>NC_000012.12:126190887-126492511 GCF_000001405.40 Homo sapiens
CATTGCACTCCAGCCTGGGCGACAGAGCCAGGCTCGTCAAAAAACAAAAACAAAAAACAAAACAACCAAAAAACAAAAACAAACAAAAAACAAACAAAACAAAACACTCAAATACCCAGCTCTAATTTCGAATTCCAGGCATCCGCACATCCCAGGGAGAACGCGCCTTCCAGCCTCCAGCGAAGTGGCGCGCGGATCTGGGCCAGAACTCTCCAGAGCTGCGCCGCAGACGGCGAAAACCAGAGGTGGTTACAGTCAAGTTTAGGGACTGCAGGAGCGAATTCCCGAAGGCTTGCAGGAGCCGCCCGGCTCTGCCTCCAGCCTTTCTCTCTGGGCCTAGCGGGACTCTCCCAGGCAGGCCCCTCCCTGCCCGCGGGCGCACTTTCCCCGCCTGCATCTGAGGCGTGGCGCAGCTGGGAGCAAAGCACAGGTGGGCTGGGCGCGGTTTGGGGTTCGGGCGTGGCAGAGTGGCGGCGGGGTCTGGGGAAGAGTTGTCTTGGGGGCAGCGCCAGCCACCAGAGCCCGAGTCAGCGCGGCCAGGACTCTGCAGGGGCAGGTAGCGACCCTTAGAGACGCAACGTGGCGCAGCGGACTCGGCTGCGTGGGGCAAGGGCCGGGGCCGGACACAGGAGCAGCGGGGATGCCGGGTGCGCTCCGAGGGTGTGGCCCCCGGGCTGTGCGGGGCTCAGAGCTGCTTGCTGGGCGCGGTGCCCGACAAAGGTAAGGCAGGAGTGGGCGTCTTTCTCGCGGGACGCTGGGTCGGAGGGAGCTTGAACTTGAGGTTGTTGGGGAGAGCCAGAAAGGACGCCAGTGCCACAAGGAGCGCCTGCCTTGGGGCGTGGAGCCGCTCCTCCCCTCACTGGGCAGACCCGGCCAGCAACCAGGTAGGAGAGTGGGGGCAAATGTGGCCATTCTGAGATCTTCAGATCCCCAACCTGGAACCACCTGCAGCATTGGAATCAGGCCAGGTGCTGTCGGGAAGTGAGAGGCGGAATGGCTGAGGCATAATGTTTATTGTCCTCCACTCCAAACTGAGGCACATCGTGGCACCCAAGATCCAGGAAGTGGGGCCCGGTTATGTGTATCTCCTTTGCCCAAAGCATAGGGTCGCATCCCACCTCCCATCCCGACTCGACTTTCAATTTGTCAAACTGGGACTGGGTTGCCCAGGCGGAGAGCCTGGCTTTCTGAGCATCTTCCCTCCAACCAAGGAGGAACCCCTGCTCACAACGCAGCTAACCGCAAACCCCAGCTTGGCAGAAATCTGCGACTCCTCCTAAGTGCCAGATTCAGTCCGGTGTGATTTGGAGTTGTCAGGTAGGGACTGTGGAGCTCAGAGACGCTGGTGTCTGGGGGCGTTGGGTGTGAGTCTCTGGAACCTGCCTGGGCTTCCCGGGAGTCCTGTCGTCTCCACATGGGAGTTCATGGCCTCTTGGATAGGAGGGAATTTAATGGGCAAGGTAGGCACCTAGCATAGTTTCTGGAGCGTTTACTATGAGACCAGCTGGCATAATGACTATTGCCATTTTTATGATGTGCAAGTGGGGTCGGGGTCCTTGCCTAGTGCAGACTAGGCAAGGAGCATGGGACAGGCAGTCTCCGAGTTATTCAGGAACAGCTGGCACCAGAAGCCTTTCCCACCTGGCACAGAAGTGGTGGCCACAGGGCAGGCAAGGAGAGAGACCTCAGCTTGACCAGAAAGGTGGCAGAGCCTACAGCAACTGCTGAGGTCCTAGGAGGAAAAAGCTAGAATGTCTTTTTCTTGCCGCCGGGTGGGTTATACTCACTGGGTTGGCTTCTTGCTGCTGGGCTTCAGGTTAGATTCCAGTGGCTTGGGCCTGATAGTCAGTAAAAGCCAAATCCTCCTCAATGGGAATCATCTGCTCTTTCCTTCCACCCTCCTTCCTGAGACTCTTAAAGCTTGGCTGGAAACACATTGGTAGAAACTTGCTGCCAACTGATGTTAAACAGTTGCATTTGCGTTTCAGAATTTATTAAACACAGCCCAGAATCCTGGGAAAATCTACCTTTCTTGAGACTACAGGCTCCTGGATAGCTCAACAGACTCAGTTCTTTACAAATATTGCTCTCCATGATTTTAAAATGGTGCAGGTTCCCGCCCCCCACCCACCTCCAAACACTCCAGGAAATACCATATCCTGTCCTCACAAATACTTCTGGTGGTAAGCAGGGCTGTGATCATGGTGGTAGGGGGCATCTTTATCTGGTTTCATTTGAATACATGCCTAGAGTGAACACACATGTCTCTGACCTTAGTTGGTTTTCTTTTCTTTGAAATTAAGTGTTTAAAGCCATTCTTGTCTTGGTAAAATATTTTCTTCATAATTACCCTAAATCTACCTCCTACTCCCAATGAAAATGTATATTCTTATTCAAAAAGACGGTATAGAAAAAATTATACACATTTCAGAGAGTGGATTTCAAGTCAGTCAGGAGTCCAGATAAGAGGAAGTCACTGCAGAGTCAGAACAAATATGCAAAGTGCAATTTTCACATGGGAACAGAGTAAGGAAGTACACTTGAGTGGAAGTATTGCTGACTGCTCTCAGCTCATGGGACTATATGTAATTTATAATCAAACACAGTGATCCAGAAAGGCATGCAATGAAAAATGCAATTGTTCTTTTCCATTGTTCCTATTTCTAGCCTTGCTCCTAAAGGGGAGATTATTTAAACTCTTCATTTTAAAAAAGTATTTTTATCTTTACCTCCTTATAGTACTCTTTATTCATGTGGCCAATACTTGACTGGCCTGTGACCATTCTCCCCTCTTCTTATCTATAGAATCCAGGTTTTGTTTGTGTTATAATGTGCTCAGCTTTAAAACAAAAAAAAACTACATTTCCCAGTGACCCTTATGTGGTCATGTGATAGTGATCTGCCCAATAAAGATACAAGTGAAAGTTCCAGAGAGCGGGGCTTCTATGGAAGCCCAGCGTCCTGGATGGAATCCAAGATGGTGCGACAGGAAATGCCGGCGCTGCTGGAATGGCCACCTCTCAATGTCACAGCTTATGAGAAGGCCTCAACTTCCAGCTGGGTTCTCACTGGTTCTAGTGCAGACTTGTGTGAACAGTTGAGGCAACTACTAAGTCCTTGGTCTCTCAGCTTCTTTCGTTAACAAAAAGTTTCCTTAGTTGGGTGTCGTGGCACATGCCTGTTGCCCCAGCTACTCAGGAGGCTGACGTGGGAGGATCACTGGAGCCCAGAAGTTCGAGGCTGGAATGATCCAAGATCATGCTACTGCACTCCAGCCTGGGTGACAGAGCGAGACCCTGCCCCTTAAAGAGAAGAAAGAAAAGTTTCCTTCCCAGAGCATGTTCCCTCTGTTCCCTGTGGGTCGCATGGAGATCCTGGAATTAATGTGACCAAGCTGGGCTGGCCTTTACCCAGAGCCTTAGTCTGCTTGGACTTTAATGGATCCCAGCTCGATGGCCCCAGGGTTAAGAGGCCTCAGTGGACAGAGACTGGATTGGCAGACAGATTTACTCAAGGATGGGGAGGGAGGGATCGCAAGAGTTTGAAGTGGAAATGTGTGGGCTGGCAGTCCTGGATGCTCATGAAAAGCGAACTCTGAATAAGAGAAGAGGAGGGAGACAGCCACTGAAATACATTTTAAACACATGTGAATCATGATTCATGCAAATGTTGCTCCTATGTAACATGCTTCCTTTCTATGGGGCTAACCAACCATGGAGACATTTTCTGGCTGATCACAGAAAAATGTAATGTTTCTAATGAAGTATATTTGGAATCTGTCTACCTCATTTGTAAGCTGCATGTTGACCTAACTCAGCTTCCAAGGAACCCATTCATAATACTTTCTTCGTGGTTTTCCTTCCTTCTTTCCCTTTCACGTTGAACGATAAAAGGCAAAAGAAGTCAGAGTACTCAAAGATTTTTGTCACTATGAACCCATCTACCTGTGATCTGTCAAAGCATCAGTGAAGAGACCTCTTTTCCTCTGAAAGAAACCAGGAATTTATGAGAAACTAAAATTCACAATCTAGAGTTGTTATTTATATTAAATGGCTGCAGAGAATAAATGCTAGCTACGTTTTTGTGCTTTTTTTTCTCTTTTGAAAAATAAAAGTTGTATCTCTGAGATTAATGTCAACTTTAAGCTTTTTAGGGCAAACAAGCGAGTTTATTTTTCAATAGGAGCCAAAAGTTCACGTCATAAGAGACACAATCTTCCTGAGTCCACATCATAAGAGGTAAAATCTCTTTTGAGCTGAGCTATAATACAGATTCTACGCTGCATTGTGCAAAGGAACTGGCACAATCATGGCACCACGGAAAAATTTCTGTTTTTCAGAGATATCAGAAAGGTGTGAAGAGCTGCCTTGAACTATGTGTTGAGGAATTGGAGCCCCTCTCCAGATGATTCATTGCACCCACAGTGGTTGCTTGGAGATGTCTGTGGACCAGTCAGAATGAAATCTTGAAGGCTTTATTCTACAGACAACCACATTGTCACTGTGTTGTCAGTAATGTTAGGATAGACAATGCCATCCAGCTAGGAAAAGAGAGCCTGGATAAAACCATGTCCAGTTTGCAGGGAAGAGGTGCCCTTGGCCTTCATGAAGATCAGGAACGTTCTCAGCTCAGTGAGCTGTGGTTGGAGATAATGTTGTTATAAGGACAACTATCCAAGGCAATCAGACATGAAGATGTGGTCAATGCCCCCATAACAATCACCAGCATTTCATCATTAATTCATTCATCCTGAGGAAATTGTCCTGTGGTCAGCCAGTGGTAGGAGGCATGAAGAGAGTAAGAGTCTGCTCAGTATCGGAGAGATGCATATTCAAAATAAGAAAAGAAATTAAGTTTCTAATTTCAGGGAGGCATTGTCTTAATACTGAAGACCAAATTATGTGCATGTACATGTACACACTCTATCTTGTGGACTTAAAGGAAGAGAGGGCCGCAATTGTATCAACAAAAAGAGGACTTTTACATGCCAAATGGAGCGTGTGTTATCAGTGCAGGAGGGAAAAAAAATGTCATTTTCCTTCATAGAAACGAGAATACTAGCAGAATGGTAGAATGCATGCAGAGAGTGTAAGGGAAAGGTATTTTTACATTCCATTTTTTTATTTTTTAAAAAAGATGACAATAACCCATACTCATTTTATTTGTCGAGATGCAGTGTTAGCAAGTTAAGACCTGGGAAAATCTCACTTAATAGAGCAGGGCAGCAGTGGCATACTCATATAAAATTGTTGGGAAGAAAATTATTCAGCAGAGGTATATCATGTCTTAAAAAACAAACAAACAAACAAACAACAAAAAAAAAACAAAAAAAAACAAAAAACCAAGCAGTATTTTTCAATATATTGAGCCATTGGACATCCAAGGGCAAAAAAAAAAAAAAAAAGAATGTTGACCTACATGTCACACCTTATAGAAAGATTAACTCAGAATGTATCATTGTATAAAGCGATATAATTTTAAAAGGAAATGCAGAAAATCTTTGATCTTTGGGAGCTAAGACTTGGTGAACATTTATTAAACATGACACTGAAGCATGATTCATTGAAGAAAAAAAGATACACTGGATTCTGTTAAGTGTAAAAATGTTTGCTCTATGTAAAGGCCCATTAAGAAGATGAAAAGACAAATGATACACTGGGATAAGATGTTGGCAAACCACATATCTGATAGAAAAGTCAATGGTAAAAAGCCAATGTAAGTAGACAATGGGCAAAATATAAGAAAATACATGTTATTGAAGAATATGGATGACAAATAAGGATATGAAAATATGTTCAACATCACTAGCCATTAGTGAAATGCAAATTAAGACCAATATGAGATGAAAAATAACACACCTATTAGAATAATGAAAACATAAAATACCAAATGCTTGGCGAGAATGTTGGAAGCTGGATCTCTTGTACATTGTTGGTGGAAATGTAAAATGCTATGGCCACTCTGGAAAGCAGTTTGACAATTTCATAAACATTTCAATGCACTTACCATGCAAACCAGCACTTGCACCCCTGGGTGTTTGTCACAGAGATAATTTATATCACACCAAAAAAAAAAAAAAAAACTATCATGAGTGTTCATAGCAGCTTTATTTATCATAGCCAAAAACTGAAAGCAACTCCTTCAATAGGCAAATGGTTAAATCTCATGTAATACGACTCAGCAATGAAAAGAAATGGACTGCTGACAGACACAGAAACTCAAATGTATCTCAAGGGCATTATGCTGAGTGGAAAAAAAAAAGCCACTCTCAAAATGCCATACATGATTCCATGTATATACAATTTATTGAAATGATAAACTTATGGGGCTGGGAAACAGAGTCTACACGTGATAAAATGGCATAGCACTATGCACACACATTGGGCCAATGCCAGTTTCCTGATGTTGATACTGTACCATAGCTTCGTAAGATGTAAGCGCCATGGGGGAGCTCGGTGAAGGCACACAGAGACCTCTCTATTATTTTTTCAACTTCCTGCAGATCTATAGTTATCTCAAAATAAAAAGATAAAAGGAGTAAGCACCTTGCCACCCACACCTAATTAACTGCTGTGGCCATGCTGTGGCCCTGCATGACTGGCTGTGCCTTCTCAGAGAAGTTCTTGCTCCCTTGCTGATCCCCACTCTTGGTCTGCTCTTCTGTCACTGGTGGTTTGTCCTAAGGTGTCTAATTAATTTCTGATTAGATCTGCTGTCTCCACCAGCCTAAGGGCTTTCTGTGGCCGGGAGCTATGTCCTCCTCATTTTCACATTGATAGTGTTTAGTTCAGGCCTGATACAGCAAGCACTCTGCTATGTATAGGGAATGAAGGACTGGGTTTTTAGCCATCAATAACCCCAGTAAATCTGTTGAAAATTGATCCCTTGACTGGGGAGATCATAGCGTGGATGCTTGAGGTTAATGTGATGATTTGTGTGTGTGTGTGTGTGTGTGTGTGTGTGTGTGTGTGTTTATCTCCTGAGTTTCTCTTCATTGAATTTATTCCACAGAGTTTTCTCATTGGAGGTCAGAAGCGATGATGAAGACCTGACTAAACTAAATTCCATAACTGGCTGTTGTGTGGGTGCAAAGAAAGTGGCAGATGGGGGTTAGGATTCCAGCAGTTCCTTGGCCAAAAGGGAATAACCATCTCTAAAATGTTAATGGAGGTAGCACAGAATATTGGTTGAAGTGTGAACCCCAGAGCTAGCCTGCTGGCTGCAAATCCCAACTCCATCACTTGCTCTGTGACGTGGGACCAGCTACTTAAATTCTCTGTGCCTTTATAATCCTTTGAGAGCAGGACGATTTCTTCCATTCATTGTTGTTGTTTTGACAGCTCTGTATGGAATACTCTCTGTTGGAACATTTACACCATTTCTTGGGAAATTAATTTAGGCATTGGGCTTAAGTTTTTATTTGTACTAGAGGTTAAAACAAGGGCTTGCTGAACAAATAAACAATATTTAAAAGGGTGAATGTTCAAGGCAGTTGAGGTCTATGGCAGGCTGAATAATACTCCCCCGAAAAAGTCCATGTTCTAAACACTGGAAGCTGTGGACACGTTTGCTGACATAGTATCCTGGACTTTGCAATGTGATTAAATTAAAGATCTTGAGATGGGGAATTATCTTGGAAGCATACTTATAAGTGAAAGAGAGGTTGTATAGTTAGCATCAGAGAAGGAGATGTGATTACTGATGCAGAGGCTGAAGTGATGAGCTTGATGGTGTTGAAGATGGAAGGAGGCCATGAGCCAAGAAACACAGGTGGCCCTAGAAGCTGAGAAAGTCAAGGGATTGAATTCTCTCCAAGGGCTGCCAGAGTAATACAGCCCTGCTGATATCTTGGTTTCAGGGCTTTTGACCTCCAGCACCGTACAATAATAAATTGGTGTTGCTTTATGCTACTACATTTATGATAGTTTTCTTCCTATGCAGCAGCATGGGAAACCAATTTAGAAGTCATACTGTTACATTCTTAACATACACTTATTCACAACCTTACAGCTAGTAAGGCCATTAAAAATAAGCTTAATTGTTCTAAGCTGTCCTTCATGAGTAAGAAAAATGCTCTCAACTCCAGAAACACCCAGGTCCTCACTCTCAGGGTGGTGACCAGCAGCCGTATGATTGGTAGTTAGCTCTGCAGGGACATGTGGAATTTTAATGAAAAGGGTCAATTTTAAGACTGGATATTGTAGCAGGGTTCACACTGCACTGCCTGTGTACTTGGAGGGAGAGGTTGTGCCCATCCTGAATATGACACTTTTCCAGGATGATTCATATGTTCCAGGTAAAGATTTGCACAAGGAAGTTTTGTGCACTCAAGCCCTTTGTGTCATGGCATTTCTGGCAGGATTCCTGGTGCCGTGCGTAGCAGAAGGCCATGAATTTTTCCTTGAAGCTCTCTGGGGCTTTCTGGAAGCCAGCTTTCTTGGCATTGCCAGGGCAGGATATCTTCTCTGGGAGCTTCTTTCTGTCTGGTGCACATTATGGGATCTTGCTCTCTTTTGGAAGCTCTGAACTTAATTCTTCGTATGGCTCATAATGAGGGCAATGTCAAGAAGCCTTTTATAGCTGGGCCCCTGAAAAGGCGATCTCATGCTCCTGGCTAAGGATATGTCTCATACAGCAGGGTGGTGAAAGCGATCTCAGAAAATATTGAGCCAAATACAGCTTCACTTCTCTTTCAGAACATGGACAACAGTGTGTCACCTACTGATGGAAAAAAGACTGATGCTAGTATACTGGCATTGGAGATTAAACAGAGGAATGATGGCTTGTCAGTGCATAAGCCATTTCTCCATACACAGCCCTGTGGCTTCATAAAATATTCCTAAATTCTGATATCACATTTTGTGGCAAGCTGGTTCGAGGACAAAAATGAGGACCTGCCAGCTGATGTTTATGACTTTCCATAAAAGCTTTCAGACAAAATTTGTCTTAGATTTTGCTTGTGGCGTGGTGGGACAGGAGTATAAACCTCCCAGAACTCCCTGAGGAATTTACTGTAATCGAAAAGAGGGAGGATGCTGCCTGAAATTTCTTGTGTAAATCAATGTTTGGGAGGTATATTTTAGGGTTAATAAGCCCATTAATAATTAAAGAAAACATATTTAAGATTTGCATTTCCTTAATTTCCTTTTCTGTGTGTGAAACTCATGGATAATTTAAATATTTACTTAGAAGATACAGTTTGAATGTTTTATTCCCAAATCTGGTTGTCAGTATGTCTGCTTCAAATATTTTTATCCTGCATAATAGAGAATTATATATATATTTGAGACAGAGTCTCACTCTGTCACCCAGGCTGGAGTGCAGCGGCACGATCTCAGCTCATTGCAGCCTCTACCTCCTGGGTTCCAGCCATTCTCCTTCTCAGCCTCCCCAGTAGCTGGGATTACAGGCATGAGCCACCATGCCCAGCTAATTTTTGTATTTTTAGTAGAGATGGGGCTTCACTATGTTGGCCAGGCTGGTCTCAAACTCCTGACCTCAGGTGATCCTCCCATCTTGGCTTCCCAAAGTGTTGGGATTACAGGTGTGAGCCACTGTGCCTGGAGAGAATATTCTTATGGAGTTTTGCTGAATGTCCTTCTGCACTAAAGTCTCACAGGTGTGCTTATTGCCACTGGGGTATCATTGCTCTTAATCCCCTTCGGTACAGAAAGCTAGGAAATATACATGTTATACTAATTATTGTACACACATATACATCTATCTTCTATCTATCTGTCTGTCTGTCTATCTATCTATCTATCTTCTACCTATTAAAAACATGATTTGCATTGGCACCCCTGATTTGGATATATCACCAAGGTTCATTCTAGGTTTCCCCTTTCCCTTATTTGACATTTCTTCCTCTGACAGTGAGAAAACTTGCTCTCATGTTCCTTATATATTTACTTATTGGCTTAATCCTAGTGTCTGTTTCAGAATTGCTAACTGTATTTTGCTTTACTAGATTGAGTCAAAATGTAGTTTCTTTTTTTTTTTTTTTTTTTTGAGACGGAGTCTCACTCTGTGCCCAGGCTGGAGTACAGTGGCGCGATCTCGGCTCACTGCAAGCTCCGCTTCCCGGGTTCACGCCATTCTCCTGCCTCAGCCTCCTGAGTAGCTGGGACTACAGGCGGCTGCCACCACGCCTGGCTAATTTTTTTGTATTTTTAGAAGAGAGGGGGTTTCACCATGTTAGCCAGGATGGTCTCAATCTCCTGACCTCGTGATCCGCCCGCCTCGGCCTCCCAAAGTGCTGGGATTACAGGCGTGAGCCACCGCGCCCGGCAAAATGTAGTTTCTAAAGTTACTTAGGCTAGTTCTTTTCCTTATCACTTCTTTTCGTGTGGTTATGTTACTCATTTGTAATACAGTTAGGCTCATTGTTACTGTTTATATTCCATTTTGCTTTCCCTCGCATCCCGGTTTTAAAAACCATTTATTCGTTTTTAGTATGTAGAAACATAACTGTGGTTCTGAGTTAAAATTATATAAAAACTCTACTCAGGGAGGAGTGCCTGCCTCCCCATCCCTGTCCCACCATTTCCACTTCGTTCCACATCACCTTCGTTCTCTTCAGTTTCTGTTTTATCGTTCCTGTAATTGTTTTGCAGCAATAAACAAATAGCTGTACATTTTCTCAGATCTTCTGTCTTATATGAAGGATAGCATAGTATTTTCTCTCTCTTTGTACAGTTAACAGTATATCCCGGAAATTACACCAATTTAGTTCATAGCATTCTTCGGTATTATTTTGAATAGCTGCATCGTACCTCACGTGTAGGTATAACATAATTTAGCTTTCTCTGTATGAACATTTTTTATTGTTTCTGATATTTTGCAATTACAAGCAATGGTGCAGTGAATAAACTGCACCTTTTAAAAATATACTTTTGGAGGTGTATTTTCAGGGTGGATTTCTAAAAGTAAGATTGTTGGGCCAAAAGGTAAGAGAATATGAAGTTTTGCCAAGTATTGCCAAATTTCCTTCCAGAAGTATTGTACCAATTTGCATATCTCAGTGTTTTCCTAATAGTTATCTAATTATGAGTAAATTTGAACTCGTTTTTATGTCTGAGAGCCATTTTTGTATCTTTCCTTGTGAAATTTCTGCTTTCATGTTACATTGCTAATTCGGTCTGAATTTGAGAAGTAACAACAGCTTTAGCCAAAACTGAATTTATTTTTCAGTGAGTTATATTTAGATACATTAAATAAGTGCTTTGGAGTGGGTGTCGTACTAGGGGCAGGGCAATGCTGAATTGGAATCAAATTGAGCTTGGCATGTGGAAAATGTGAGATCCTGTGAAAATTCATTCCTGATTTCTAGTAACAGCCCTTTCTCCCGTCACAGAAGGAGCCTCAGATCTCACAGGGCAGTGAGAGTTAGAAACCATTGAGCCAGAGATTCTGTGACCATGTGGTCTACTGTTTAAGGTTTTGAGGAAGTGATGCAGACAGGGTGTGACCTCACAAAAGGAAGAGATCAGTGTAGCCCAGGGGGAACCATAGGAACCTTCCTAAAGGAGGAGGCTTGAAGGGAGGAGTCAGGGTAGGTTTGAAAAATGCAACCTGGTGAAAGTCTAATGGTATTCATGGGACATTGGTAAAATGTGGTTGGAAGTTCTACACCCCTAGAATTTTCAACTCTGTCCATATGACAGAGGTGTGAAAACTGCTAAGTGTTGTTTACTCACCCATCTTATTCAATTCCTCACAACAGTTTTCAGAAATATTCATGATTATGATCCCCATTTTCCAGATAAGATAACTGAGGCTGTTTTTTTTTTCATAAGGGAATAAAATTAAACAAGCTAAATTTGAACCCAGGTCTTTTTATTCTTGGATCTGAATTCTCACTGCTATGCTGTGCTCATGGATGCACCTATCACAAGGCAGTTAATCTCAAATGCCCGACAGCAGGTGAATGGATACACACGTATTCCTATATTCATGTAAGGAATTGTTAATCAGCAGGGAAAATTAATTCATGCTGCATGTTTCAACATGGACAAATCTTAATCTTTGTGGTAGGAACATGGGTGTCATATTATTTTCTATATAATACATTATTATAAATTTCAAGTAATGGCAGTCAAGTGGTCTTGCTGGCACATTGTCTGTAAATTCCAAAACAAAGGGATTTTTTTTGAAGTGGTTGGTGACAGACAGATAGGTAAATTAACATGTGCCTGGGCTCAGCTTGGCATATAATGCATATTAAATATTCTGTTATTTGGACTGAATTATGCCCCCAGGGGACCTCACGAGCTGGCCAGGGCTTTCCTAGAGGCCAGAGAGTGTGGGTCTGCTGTTGGTGCTTGTTTGTTATTGAATTAGGGTGAAAAGGTTGTATCTCCGTGGGCTCCACATTCTCAGATCAAAGAACCAGAAGCCAAGCTAAATACCCAGAGAGCGTCAAACAAAAATCCAGCAAGAACAACAATATTAAGGCTGAGAATTAGAGGCCATTCATTTATTCATTCGTTCATTCATTCACTCACTCAGCAAGTACTTCCTGAGTGCCGACAGTGTGCCAGGAATTCTACCAGGCACTGGGGATCCAACAGGAAGCAGTAGAAATATGGTCCCTCCCCTGGTGGAACATAGACTCTATCAAGGGAAATATACCAAAAGAGAGAGGCAAACCTATACAGACCAGAGTTGGAAACATTAATTAAACCATTGAAAATTATTGACAAAATTATATTATTTTAAACCATTGACAAATTATAAGTAAATTATATTAAACCATTGACAAATTATTGTCAAATTATACAAACCATGACAATTTATTTGTTATGGTTTTTTTATTATATTGCAATTTAAACCATTGACAAACTGTATTATATATGAATTATAATAAACCATTGTCAAATTATACCAAACCATGACTCTTGGAAACATTAATTAAACCATTGACAAATAAATACATATATTAAGTAACAGCACAAATTACTGTGGTTCATTTATTTATTGAATGTTTATTTATACCTACTATGTGCTAGCTGCTGTCCTAAACACTGAGGTTGTAGTACAGATACCGGGACTGCTTCTCGCTGGCTAAATTTGAGATAGAAGCTTATCCCTGGACAGACTCCTGTGACACAGAGAATGGAATATTCTGGTCCTATGTCCATCCCTAGAGCAACTGGGCTCCACCCAGGCGACATGGGCTTACTCAAGTCAGGGTGGCTTCCCAGAAAGAAAATAGGAGACATTTCCACAAACAGGAGATAACTGGATATTAGGTGATGAGACTCTACTGACATTATCTGCAAACTTTTCTTCATTTCCTGAAGTTCATTCACCACAGCCTTTCCTTCTGCCTCAGTTCTTCTGGCCACACATTCTGAGCCAGAACTCCTCACTTTATGCGTGCTTGCTGTGGTTGGCTGACAGCTGGGTGGTTTCCAGGGATGCCATGTCATGCAGCCTGGGCTCACAGGAGGAATACAAGGCTCCCTCCACTGGGATATTGAGTGGTTTCTTTTAATATAATGGTTAATCAGAAGTACATCTGTGTCCAGGTACATCTGTGAGGCAGACAGAACCATCTACAGTGCACTAAGATGAGGCTGAAGGCAATGCACTGCTTTTAATGCTCCTGGCCTGCCAATCAAGCTGCATCTGATTGATGAGGATGCCTGCTGCAACCCCTGCTGGTCTCTTTACAAATTCAAGCTTATCAATTCATGAGTCTCCTGAAAGATTGACGAGCTCCGTGATCCAGGCAAAACATTATTTTCTGCCTAAATCTGCATTAGTTTTTGATTCTTGCCAGAACACATTACCACTTAGTGCCTTGAAACAGCACGAATTTATTATCTCACATTTTTTTTTTAATAAGTTGAAAATCCACTGTGAATTCCACCAGGCTAAAATCAAGGTGTCTGCAGGGCTGTGTTTCTTCCTGGCAGCTCTAGGGGATAATTGGTTTCCTTGCCCATTCAGGTTCTTTCTTGTGCTTGTAGGCTGAGGTTCCTGTTTCCCTCTTGGCTGTTAACTGAGGGCCACCTCCAGGTTCTACTAATAGAAGACGTCCTCACTCCTTGCCTCATAGTTCCCTTTCTCCTTCTTATCAGCCAAAGACAGCGAGTAGAGTCTCTCTCCTGCTTCAGGTCTCTTCCGCCTCTTCTTCTGTCCTCACCTTTCCCTGTCTGACTCTTTTGCCTTCCTCTTCCACTTTTAATTAATAATTAATAATTTGAATTAATAATCACATTTTAATAATGTGATTATTATGAGTTCACCAAGAAAATCCAAAATAATCCATTTTAAGGCCCCCAATCTTAATTCCATCTGCAAATTTCCTTCTGTCATGCAGTGTAACATGTTCACAGTTTCCAGTTTCAGGTCATGAACATCTTTGGGGACAATGCCTACCACGAAAGCGAATCCAAATGTTGAGATATTGTGTTGGAGTAGAAATTTGAGGTCATTGAAGTCACCCTCTGACTTGACATCCTGATCTCTCTCCTTTGTATTGGGAGCCTGCTGCTAACAGAGCAAGATGTATTTCTGCCCCTTCTCCTATAGGTGATGGAATGATCTCCAGGGCTCGAGAAGGCACCCTGGCCTGGGGAGGTCGGAAACATAACTCCTCTTTGAGTTCCAGCCCCGACATGGGTGTGAGCAAGGGGGCAGCACACTGCTGCTTGGGACTATGTGGGTTGGAATTGCAGCACCAGCACTCTCTAGCTCTGCAACTGTGGATGAGTCCCCTAACATCTCTCTTCCTCAGTTTCCTCATCTACAGTGTGGGGAGATTCAAGGGTTTACTTTGTTTAAGGTTCAATTCTAGCCCATGTTGCATATAACGGTGACCCAACTGACATGTCCTGCTGTCAAGTGCATACATTGTAGAGGGAAAGTCAGAATAAGAACATAACTGCCTATCCATCCACAAGCTCACTTCAAACGGTAGAAAGCAATGTGGAGAAGATAAGCCCCAGTAATATGTGAGAGAGTTATCAGCAGGGTTGAGTGGTGAAAAGGGATAGTCAGAAATTGTAATCTAGGAAGGAAAGCCTTTGTTAGGAGATGAAGCTGAGATCTGAATAATGAGAAGGAGCCTGCCATGGACAGGTCAGGGGAGAGGATTGCAGGCAGAAGAAGCCACAAAGTGCAAAGGACTTGAGGCAGGAGCATTTCACAAGAGATCTGTGAGAGAAGGGGTATGATGGAGGCTCAAATCATAGAAAAGGGACAAATAAATTCTAGCTAGGGAGGAGGTGATATTTGACCAAGACCTTAAAAGATGGTAAAGTTTCACCCAATGCACATGGTGAGGATGAACATGCTAGTCTTGAAGACAATCTGACCCAAAGCACCATAGAGGGACAGTGGCAGCTGGAGCCCCGGGCTTGAGGAAGTATGGGCAGGACACAGTATGTCTTGGCAAAGAATTAGCTAAGTAAATCTATAGGTAAAGTGTTGCAACTGGTAGCTTTTCAAGAATGGAGTAATAACTATTCCTGCTGTGAAAAATCACTGTGGTGATGGATGGGTGAATGAATACAGGAAGACCAGTAGGAGAGCATGCCACCAGTACCCAGAGGGATGCCCAAGGCCTGAATCAGGTCCTTCTTTGCAGTGAGTAGGTGGGGTATGGACAGCGAGGACTATTTGTGTCTTCTCTGGGAGGTGTGCACACTGGAACCTAGTGACCAACTGAATTTGGAATGCGAGAGAGAGTCAAGGGTGATTCTGAATCCGAGTTGTTACCTTGGTAGATGAGCATATGGTCAATGGACAGAGAAGGAGGCAACAGGAGAAGAGGAAATAGGAAATGGCGTGGGGTTGGGCTTGGTGGAGCTTGCTGCCAGAGATGTGTAGAACTAGAAGAGCCTGGGGTTGTGTGTGGTTTGCTGGACCCAGGATGCAAAGGCTGAGTTAATCACACAACTCAGTCGATGGCAGATTATTACAATTAGTCAACCCCACACAACACCAATCCCTTGATTGATTGGTTGATTCATTCATCTATTCATCTTATTTCCATTCTCCATTCTTGTTTTTTTACCCATAGGTAATGCATGTCTTGGTGTATGGGTGTGTGTGTAGGTGTAGGTGTTATTTTCAGGATGTGTATTGTTGATTCTTGTGCATGTGTTTGTAATCTGCATAAATGTTATCGCTTTATAAAATTATATATACATATGGGTCCATATTCCACATTGGGTTTTTTATACCCATCCATCTTGCTGTGGTACAACCATTGCTTCTGAAGGCTGCTCTCTATGGGGGTCACCCACCAAATTGACTTATAGATTGTCTCCAACTTCCTGGTCCCCAAATAATTCTGTGATGTTTATCTTCTTACGAGGATTACGTTATGGATACCAGTATGAATTTCTGTGGTGTATATTCAGAAGCATTTCTTTGACAGCTATGGGTTGGAAGTGCTCTTCATATTCATGTTAGACTTCAGGATTTTCTCTTCTGTGAATCTCCTCTGTCCAGTTTTCCTTGGGGGTTGCTTTCCTTTTTGCATTGATTAGCAAAAATTACTTATATATTCTAGATTTTAATCCTTTGTGGTTGTAAGTATTTTATACTTGTGGCATGCACTTTAAAATCTATGTTCCCAGAATTTGTTACCTACTTATCCTGCTTTTCATTTTTCAGCTTTGTAGAATCTCTTTTTTCTCTCCCACCCTCCTTTCCATGAATGTTATAAAGCACTTATTCTAGTTGCTAATGTTTCTGAGTGGTAGGAATAGAGCATGTCAGGTATAATATCTTCCCTTATGCATATTTAACTCATTTTTGAGCACTATGATATTGAACAAGAAAATTTAAGCCTGCTGAGGAGATCATCTGATCTTGCATGGGAGGCAGAGGTGTATTGGTAAATGATTAACAAGTAGCTTTCTGGGGAAAAGCCCACAGTTTATAGCATCTGCCAATGTTTGTGGTGTAAATACTTCAGTATGGCTGATTTAAAGCTTCTATCATGTACCACAATTTGATGGGGTCAGGGAAGATCTACCTCTGGAGCTGATATTTGAGTTGAGGTCTAAAAGACCTAGAAGGAGGTAGTTCAAATGGCAGTCATCACGTCATCCAAGCAAGAGATAGTAGGAAAAGAAGGGGCCAAACAGACGCATAGCAACTGAGTCCACATCCCTTTAAGGTACTTTCCCATTTCCCCTACCCAGCACCTGTTTCCATGTCTCCTTGCCCTGAACTGTGACATTTAGCTAATCTTATCCCAAGGGGATCTGGATGATGTAATTTTTAAGGCTTGATGTATTTCCAGCCCCAACAAAATCAGGGTTCTGTTCCCTAGAAACAGAAGTGGAATTGTATTGAATACACAGAGAGCAGTCTCTGTCACATAAATGTAAAATAAATGTGGTACAAAGAATGAAGACAAAATCATCTTCTTTCAAGACATTTTTGCTGGGAAGTAGATGAGAAAACACACCCTATACCTGGAGAGGGACCCAATATCTAACTCGGATTTTATTTTCTTGTTTTGTAAATGCTGAAATTAACTTGACCCTGTGCAAAGGCAGAAATGAGATTGTGAGTTCCAGAATTTTGAGGTAAAGACAGGCTTATTTCCTGAGGGCCTAAAAGAATTTGTCAGTTTTCCATGCGCATTTCCAGGAAACCATTGAATAGCTACCTCCCCTTTTCACTCACTTTAGAGATTTGTGCTTAAAAAAAAGTAGTTGACTGGGTCTATTAGATTTTTGCAGTTTTGCATTTAATTCATTTATAGGTAGCTGGTTTAATTTGCCTCTTCCACATTTTAAAGTTTTATTTTTGTCTACTAATGAGTTGTGCAGCAAGCAAGTCTAAAGAAATTCAACATGACTGCGCTAAAAAGGCGTACAAATTGCATTTTGTGGTATTTTTTATTCTACCTAGAGGGGAATCATTCAGTGACAGTTTCATCGGATTTCTTCTATAAATGGAGTATACATTTTAGTTCTACAATTCCATTAAAAACAAACTATTCTTGTCATGTTTTAGGTGATTACAGCTTATTGTCACTTAGAAGACTTCAAAGATCACTTAATTAGAGAAAGGAAGAAGATAATGTATTACATACCATTATAATTTATAATCCAGAATTATGAAATTAGATATTTTAATTATGTAAGATTGCATGCTTTCTGAGCCACATAGTCTAAATCCACAAAGCTCTTTGCAAATCATTATGCACACTTTCTTCTTTGTTCTCTTTATATTTTATTCAGAGCATTATCTGAATTTGTGTCTGCCACTCTGATTATGGACCTTTTGCAGACAGTTGCTGACTGGTTGTTTCTGCATCCCCAGCACAGGACTGGCAGCTTGTTAGAGCTCATTAAGTATTTGTCGATTTGAATTAAATTTGAAATACTGTATTAAAAATCTTGCACCAACCTCCAGGGTCCTTAGCAGTGATTTTTGTTCTCACTATGGCAATGTAGTTGCATTCCACACTTATTAAATATATTGATGCTTTCCCTCCAAATGGAACTCCAAACTTTTATACAGTGCCTGTACTCTGCTGAATTTCACTTAAGGACATTTCTGCCTGCTCTTGGTGTTGAGACTTCAGGATCAATATGAGGAGTTACTTCCTTAGAAGAAAGAAATACTACTGAGTGATTTCACATTGCTTAGGATCTGAACTTTTTAACTTTTAACAAATTTTTCATTGACTAATAATTGTATACATTTATGAATTCCAGTATGATGTTATGATACATGTATACATTGTAGGGTCACTAAATCAGGATAATTAACATATCCATTACCTCACATACTTATTATTTCCATTTACCAAAAAGATGAAAGATATCAAGTGTTGGCAAGGATGTGAAGGAAAGGTAACATTTGTGTACTCTTAGTGGTAATGTAACTTAGTACAGCCTTTTTGGAAAACAATATAGAGATTCCTCTAAAACTAAACATAGAACTACCATGTGATCCAGCAATCACGCTTCTCATTATATAGCCAAAGGGTCTGATTTAATGATCATCTTGATATCTGAAATTTTGATTGGGCTTAAAGAGGAAAAGGAATTCTTTTCCCTTTGTAAACTTGATAAAGACTGGGTTGTGAATATGTGGGCCATGGCAGAATGTGACAAAAATCCAGACCCTATGTTCACTAACTCAAGAACTTCTCTAACACATTGCTAACCTTTCTGACACCCTCTTACAACACTCAACGCTCCAACCCTTTGGTCTGGTGTTCCAGTCACGTGGACTTTCCATGGGTTTCTTGAATCGCAAGATTGTTCTCACCTCAAGACATTTCGTTGTTCTTCTTTTCATTGTCTGAAAGGTTGTCTCCTCATGTCTTTACATGACTGGCTTCTTATCAGTGAGTTCTAAGCCCAAACAATGCCTCTTTGTAAAGAGCCTTTCCTCTCCATACCAAAGAGACCTTACAACACTCTCTTTCTCTCCCCTATCTCCCAGCTTTTGGCATTTCTCATTCCCTGAAATAATCTACTCATTTATTTCACATCCATGATCCCCTGTAGAATGCCAGCTTTATGCAATCAGGGGCTGTGTCTGAATTTTCCAACTTTATTTACCCAGAGCTAAGGACAGTACTCAACATGTAATAGGTGCTTGGTAAGTATTTGTGAAATGGACACAGGTTCAGCTTTTGAATCCAATAATTAACTCTTGTGCTGTCGTACCTTGTGATAGGAAGTAATAGAGTAAGATTGGACAAATCCAACCAACTCCCAGGTTCTCTAAGTCAGAAACTCGATCCTTGTCTTGGCTGCCTGACTCATACTTTTCATAATCATCATCAGTTTAGAGATTTCAAGAGGACAGATTTTAGTTGTGAAATGAATGAATGAATTGGTGCCTCTGCTTGGCAGATACACAGGATCCTGCTCTGGACTTTGGATTTCCTTATCAGTGATTTTCCTTTAGGATTCGTGTGGAAGAAATTGTTAGCAAACAAGAAAGGTATTAAAATCTTCCAACTTCCTGAAATCCATTTCTCTGGAATTTCTTCCTCCTTAAATCTGAAATAAATTTTTAAACTTAAGTTCTACTAAGGCACAAGGAAATTCTTCAGCATCTCAATTTTCTTGAGGATTTGTATGATACACATCTCAGCTCCACTCATCTTCAAGAACTATAGTTTTTTTTTTTTTTCACTGTCTAGAAATAGAAGACCGTTAGTCTTAAAAGTAATAGCAATTTGACAGCCTTGTAATTTATCAGTTCTGTGGGTCCTAGATGTTTCTTTCCAGTGTTCAACCTGAGACTGGGAGAGAGGTGGAATATTGTCTCACTAAAGAGGTTTTCTAGGGTATTTATCCAAGCCTTCTTAATGCAATTTCTAATGCAAAGACCCGTATTCCTTTTTTTTTTTTTCTGGTCTGGTCTTACTGCTGCTTGGCAATATTTTGAAGTTTTAGTTGGTCAACTTGTACCCCTTGGTGATTATTAGCCGCTTATAATTATGTGCTGAATGAAGGGGGAAAGGAGAATATTGGTGACTTGATAAGAAATGAAATTGGGTGGGTATTTCCAAAGTTTCTTATGGCATAAATTCAATAACTCAATTTTGTTGGCCTCATGCTGTAGAAGAAAAAGAAATAAAGAGTTAGATTCCATTTTGCAACAGAGCTGGATTGCACAGCGAAAATCTATGAGCATATATAATGTTTTCATCACTGAGTAGGTTAATAAAGACCTTAATAAAATTTGCTGGCAATAAGAACCACAGACCACAGGTACAGAAGCAGGATTTATTTATTTGCTATTTCTAGGTAAATTTCCCATATAATGGATATCGTGTTAGAAATGTAAATGCAGTTAGCACACAATGCATTTTAATATTTGAACAAAGATACAACAAAAGGCAGCCTGTGGGTATATGTGCATATGAAAAATCCAGCTCATTCTCGATTTCTATAAGTAACCAAATCTCGGATCCTGAAATTGATCTGTGATCACAGTGGTTGAGGTTTGCTGATAATTTAGCAGCCACTCAAAGGTAGGAAATAAACTTTCAGTGGAGAAGTAACATCTAAGCCTTGCCTTATTAGGAGCTCTTAGAGTGCGGTGCCAATGTGTATTTCATCAATGACACCCATGATGACTGTAAGAAATTCTGTGTATTGCTAAATGACAGATATTTCTGGAGTTAATTATACCTATTCATAGAATAGAGAAACACCATTCTTTGCTTTTTTATTCAAAAAATGAACTGACATGAAGAAATCAAAAGATCAGAATTCAAGTATTTGGATGTCAGTTAGTTACTTAATTAATGTCAGGGGTGAAGCCACAGCAGTGGCTTCCTACTGTTTTGAAGAAGTATACGTTATACTTGGTATCACATCATTAGAAGATTTTACTTGATATTGCTGAACTATTCATAGTAATATTGAGGGAGTGAGAGAAAATGATAGACTCACTTTTGGTGAGACCAGCATATAAATTAAAATGTCTCCTATGTAACCCTGTGTTTTAATCTTTCCTCCTCCTTCCTCTACAAGTCACCAGATTCTAAATTGTGAATTGCCTGAGAATTCATTTTAGTACTGTTGGATGTAAGAAATATTAGATCCTTTTTTAATTTCACAAATGAAGAAATGGAGACTCAATGTTGAGATGCCTTAATCCAATACACATTGGTTATGTCTGTTACAAATGCTTTGACTGCAAGTAACAGATAACTCAAGCAGCTTAGACTGATAGGGTTTTATTTTATTTGATGTAGCAAGATGCCTGGAGGTGAGCAGCTACTGGCATCAGTTCTTTTTTAAAAAATATTAGGTTTGGAGTTTCTATGATTGGCTCAGGCGTTCCCTCAGGGCCATAGAATGGTTGCTGTAATTCCAAGCATCACAGCCATATTCAAGCAGGCCATATAATGTGGAAGAGTGATGTTTGTCTCATTTATCAAGAAAGCAACGCAGTCCCAGAAGCCCCTGGCAGGTACCTCGTTCTGTCTCATCGGTCAGAGCTGTGTGATATCAGTACCTGGAAAAATGAGTATTTACTTTTTCAACCAATGTAGTGGAGGTAGACAAGGCACAAAAGAATTAAGAGTGGGTGTTAGTTACAAGCCTTCAGTGACTGCCACATTGCTAGTTTCCAATCGTTACTCTAACACATCTCAGACTAACATGTTTACACTGCCTCTGGGGCCCACTCGCTGCATAATTAAGCAGACGCTGGGAATACAGCACTTGCTGTACACCCATGCTAAGTGCCGGGTGAACAGTGATAAGCAAGACAACCACGGTCCTTGATGCTATAAAAATTAGAGGTTTTCGAGGGAAGCAGTATTAAATAGCCAATTAAATGATTAAGTATTTAATTATGGTTTGTTATTAAATGTGCAATGACATGAAAGAGGCAGACCAGAACTGGATGGAGACATAGATGGCTTCTCTGAGAGAGTCACAACTGAACTGAGTGTTAAAGGATGGACAAAAGTCAATCGAGCCTAGAGAGTGAAGTGATCATTTTCAAAAGAAAAACAGCATGGACAGAAACAAGTGTGTGGCCAAAGATCAGAGAGGGATACTGATTCCCCGCTAATAAGAAATGTTAGTGCAGTTTCAGGTACACTTGAAATATCTATCGGTATATGTTTTGATATCTAAATTATAAGGAGCCACCTTAGGGAGAGTGTGTCACACTTTGATATTCAAATTAAAGCTTTGTGCTCACTAATTGCCTTTGTTGACTTTTTTTGTCATCAGTCGGTAACTGTCAGCATTTGTATGTCTTGCAGCGGATTGGATCCTGCCTGGATCTTCATTGTCAATAGCTTTGCTTAATTCCAGGGCTTCTCCAATATCACTTGTACTGACCTTATGTAATCTTGAAAGGTATACAAATCACATTGCAATTGATTTGCTCCTGTTTATATTGGATGATTGGCTACAGTCTGACCAGGGAAGATAGCAGAGATGTTGACGGGATCAGAGAAGACAGGTATGGCTCTTCCCCACAGGACTAGTTTATTAGAGGTCACTTCAGCAATTGACATTTCTTATGCTGACAACTATTCCATCTTTATGGAATCTGATAACTTGAGAGGATCAGACAACAAATGCAGGGATGATGAAGACCTTACAGAGATATAAATAGAATGTAAGATGCATAATATGCATGTCTAAGAGCAGTGAGATCATCAACCGTTTTCATGTCGTTATTGATATCTTATTTTTTGTAGTGAATGCTGCAAGTACCACCAAACTTCATGAATATGTTTTTCCTAAAACTAACTCATAAGGATGAAGAAATTTACTGGATTTGTAAGACGCAGTATGGCTGAGATTAAATGGTATATTTTGGTCAATAAATCTGTACATTTCAGTCAATATATTTTCAATAACTAAACTTTCAGAAAATATCCGCTGCTATTCAAAAAACATATATAAATAAAGAATCAAAAAAAACCAAAAAACAGAATACAATACTTTTCTTCCCTGATCACCACTGTAATGGAATACTCCCATTTTTCTAAGAGATAGTTTAATTATTAGTTTTTAATTGTTTTCTCTTCTTTTCTTCTTTACCCTTTCCTGGCTTCCTGCTTAGCCTTTTGGAAAATGCAAATATAACCTTTCACCTCCTCCTCATCAGACATTCCCTACAGGGCAAGTTCATGTATATGTTCTAAGAGGGATCTCTCCTCCCCCCACAGAGCTGACAGTGGATTTGCAGAGGAAAGCAAGTCGCCATGGCACGCTCACCTCCAGGGGGTTTTGCCCCTGGAGGGCTTGTTGGAAAGCATATCCCCTTGGCCTCTTTCACAACTTACTTCTGCCCAGGAAGGTGCCAACTCAGCACCAGCTCAGTACATAAGGCACCAGGCTAGCAGGGAGACCCTCTACCTTTGCTCACTTCCACCCTTCCTTGTAAAAGTGCCCGCTTTCTGCCCCCAAGGGAAGACGGTGCATTTAAAGGCAGGCCACTTTCTGCCCCTTCCCCCAAACTAGCTTTGGAATACATTTACTTATGCTTGGTATTAGACCTCACTCTTGTTAATCACACTTTGCATGCAGTGAGCAACTGACATGCTTTTTGGTTACACCACCACCATCTGCTTTGCTTATATGGTGATATTTCAAACAAGTTTCTCCATATGGCAAATAGGAATAACAGTAGTACCTATACTATGTAAATATAAGGTGGATTGAATGAAAAATTAAAAGCAAAACATTTAGAACAATGCCTTAGCATGTAGCAAGTACTCAATAAAATTTAGGTTTTATTGCCAAGTTCTTTATCTACTTGCTCTTGGAAAAGTGAACCATGGCAAAAGAACAGTAGTCAAAACAGACACCCACTGTTGTAGAATAAGCCTGCTGAATAGAACTTCAGCCAGATAAGTGGCTCATGCCTGTAATCCAGCACTTTGGGAGGCTGAGGTGGGAGGATTGCTTGAGGCCAGGAGTTCAAGACCATCGTAAGCAACAAAGGGAGACCCTGTCTCTACAAAAAAAAAATTGAACAAAAGAATTAGCCAGGCATGGTGGTATGTGCCTGCAGTCCCAGCTACTCTGGAGGCTGAGGTGGGAGGTTTGCTTGAGTCCAGGAGGTTGAGGCAACAGTAGAAAAAAGAAATGAGGCGGTGCCATGGCCACATTGGGAGGGACTCTGCCTGTCTAGACACAGGCTCTGAGACATTCTCAACTGCCCTTCAGGCAGCAGACAGGATGGCTGGAGGCTGGGACAGAACAGGACATCTCTATCCACAGTTCACAGACACAGATTCTTAGAATATGATGGTAACAAGAAAGAAAGGCTTGAGGAGGTACCAAGTCCAGTTAGTAAAAGATAATTATTCAAGTCAGGGAATCCAAATCTCCAGAGGGAAACTGCTTCAGTAAAAGTGGGCAGTGATTTATTAGGACACATGGAAGCAAGAACTAGAGGTGAATGTGTTAGAGTCTATTTAAAAACCTACAGGGGAAAATCCTCTCAATGTAATTTGGAAAGTAGCTTAGGAAGGTAAAGCATCCTTTTACAAAGAGTAATTAGATGGCCTTCATATTTTCCATATCTTTCACAAAAGCGTTCATTTACAGCAGGAAAAAATTGAAGAATTCCCAGGGAAACCCTTTAGTTAAGGAATCTCTTTCTCATTGCTATTTAGAGTTCTTAAATTTTATTAGAGCTTTATTTATCTGAGTCTTGGAAGTGGTTTAACCTTATTTTTTTTTCTTAAATAAAAAAAACAGGAGGAGTCATGACATTTTTATAATGGGAGACTTGGGCCTAGCTGTTGGTTTGTGGATTTGATTAGTTTATTTTTCACAAGGAAGCTTTGCTTCCAATTTGCTTGGGTGCAGGATGGAGGTGTTTGGTGTGATGTATACTCTCTGTGCTGGCAGCCACTTTAGTTCCTTCATGCACTGTTTTCCTGCAGCGTGGCATTCATTTGGATATATCCTGTGGAAAAGGGTTCCCAGAGCCTCACTGGGCATTTCTCACTGTTCCATAGGCCTCTGGGAAGCAAAGGGGAGGTGGTCATTTTCACAGCTGGCACCACTGACCTCTTGAGCATTCATGTCCTGGAAAGTCCACACACATCTGTGGGGCATCACTTACATTTCACTGAGGCACAACAAGAAATGGGTGGGTGCTCCACAGCCCTGCCCTCTCCCTCATTGTTCTCCAGACACATCCACAGCATCGCAGCAGGTCCTGAGGCCATGGGGGATCTTGGAGGCTGCCTGTGAAATTTCTGCTATTGTGGAGATGTACTTTGGTTTTTAGCAACATGAGAATATTGCAGGAGCGCGGGAAGAAGTCAGGGCTCTGAGCTCTTCTAGTGCCTTTTTCCAGTGCTCCGAGGATGGGGCGCTCCCATCCTTTTCTGCTCACAGTGTGCTCAGTGCAGCAGCCTCCTACTCTGTCCCCTCAACGATTCAATGCCCTGAGCTTCCACAGCCCCATACCTCTCATGCCCCCCCTCCCTTGATGATGCTTCCACCTCTACAGGTGAAGTACAGGCCCTGCAGATTCCATCACTTCCCCCAGAGGCATCTGTCTCACTCACATCATGCTGGGGACCCTGAAGCAGAAAGTGATCTGATTCCCAAAACACTGATTAAACGTAAAATTAATGCACATGGGAAACTTCTGTGGCTCCTACATCAGGGTGCTTGCAAAATAAAGGGCTGTTTCATTCTTACAGCAGAGCCACTCTCCCCACACCTCCCAGAGGAGACTGCCTTTCACTGGGACCACATTAAGCCTGCCTTTCACTGGGGACCAGCTCCCATAACAGATATCAAATTTCACCACCTGTTTAGAACCAAAATTTCATGGATACATTTTCCAGTCAGCCTAATGAAGACAGTCGCAGGTATACAGACAATGGCAGTAAAAATCAGCAACAAAGACCAGTAGGAAGTGCTGGAGGGAATGAAGTAGCAACGTTCAGACAATTGCCACCCTTGCCTGCGTGCGCTGTCACCTAGGCACACACATCAGGAAAGCGCCCAGTCCTCAAGGCCACAGAGGATGCCTGCGAGACCTGATAGCAAAACAATGAGTGAGTGCGCTTTTATGAAACGATGCTTCTCAGTTTTATGGGTGACGTGTTTCTTTCAACTCATCAGTGTAGCTCCAGCCATACAGTTTCCCAGTGGCTCCATCACAGGGATGTGCCGCTATCTGAGGCTTTTATTCTTTGTGCTTTTTATATACAAATGACCTAATTAGAGTTGAGGTGGCAAAAGTTAGCTTAGTTCACATTTGCCACCAAAAGAGTTTGGATAACAATATGGTCTTTTTTAAAAAAAATATTATAGTTATTATTATACTTTGCAGTGTAGTTAAGGATTGAAAAGGAAAAAAAAATAGAAATGATTTAAGAGGCAAGTATAAGATGTACATTTTTATGTGCAAAACTAGGGTAGCACTGGCTGGTAATTGGACCTTTGTGCTTAAATCATTTTGCAGACATAACACCTGGGTTCCTGCTCTTTACTGAGACTAAATGTATCTCAGGACTTCAGAATATTTAGTGAGGTGAGCTTCGCATTGCTGGCTGGCAAATTTTCTTTGCTATCTTGAAAGTTATTCTTGGAGTTTATGGGGTTGATCTCATTGGGAAACAGAAAAGAACAATCAAATTGACAGTAACTTTGCACCAAAGCATCTGGCAGGCAGAGTAAGTGGTCACTCCTGTTGCAAAAGCCATCTTCAGAATTGTTTTGTCTTAACACTTTGTACCTTTCATTGAGCACACATCTTCTGGGGATTGCTAAGGTGGTCTGGCCAAAGGGCTGGTCTGGACATGGTCCTTGCCTGCTTCAAAATCACTGTCAACTCACGGTACATGCCATGTGGGGTCTGGTACCCATGACCATATATTTTATTACAATCTGTCATCTTTTCTTCTTCTCTAGACCATACATTCTTTTAAAAGTTCACAGTGTTAAAAACAACATAGATGCTCAATAAATGTCTGTTGTGTGAATGAATGATGGAATGAAGGATTGAGAGAATGGATAAGGAATTGCACAATGGCCAGAGCTCTCTTTTTCCAGTGGTGGTCTACAGGGTTGCTACATTTTTGGAAGACTAGAGCAAACCTCATTCATGGCTTCTGCCACCTTTTGAAGCTTACTAATAATTGCATCTACATATTTTAATTGACAAATAATAATTGTACTTATGGGTTGCATAGTGATGTTTTAATACATATAATGTATAGTGATCAAATCAGGGTAATTAGCATATCATCATCTCAAACATTTATCTTTCTGTTTGTTGGGAATGTTCAACATGCTCCTTCTAGCTATTTGAAACTATGTTATGTATTGTTATCTGCAGTTATCCTACTGTGGCATAGAGCACTAGAAGACTTTCCTCCTATCTATCTATAATTTTGTATCCTTTTGAAGTTTCATTTGAGAGGTGAAAAGTGATCAAGCAATCCGATGCCTCCTATCCCAAGCTGCATATCTAGGTCTGTATCCATTACAGCTATGCTTTAAGTCTGCAACCTCATTTAGCCTGTGGTACTTCTGAAAATCTCTATCTGCTGCTGGAAACTTTCAGAGCTGGAGTGACAGCTACTCAGGGACAGCTCTCCTGCCTTTAGCATGCTTTCAGCTCCAAGTGATAGAACACCTCATTAACAGTGGCTGAAAGAATAGGGGATTGTGATTTCTTATAAGAAGTGCAGAGGCAGGTGATTCTATGGTTGGTAAATTCAGCAGCACAACAATGTCACCCAGAGGCTCTCTCTTTCTCCACTCAACCACATTCATAGGCTGACTGTATCTTGATTTCAAGATGAGTGCAGCTCCTCCAGGCATCACAAATTTTACCCAGGTCTATCAGCAAGAGAGGACATTGTCCTCATGCATCTCACTTTAGCCATGAAATAAAATCTTTCCCACAATACTTACAGTAGGCTTCCCTCAGATCCCACTGGTGAGCAATAAATCCCATGCCTCTCCTTGAAGAGTGGTGCCTGGCATCTGGCTGTGCATTGGAGGCCAGCTTTGCTTCCCTGGCACACAGGCGAGAGAATGGACAGCCAGCAGCACCTGTCACACTCTGTAAAGTTGATTATAAGAGGATTGGAGTTTGATTGGTTTTCTTCCTAGCTTTGTAAAGGGGAATTTGCGTTTCAAAGTGGAATACTTCCTCTTGTTTGCTGGCTTGCTTATCTGGTATTATACTAATAAAATCC
The DNA here is from genome assembly GCF_000001405.40 of Homo sapiens. NCBI lineage: Eukaryota > Metazoa > Chordata > Mammalia > Primates > Hominidae > Homo > Homo sapiens. The sequence continues at coordinate 126,219,545 of NC_000012.12, forward strand.
AACATAAAAGATGGCTTACGTTCCTCATGCAAAAGGAAAAGCTCAGGGGTGGACTGGTACCAGGAATGTGGGGTCCATGTCCTCAAGCAGTATCCTTAGCAACTTGTCTCCCTGTCTTGATTTTTCCCAGGCAGACTCTTTTCTCCTGGAGGCAGGATGATTGCCAACAGCTCCCGGAAAACATCTGCTGACTTGGTCACTTCCAGGAGAAAGCTGCTGTCCCCAGATAGTCTCAGCACAAGTCCTGGGGTTGCTCGTCACAGGCTGTTTGGCATAACTGGGATCAGGTGCCCATCTTGAACCACTCACTGTAGCCAGCTCTGAACCAGGGGTAGAGATCAGCCCCTAGTTGAGGGACTTGGGCAAAGAGTAGGGGAGGGGTTCCAGGTGGGCAGTGGATACTGATGGAGACAGGAGCTGGAGTGGGTGCCACGCCAGTTACCATAGTCTCCCGGGTCCTGGAATTGTGCTACAGGAGTCCAAATGGGATTCTCCAGCTCTGCAAACTCAGGAGTCACAGTTTCGGTTCATAGTGTTGATATTTCTGGTCTCTGTATAAGAAATATATTTTGTTGAACTATGTGACTAATCAAGTTGTAATGTTTTTTAAATGAAAGAAGAATTCCTATCATAGTCATCACTTTGATTTGTGAGGATGAACACTTCGTTCTCTTTAGAAGAGATAAAAGATTACATGAGGAAAAAAGTATGTAACTAGAGTTATATAAATATAAAAAAAAACTTTTAAATTTCAATGTCCTTTATCTTTTCTTATTCTTTTTCATATTTCTAATTTGGAGCCACTTGTTCTGTAAAAGTACTTTTTTTTTCTTTTGAATTGCATTTTATTCCTTGCTAATATTCCCTTGAAATCCATTCTAAAATATGAATGAATGCTTATTTTCATTGGCTGTCATCAGATTGTGTTATCAAGTGAGATGTGAACTGCAGGATAACAGGATGAATGTGTTTGACTGCAAACCATACGAATATGACTATAGTCCTAATAAAACATTATACAAAAAGTTGCCATCTCTGCAGTCTGTCAACCTTGGGTGGGTAAAGTTTTAATACATTATAATGTGATAAATGCCTTAAAGTACAAGCATACCTCATTTTATTGTACTTTGCTTTATTGAACTTCTCAGATATTGTGTTTTTTTTGTTTTTCTGGTTTCTTTTTTTAAACAAATTGAAGGTTTGTGGCAACTCTACATTGAGAAACTCTATTAGTGCCATTTTTTTCCAACAGCATGTGCTTACTTCATGTCTCTGTGCCACATTTTTGTAGTTCTCATAATATTTCAAGCCTTATTATTTTTATTATATCTGTTATGGTCATCTGTGACCAGTGATTGTTGGTGTTACTAGTATGAAATATTTTAGGGCACAAAAAACTGCACTCATATAAGACAATGGACTTAATCAATAAATATTGTGTGTGTTCTGACTACTCTACCAACTGGCCATTTCCCCATCCCTGTCCCTCTTCTAAGACTTTTTATTCCCTGAGACTACACAGTAATAAAATTAGGCCCAATAATGAGCTTACAATGGCCTCTAAGTGTTCAAGTAAAAGAAAGAGTCACGTCTCTCACTTTAAATCAAAAGCTGTAAATGATTTAGCTTACTGAGGAAGGCATGTCAGGAGCCAAGACAAGCTGAAAGCTAGGTCTCTTGCACCAAACAGCTAAGTAGTGAATGCAAAGGAAAACTTCTTGAAGGAAATTAAAAGTGCCACTGCAGTGAACACATGAATCATAAGAAAGCAAAACAACCTTATTGCTGATATGGAGAAAGTTGGATTGGTCTGGATAGAAGACCCAACCAGGCAGAACATCCTTTAAAGCCAAAGCCTAATCCAGAGCAAGGCCCCAACTCTCTTTAATTCTATGAAGGCCGAGAGAAGTGAGGCAGTTTCATAAGAAAAGTTGGAAGCTAGCAGAGGTTGGCTCATGAGGTTTAAGGAAAGAAGCCATCTTCATAATAAAGTGCAAGGTGAAGCAGCGAGTGCTGATGGAGAAGCTACAACAAATTATTCAGAAGATCCAGCTAAGATCATTGATGAAGGTGACTGCACTAAACAACAGATTTTCTGTCTAGATGAGACAACCTTCCATCGGAAGAGGATGCCCTCTAGGACTTTCACAGCTAGAGAGGAGAAGTCAATGACTGGCTTAAAAACTTCAAAGGATAGTCTGACTGTCTTCTTAGGTGCTATTGTTGCTGGCAACTTTAAATTGAAGCCAATACTCATTTACCACTCTGAAAATTCTCGAGTCCTTAAGAATTTTGCTAAGCCTACTCTGCTTATGCTCTATAAATGGAGCAACAAAGCCTGGACGATAGCACATCTGTTCATAGCATGGCTTAGTGAATATTTCAAGCCCACTCTGGATCCCCATTGCTGAGGAACTAAAGGTTCCTTTCAAAATATTACTGCTCATTCGCAATGCTACTGCTCACCCAAGAGCTCTGAAGGAGATGTACAAGAAGACTAATGTTGTTTTCAACATTATAAATATAAACAACATAGTGTTGTTTTAAATATATATAATTATATATAAATAAATATTAATATACTTTTACATATTTATATAATTAATATATAAAATTTATATGTAAATTAATAGTTAATATCATATTTACCATATTACATATATTTTATATATAATATACATATTTAATATATTTGAAATGACATATTTAAAATATATATTATGTTTACATTTTATATATTACAAAATGTATTTAAAATATTTATGTTTTAAATATAAACAACATAATGTCGTTTTCACTCCTGCTAACACAACGTCCATTCTGAAGCCCACGGACCAAGAAGTAATAATGACTTTAAAGTGTTACTATTTAAAGAATGCATTTCATAAGGCTATCGCTGCCATAGAGAGTAAGTCCTCTGACGGATCTGGGTAAAGTAAATTAAAAACCTTCTTGAAAAGGTTCACCATTCTAGATGTCATTAAGGAGATTCATGATTCATGGAGAGAAGACAAAATATCAGCATCCACAGGACTTTGGGAGAAGTTGATTCCAACCCTCATGGATGACTTTGCAGGGTGTAAGTGGACGAAATAACTGCAGATGTGGTGGAAACAGCAAGATACCTAGAATGAAAAGTGGCATCTGAATATGTGACTGCATTGCTGCAAACTCATAATGAAATTTAAATGGATGAAGAATTGAAAAAAAGTTAATCTCTGCCGCAAACTTCATTGTTTCTTATTTTAAGAAATGGCCATAACCACCCAACCTTTAGTAACTACCATCCTGATCAGTCCGAAGGCAGCACCATGGAGGCAAGACCCTCCACCAGCAAAAATATTATAACTCACTGAAGGCTTAGATGATCGTGAGCATTTATTTTAAAATAAGGTATTTTAAAATTAAGATACGTACATTCATTGTTTTTTCACACATAATGCTATTGCACCCTTAATAGACTACTATATAGTGTAAATATGACTTTCGTATGAACTGGAAGCTAAAATGTTTGTGTGACACATTTTATTGTGGTTTTCACTTTATGGTGGTGGTCTGGAACTGAACCCACAATATTTGTTTTTCTTTTTATTCTTTTTGGCGGGGGGGTACAGAGTATCAAGTATCACTCTGTTGCCCAGGCTGGAGTGCAGCGGTGCCATCTCAGCTCAGTACAACTTCCGCCTCCTGGGTTCAAACGATTCTCCTGCCTCAGCCTCCTTAGTAGCTGGGATTACAGGCACGTGCCACCACGTCTGGCTAATTTTTGTATTTTCAGTAAAGACAGGGTTTTACCATGTTGGTCAGGTTGGTCTCAAACTCCTGACCTCGTGTTCCCCCCCACCTTGGCCTCCCAAAGAGCTGGGATTAAAGGTGTGAGCCACCTCACCCGGCCTTGAGCCCACAATATTTCTGAGGTATGTCTGTATTGTTTAAAAAGTATTGTAAGGGTTACAGTATATGGGAACTCTCTGCACTTTCCATTCATTTTTTTTTCTGTCAATCTAAAACTGTTCTAAGGAAAAGAAAATCACCAATTTAAAAAGTTTTGTAGGTGAAAACTTGGATTTTGTTAAAAATATAGAAAAACTTCATATTTTGATGAACTCTCACCATGAAGAATTATGAATGATGAAGGTATAAGCCATTCAGTAAAGACTAATGTTGCCAAAGGAGAAGAGATGAGGAAAAATCAAGCAAGGTTGGCAGTGTTTTGACAGGTAATACCAGACCAAAGGAAGTGCAAGACACATAATGGATTTGTCATGTGGCAACCTCATGTCATCAGATAACATGGACAGGGCGTTGTTCCTTGAATGATTTATATCTGTGTTCTTGTGAACTGATTTCTAGAGAAAATAAACTGTATCATCTTATGTGGCCAGGAACTATTCTATAGAGCATGCCTTGAACTAAACATTCAAATAGAAACTGAGTGAAAAGCACAGTGGTCCACCATAGAAAGAAAAGTTTGTGCTTCTTTATAGTATGGAGGAATAGCAAAACCCTAGTGCAGATTTTTATTTTTTTAATTTTTAAGAGATGCGTCTTTCTTGGCTGGAGTGCAGTGGCAAGATCATAGCTCACTGCAGCCTTGAACTCCTGGGCACAAGGGATCCTGCTGCTTCAGCCTCCCAAGTATCTGAGATTATAGTAGTGTGCCACCATGCCTTGCAAATTATTTATTTATTTATTTATTTATTTATTTATTTATTTATTTATTTTGTAGAGACAAGGTCTCACCATCTTGCCCAGGCTGGTCTTGAACTCCTGTCCTCAAGGGATCCTCCTGTCTTGGCCTCCCAAATTGCTGGGTTTACAGGCATGAGCCACCACACGTGGCCCGGATTTCTTAAAGAGACAACACACTTCTTTCTGTTGTAATCCCAACTCAAGAAAAATTTAAGAGCAAAGTCAAATTCTCACTAGGGGTGCTTCGGTGTTTGGATGTCTAAAACCAATCTTTCTGAAATTCCTATTTGCATACATTAATTGATTCAGAAAATATCTTAAGCAATTGAGCAGAGGACAGACTCACATTATTGGTTAATTTGAGATCCATTGCCTTTTGTGCAATTAAACATTTAACACTATGCCAAAAAAAAAGCAGTGTTAGTAAAACTTAGATACTGAGACAAGCATAATTACATAACATAAGCAAATAAAACACAAGCAAATACAATCTTGTATTATTTGCATTTATTTAATTTCTGATGAGATTTAACAGCATTGGGTTTTAACCTTTATCCTGTTTTATAAAAATTGCTAAGGCTTTAAATATGTTCTTATCTTTAGTTTTATTATTATTATTATTGCCTTAGAAGATTATTGCCTTTTTTTTGTGACCAAAGCTAGTCATAATTTTTCTGTAAGTTAGGGACCCCCTTCAAACTATGGAGAGGGAAGCAATGGAATGGGACATTATGAAACTTCTTGGTTGGTTTATTACACATTTGCTCTTTTCCCCTTCCAGTGGACTTTCTGATTTGCTGCTGAGAACTCTGCTGCGCTTGCTCCACTCTTGCCCCCAGTTCCCTTTGGGAATTGCTGGCCTGAGTCACTGTTAATTGTATACCTGTAGAAGAGTTGAGCCTGGAGAAAATATTACAAAGCACTGATTTATGACTTTTTCTCTCTTATCTTCACAGAAAAACTTAATAAATGTAAATTTTTTAGATGTTGATTTTTAAGTACCCCAATGAGTATTATCTTTTTTGTAGTTATCCTGGATCCTATCTTTGGTACCAATGTGACCCATCCTGAGTGAAGGGTGAGCCTCTCTCTTTTCCATTTTTAATGGTGGTGGTGAGTAACTTAGTCTATTTGGGATACTATAACAGAATTTCATAAATTGGGTGGCTTATAAGCAACAGAAATACATTTCTCATGGTTCTGGAGGTTGGGAAGTCCTAGGTGCTGGCAGATTCAGCATTTGTTGAGTTTTTACTTCCTGGTCCATAGATGGCCATCTTTTCACAAAAAGTTGAAGTGAAGGGCCCAGTGTGCGTGTCCTTCCATGTTGGAAGGAAGGAGGGAACTTTCTGTGGTGTCTTATACCAGGGCAGTCATGACATTCAGGAGGGCTCTGCCCATGCAACCCAATCAACTCCCAAAGGCCCACTTTCTTTTTTTTTTTTTTTAACTTTTAAGTTCAGGGGTACAAGTGCAGGTTTGTTTTATAGGTAAACTTGTGTCATGGGGGTTTGTCATACAGATTATTTCATTACCCAGGTATTAAGCCGAGTGCCCATTAGTTGTTTTTCCTGATCCTCTCCCTCCTCCCACCCTCCACCCTCTGAAAGGCCCCAGTGTGTGTTGTTTCCCTCTATGTGTCCATGTGTTCCCATCATTTAGTTCCCACTTATAAGTGAGAACATGCAGTATTTGGTTTTATGTTTCTGTGTTAGTTTGCTAAGGATAATGGCCTCTAGCTCCATTGATGTCCCTGAAAAGGACAAGATCTCATTCTTTTTTATGGCTGCATAGTATTCCATGGTGTATATGTACCACATTTTTTTCATCCAGTTTATCACTGAGGTTTATTCCATGTCTTTGCTATTGTGAATAGTGCTGCAATTAATACATGAATGTATGTGTCTTTATAATAGAATAACTTATATTCCTTTGGGTATATACCCAGTAATGGGATTGCTGGGTTGAATGGTATTCCTGTCTTTAGAACTTTGAGGAATTGTCACACTGTCTTCCACAATGGCTGAACTCTCACCAACAGTTTATAAGTGTTCCTTTTTCTCTACAACCTTGCCAGCATCTGTTATTTTTTGACTTTTTGATAGTAGCCCTTCTGACTCGTGTGAGATGATATCTTATTGTGGTTTTGATTTGCATTTCTCTAATGATCATTGATGTTGAGCTTTTTATTCACAAAATTGTTGGTTGCCATGTATGTCTTCTTTTGAAAAGTATCTGTTCATGTCCTTTGCCCACTTTTTTATGCGGTTGTTTTGTTTTTTTCTCTTGTAAATTTGTAGATGCTGGATATTAGATTTTTGTCAGATGCATAGTTTGCAAAATTTTTCTCCCATTCTGTGGTTTTCTATTTATTCTGTTGATAGTTTCTTTTGCTGTTCAGAAGCTCTTTAGTTTAATTAACTCCCATTTGTCAATTTTTGCTTTTGTGGCAATTGCTTTAGGTGCCTTAGTCATGAAATCTTTGCCTATGCCTATGTCCTGAATGGTATTGCAAAGGCCCCACTTTCTAGTACCATCTAGTGTATTGGTGATTAGGTTTCAACATATACACTTTTTGGAGAAATAAACATTCAGTTTATAGCAGTAAGGGATTAAGAGAAGCATCGCAAAGGTAGATCTTATGAAGGTTGTGGATGATTAAGGGTGGATTACATTTTGGGCTTAGTTTTCCATGTGACTGCTAAGTCACCTTTGAACAAGTCTTCAGGAAGACATGCAGAAGTCATTAGTGCTGCTGTCTAGATACTTGCATTCTCTCCCATCCAGGGGTATGAGATAATGTTACCATTTTCAGCAGAGTGACACGTGCTCCTTCCATCAGTTGCTGGTGACCCTATGTTATATATCAGGGGTTTGTAAAGGTTTTCTGGAAAGGGACAGAAAGTAGATATTTTAAGATTTACTGGCAAGACAGTGTCTGTTGTAACTAATCAGCTTGGGTGTGTGGTGTGAAAGTAGACAGACAACCAGGTAAACAAATAGGCATGGCTGTGTTCCAACTTTACTTATCAAAACAGGTAGTATGCTGGATTTGGCCCATGGGCCATAGTTTGCCAACTGCTGCTACATATCATTTCCTTTTGTTCTCTAAAAAAAGAAGAAGAAAGAAAGAAAAAAAAACAAACCAAAACCAAAGCCACAGTGAAGACAATAGCAGTATCAGCTCTATTAGATGGTGAGGCTGGGACTTATGAAAGTTATGAGAGGCCAAGCTGGATTTGAACCTGACTTCGTAGTTCCAGAACAGTACTTGGAGCCTTGAATATGTATCAAGAAGGCACTTGATACATATTCAACGTTCAGTATTTATTTAAGCTTGATACTCTTTTCATAGCATCTTCAGTTCTTCAAACAGAAATGGATGGTGTCAAATAGAAACTCTGCCAAAGCGCAGGCCTTGGGTAGGTTTCTGACAATTTCCCAAGCTTCCCAGTTTAAGCTATGCAGTGTGAGCTGTGGGGACCCAGCCTTATCATTCAAAATACCAGATTCAATTTTATGTGTTGCCACTGATACTTGTTTAATCAAAAACATTGATGATCTGTTTTCTCCTGCAAACTCTGAGTCCACTTTGAATACAGATATGGCTTTTCTTGTTGAGTGCAGATTCTTATTTCTAACTGAGGATCTCGCTCCTCTGAGCAGATAGACCTTGAGTCAGAGGAAGTTGGAGGCTTTCTGCCTAAAGATCTGCCCACATAGTGATTTCAAACCCGAATCTTTACACCTAATTTTTGAAAGGTAGTTGATTAAACTAACCCAAGGAAATTTGCAAGGCTCCTCATTAATGGTTGTTGCTAATGGAAATGACTATGAGACTTTTATGTCACTATTTGTTTTTCCTAACTGTCCCCCAACAGCCTGCCTCTCTATTAAATTATTTTATTGTTATGCCTATTATCTACTACCAAGTCACTGATAAAATAAGCCATTTAAAAAAGACATAAAGATGTGCCCCAGATAAAATGTACATCTTTGAAAAAGAAAAGGATTGAGTCTTTGAGTGCTACCTCCCCGTCTTTCTCCCTTTTCCATAATTTCATGTAAGAAATTCTGCATGATTTGAAGAGAAAGTATTTAAGTTAGCTGGCCTTAACCAAGTACCATCACTTTAGGATGAAATATTCTGTCTTTTGGAAAGAATGTTTCATTTTATTTTATGTAATTACATGGCTAACCTGTTATGCCACATTCATAGATACACACACTGTGCCACTCACATAGGTTGATTGTGGACTTTGCAAGTTGCATGTGAACAAAAGCCATTTGTGCAACTTCCAGTTGTTGTTAGGAGAGCTGCACAGCCTTCCCTGACCAAAGATATCTTTCTGTCTTATCTATCATCTCACCTTCACTTCTCATGCTAATCCCTTCTGCAATGATGAGTATCCGGAGGACAGAGGCTGCACCAGTTTATTTGAACACAGAGGCCATTGTCTGGAGCAAAGTCTGGATGCAGCTGGTATTCACCTAAGTAATTATTAAATAAATAAATGAATGAATGGGTACTTAATGTATAATTGAGAATGATCTTGTTGGCAGTCGACTTCCTGTTTTCTTCTGCTGTATCTATTTGCATGTCCGATCATAGCTATAGTGTTTGTTTCAAGGTGTGCCAGATCCTTTGGTATGCTGGTGGTTTTAAATTTCTAGCCATTGATAAGCATATAACTATAGCTCAGATGTGGTATGCAGAGAGTTTAAAATAGGTTATATGATGGAAGCTGGGGTGAGGGCTACAAGAGTTTGGATGGACAGAGAAGGCCTGTTTGGGGAAGTGTTGTTGGCTCTGAGATAAAAGGAATGAGGACAAGCCAGCCACGCAGTGACCTGGGGAAGAATTTCTAAGCAGAGGGAAGAACAGGTGCAAGGATTCACAGGGAAGATGGTGCCGGGTTGGTAGCTTGGAGGCCTGGGCAGCACAGAAACCAGCTGAGCTTCAGCCAGGTCTTTAAGGTTGTCTCTGCATCAGGCATCTTGCACTTCAGTTCAGCAAGTGTTTATCAAGTGCCACCCACCTCCTGAGTGCTGTTTTGGGGTCTGGAAAGCCAGCTAATAAAAAAGCCAATGAGTCCTTCATTGGTCTTCCAGAGCTTATATATTGGTGGGAGGAAATAAACATCTACTGTTAAAGGTTGAATTGTATCCCCCCCGTACAGATAAAATCTTAATATATCTCTATGACCTTATTTGGAAATATGAACTTATTTGGAAGTAGAGTCATTGAAGGTGTAATTAGTTAAATTAATAGGAGGTCATTAACTAGTTAAATTAATAATAGGTGGAGTAACATGGGCCCCTAATCTAATCTGACTGGTGTCCTTATAAGAAGACAACCACAGAGAGACACAGACATGCAGAGAGAATGCCATTAAAGATGGAGGCAGAGAGTGGAGTGATGCATTTACAAGCCTATGTGCCCCAGGAATGACCAGTCATTACCAGACGTGAGGAGAGAAGCTTGAGATAAATTCCACTTCACAGCTGCCAGTTGGAACCAACCCTGCCAATACCTTGATTTCCAACTTCTGGCCTTTAGGATGGTGACAGAATAATTTCATGTTGTTTTAAGACATCCAGTTTGTAATACTTTCTATGGCATCCCTGAAAAAATAATGTAACTATTGAAAAATTTATAATTATGTCAGGTTGTGATAAATGCTAAAAGATTATAAGAAAAATAAAGTAGGTAAAGGGACAGAGTAAACAGAAGTACAGGGGTTCTCCTTCAGACACAGTGGTCAGGGAGGGCTTCCCTGAAGAGCAGAGCCCCAAAGGGAGTAGGGGGAGGACCGGTGGAGAGATGTAGGACGAGAGAGTCTCCCCAGCCACCCTGAAGCGGCTGGCCCTGGTGTGGCCAGGGTTCTGTGCTGGGGCTGAGGGTTGGCGTGGAGTGAGTGAAGGAGCAATGAGGGGGCTAGGTCATGGAGGTGGCTGAGGCCGGCAATTTGCATGAATTTGTAGGCTTTGAAAGTACTTTGGATTTTATTCCGAGTAGGATTGGAAGCTACTGCAGGGTTTTGAGCCATTTGACGTCCAGTTTCTGTTTGTAAAAAGCACTCGGCTGTTGCGTGAAGAACAGAAGTGGGAGGGGTAGGCAGCATCAGGGAGACCCTTGCCCCCCTGAATGGGCATGCCTGTAGTGCAGGTAAGGAGGCATGGTCAGGTCGAAGATGCAGGTGAACACAGAACTGAGAGGGGCCGCTGATGAACTCTGTGTGGGATGTGGAGGGAGGGGTCTTTAACAATGACTCTGTAGTTTTGATCAGAGTGACTTGAAGAAGTTGGGTTTCATTCAAAGAAAAGAGAATGGGGAGTAACTGGTGTAGGGGAGAAGATCAAGAGTTCAACTTTGGGTGATTTTTGTGTGAGATGTTGATCAGGCATCCAATCCGACATGTTAATAGGCAGTTGGATATATAAAAGTCCAGAGTTCAAGGCAAAGGTCACTTTGGAAGTCAGCAGCTTGTAGCTGGAATTTAAAGTCATCTCAGTTTGTTGTGTACCTGGAAGGACATTTACTTCTATCCCATGACATTCATTCATGTATCTAAACCTTTCAGTTTGTCTCTAGCTGTGCACAAAGTAGAACTTTCAGGCCAGTAACTGGACCATGGGTTCCAAGAATTGCCAGCTGAGAAGCATTGTCCTGGTGCAACATCCATGACCTGTCAGTGCCACTCCAACACAGAAAAGTAAACTAAGAAGCTCCCAAGCTCTTTTTGCTTTCTTTTTGCCCATTTTGCTATGGAATCTGAAAGAGAAGTTCAACTTGAGGGTAAGGGTACAAAATGATCCTCATAAACAGAAGCAATTTCTTTTATGAAACCAGAGAGTCCCTGAGCACACGATTTAATTCAGCATCCCTATCTTTAGGTGTTGGTATGTCACAGGCAGGACAATCTTCCTAGAGGGTGACCCATGCTTCAACCTGCAGCTACATTTTTACGGGGTATCTTCTCAGTCTCTGGAGGAAAGAGGAAACTGCAGACTTTATTCCTTCAGTTGGGATTTAAGGGCCTGTGTCTGTAAAATAGTTCCCGTCACTTGAGATTTAAGGGCCCTGTAGTAATGAGTAAGTCACCAATGTGAATTTTGTCACTTGGACTCTCACTTGACAACCAAAGCTGTCTTCTTTGTTTCTTCTTCTTTTTAAACTTACCCATTTTGTTGACTCTTTTTCTTTAGAGTTGGAGGCAAGTGAGAACAAGCTATTACTCGATTATAGCTGAGTTTTCAGAGTTATTAAATGCTTGAAGCACAGTGGGTTTTGTGGAATACTAGTCCATGAAATGTTCTGTGTCCAACGGGCTCATGTTCAAATAAGTTTGGACACAGGATGTTTTATATAACTCCCTTTTGAAGAATGACAATGTATGGGTTCTATATTCTGTGTAGTATCTTACTCTAAAACTTACACATATAAATAGCAAACCTTCATTATCTCAGACTATCTGTGGGTGTGGGATATAGCAGGGGATGAGCTGGATGGTTTGGCTCAAGGTCTCTCGTAACGTTGCATTCAAATGTTTTCAGGGTAGCAGTCATCCAAAGGCTCCACTTCGGCTGCAGGACCCATTTCCTTGTTCACTCATGTAGCTGGCGGAGGAAGCCTCAGTTTCTCACCACTGGGACTCTCCATCAAGCTGCTCACAATGTAGATTTTTTCCTAAGGGAGATAGAGAGAATAAGAGAGCCCCAAGACAGAAGTCACAGTCTTTTATAACGTAATCTCAGAGGTGACAGACAACCACTTGTGCTGTATGATACTGATCACAGACGAACTATGGTCTAATATGGAAGGATTTATATTTGGGTGTGTCTACCAGAAGGCTGGGATCACTGGGGGCCAACTGAGGGCATACGTGAGGCTAGCTAGACCTCACAGGGATCTCTGCCTAATTACTACTTTCGACATGAACATGTAATGTAGCAGCATTAGTGGAAGGATGGTGCTTCAAGCTTGGGTAACACATTGCTGACTGCAGCTCAAATAGGGCCAGACCTCCTTTTATACTTGGTAAAATATCAACTCTATCTTGGCTCAAACCACCAGAGATTGTAGGAGCACACATACTCAATAACATTCTACTTTCTATCATGTTTGTTCTTCCAGTGTCTTGTTGACCTGCTGAAAATATATTTTTAAAATTAAACTAAATACATGATTCTTTCTCTGGCACAACCCACCTCTTTCTTGGACAGAATTCTAGACCCAGAATGTCAAATGTCTCCTTGGTAAAGACATTTGGGATTGGAAGAAGAGCAGAAGCTAGACATGGTACAGATGGTGATATTATCTTTGTTCTAATTTGATTGAATGATTTATTTGTAAATACCTTTAAACAGACAATGAGTCTATGAGTATCAGGAGCTGTGTCAACCTCATATTTCTAGTGTCTAGTACAGAGCCTGGTACATCCTTACAAGATACTCAGTTACCATTGGTGAATTAAGAACTCTCTGTTTTTCACAATGTCCTAGTACAGATATATCAGTCATCGTTGATGCTTTATGGCCTGCAGCACACTGAATTTGGCTGTTGTTCCACTATCTCCTTTTATATAGCAGTCAATTGCCCTGAGCATGGCTCAGAATATATTGCTCATTAAAGTGAGTTCCAGACACGACTGCAAGGGCATTAGCCTGATGCTCCAAAGTAGCAGAAAGTCTCCAGGGCATCATGTAATTATTCATTTGCTAAATAACACAGACACACAATGGCTTAATTACAGTATTTTGCTGTGAAATAGAATTGTAGTGATTTCCACATCAGAGTATCTCATTAATGAGATTTGCTAAGTGTTATTGGCAATATCGTGAAATGCCCTTTTGTTTTAAATCATTTTCTAAATTGCTAATGTCATTTGTGGGACAGAAAATTTCCCAAACTCTCTTGTGGAGGTGAAATGTTAGTGCTTCAGAAAATTCTCACTGTTAATTTCTTCCCAGGTGGCAAGACTTGAGAGTGTGTAAAAACTGCATTTTTGACATCTCAGTGTATCTCCACATCATCAGCATTCAAGTTATTACCAAGCATCAAGAATACAAATATTGGATTTTTCACCAAGAGCCTACAAACCTGAATACGCAAATGGTTGAGTGCCCCATTTTGTATCTGAGCTCTGCCACAAGTCATCTACATGACCCTGGTCAAATGCTTTGCTGGGCCCCAGTCTCCTCAAGGGAAACATATCTAGGTTCATTTGTGGATTCAACAAATATTTGCATAAGGGTCCCAGGCTCTTTCCTAGGCACTAGGAATAGAGCTGCAAACAGGACTAGACAGAGCTCCTGATTAACAGCGGCTTATCTTCTAGCAGCAGAGACAGACAAGAAGCTTGTAACTGAGTGTGTGCCTAAAATATTCCAAGCTAAGTATAATTTTTTTTTGTAGGTAAAGGAAATTGGGTAATTTAATTAAGAAATCCTCAAGAATGCCTCCTACAAGGAGGATGGCCAGGGAAAGCTTCTCAAGGAGGGTGACCTATTAGCAGAAATTTGAATAATAAGAAAGAGTCAGCTTCAGAAATTTGGGAAGAGCATTCCAGGCAGAGGGAATGACTAAGACAGAACCCTGGGGTGGGAGCCTATTGTTCTCACAAAGTGTCGTCTAGCAATAAAATTCAGTGATTTCGACATGAGAAATTTCAAAGTTATGTATTGTTTCTCCCAGAAGGTCAGTCACATCATAGGTTATCCAATTCTCATGGGTTTTATTTTCTTGTCTTAATCTAGGATGAGCTTTCCTCCTAAACGCTTCCTCCTTGATTAACTGCACCTTATCTGACAAAGTCCCACCCCTCTGTTACTTAGTGCAACCAGCTGGTTGACAATAGTAAAACAAGAAAATCCTTCCAACCAAAGGAATCTTCTTGTAGATCCTTGTTTCTTGCCTTCCTCTTAATGACCAGTAATGACCAAGAAAATGGATGGAATTTAAAGGATATAATTTACTTAATAGCTTTAGTCAGGCCTGAATATGAAATATGCCAGAACATAGAATCTCGTCTCCATCGTTTCAGACCTTGTTGCCCATTGAGGCGCTCCTTCTGCTTGCTAGTCCGTGTTCCATGAAACTGTGCAGGCACCACCAGGGCAACAAGTGGCTCACCCCATTGATGCATCCAGGCCAGTGCCCTCCTGGTCTTTGGAAGACGTCAGAAGAATGTGTGGAACATGCGTGTACACATTAAAAAGGGCTATTCCTTCTCTTGGTTGAGCATCTATCTAACCCAATCTAATCTATCAAGCAACAAAGTGCTCAGCCTTCTAACCTTGGGTACGTTGTTGGTTGGTTGGTTAATTGATTCATTTATTTATTTACATATTCACACATATTTTTATTTTTAGTTCCTATTGCCTGAGGGTCTACTATGTGCCTTTTTCCTTCATACAAAAAAGTGGGCATATGATCAACCTTCGTCATACATGATACTATGATAACATTATTATATCCATGCTCTATATTCAGAACTTTGTATGTCTGGTTTATAGTTATTATTCATGCCTCCCCTCAAATACCTTCTACGCAGAAATGCACTGGGAATGGCCCCAACAACACGTACACATGGTTACGTTTTCGTACAATTAGCAAAAGTAAGACAATTTAATGTCAGCTGTTTGAGATCTCTGTTTCTTTCCACTTCCACTTTCTCCTCTGTCACATTTGACCTCATGCTGAGTGGTCCTGAAGTGGCTGTGATAATTTAGGGAAACTGACCAAGGGGAAGCTAAGTCAGATAACTATTTAATTTGGGTTTAGTGAGATATAATTAGTCATGCATTGCATAACAACATTTCAGTCAATGATGGTTGGAAACATGAGAGAAAAGAAAGGAGCAGGTGACCTGAAATAGGAATGAAGGATGTTATGAGATTTGCTCGTCGTGTGATTAGTCAACATTCTTACTATTGTAAAACATTAATTTGCTGAATTAAAGACAACCTGACCATAAATTTGGATATCTTTGTTGTTGTTTCTTGTTCTTATCGTGTGTGTTGCTGAAGAGGTAAAACCAGATGTGCAGATATGAGGTGGAAGCTGTGCAATCTTCCTTCGACTATTCAGGAAAACCACTGACTATTTAAGCTTAATAAAGTCAAATTTCTGATAAATGTGTTTATTATCAACTTCCATAAAAGTAAATGTGTTTAATTGTTTCAATATAAAAAAGGGAAATTTGAGTTAAAACCATCCAACACATTCACACTATTTGTGATCTGTGAATTAAGGGCATAAAGCAACTAGCTTGATAATCCCTTGACAGACTAATAAATGAGAATAATATTTTTACAATGGAAAATTGGTATAATTACAAAGCTATTAACTTTTTCTCATACTCCCCCATTATATTATAAGTAAGCCACAGGGAACTTTCCTTGAAAATAAATTTTCAAATTAACCTTTTGGTTTAAAAACTATCTAATTTAATCATTTTGTTAAGTCGAAGTACATGACTGTGAATATTTGGAAGCCTGGTTCCTGTATTTTGTGTTTTTTTTTTTTTATTCTTTCCTCCCACTGTGTTTTTGGGAGATCCAGAGGCATGCAAGCATTCAGGACCCAGCATGTGCTGAACACCGTGCCTACTGCTAAACAGTATTTTGGTCTGCATGGCACTCCAATGAGGTAGGTAGTAATTATTAGTCTCATTTTACAGACGATAAAACTGAGGCACTAAAAGTTGATGTTACTGATAGCCTTGGGGTTTTGTTTTGTTTTGAGATGGAGTTTCATTCTTGTGGCCTAGGTTGGAGTGCAATGGCATGATCTCAGCTCACTGCAACCTCCGCCTCCCGGGTTCAAGTGATTCTCCTGCCTCAGCCTCCTGAGTAGCTGGGATTACAGGCATGCGCCACCATGCTCGGTTAATTTTCTGTTTTTAGTAGAGATGGAGTTTTGTCATCTTGGTCAGGCTGATCTTGAACTCCTGACCTCAGGTGATCCACTCGCCTCAGCCTCCCAAAGTGCTGGGATTACTGGCGTGAGCCACCATGCCCGGCCTAGCCTTGGGGTTTTAATCCATGTTCTGGCTTAATAAAAAGAATTGAAAACTCTTCCCTTCTATTTTCTGAAATATATTATCTAGAATAAGCCATGTTTACCTCTGAAATGTCTGGCAAAATATGTCAATGAAACTATCTGGCCCTGAAGTTTTCTTTGTTGGAAGGTTTTTAACCACAAATTTAATTTTATACACAAATGCACACACACATGTATGTGTGTTTGCAGGTATGTATGAATTCAGGTTATCTGTTTCTTCTTCAATATATTTTGATAGTTTGTGTTTCTCAAAATAATTAGTTTATTTCATTGAAGTTATTGAATTTATGGACATAAAATTGTTTTTAGTATCTCTTATTATCCCTTTAATGTTTGTAATATTGCTAATGATGTCTCCTCTTTCATTGCCAATTCTGGTAGCTTGTGTATTCTTTTTCTTTTTTTCTGGGTCTATCCAGCTATGAGTTCATCAATACATATTTTTACCTCTCTCTCTCCCTTTCTCCCACATTCCCTCTCTCCTTCCATTCCTTCTTGCCTGTAGAAAAGAGAACATACTTTGCAACCTTAAACAATTATAAACAATTTTAAGTTTTTTAGATTTATTCAGTTGCAAGTGACAGTAATACAAATTAGAGGTTTTTGATCAGAAAAGGAAATGTATTCACTCATGAAATGAAAAATCTCTGTTCAAGAATCAGATTTGATTCATTGGTTTTTATCTATTTTTTCAATATTATTGAATATCATTTCTCTTTGATTTATCTTCTGGGCTTAATTTGCTTTTCTAGTTCCCATTTTCTAAGGTGGAAGCTTAGATAGTTAAAAATATAATACAAGCATTTAATGCCACAAATTTCCTTTAAACTCTGATTTAGCTGAATCCTATACGTTTTGATTTTTTTTCCAAAAGCATTTTCATTTAGATTCAGTTAAAAATATTTTTAAAGCCTTTTTTTCATTTAGATTCAGTTAAAAAATATTTTAAAAGCCTTCTATCAAATTTGGCCCATAAGTTACTTAGAAGTGAGATGTTTAATTTCCAAATATTTAGTGGGTTTTCAGATCTATTTCTAGTTTAATTCTGTTATAATCCATGTACATAGTTAGTATTCTTACTTATATTATCTTAAACTTGCTAAGATTATTTCTGTGGCTCAGAACAAATGGTCCAGCTTGGTGGATGCCCCATGAGTTCTTGATCAGAATGTGTATATATTATTTGTTAGATGAGGTGTTCTATAAATGTCAATTAGGTCATTGCTAGTTTATAGTTTTGTTCAGATTTCCTTTGTCCTTACTTACTGTCTGTATATTTGTTCTATTAATTATTGAGAGAGGAGCACTAAAATATCAAGTTATTATTTTGGATTTGGATTTGTCAATTTTTTTTTTGTTCTTACTAGTTTTTGTTTCATGCATTTTTAAGATCACACACATTCAGAACGGTCATTTCTTGGATTATTGACTCCTTTGTCACTATGTAATGCTTTTTTATCCCCTGCAATATAGTTACATTGCCTGATGTTAATATTAATACATCTACTCCAACTTTCTTTTGGTTAATGTTTCCATTACATATCTTTTCCCCACCACGTACAAGTTACTTTTAACCTATCTATGTCTTTATTTTTTAATGGCTTTATTTTAAACAATATATAATTAGGTACTTTGTAAACCCAATTTGACAACCTTTGCCTTTTAACTGGTATGTTTAGGCCATGCACATTTAATGTGATTATATGCATTATTTGATTAAAATATACCATCTTGTTAGGTTTGTTTTCATTCATTTTTTTGGCTCACAGAGAAAATTTTTATGATTTCATTTTGTCTCTTTTATTGATTTATTATTTAACCTCTTTAAATATTTTAATGATTTCCCTAAGTCTTATAATATACATCTAGAATTACCAGAGTGTACTTCCAAATAATATTATACCTTTCACGTGTAAGATAAATTCCTTATAACAATATATTCCCAATAATTTCCTATAATTCTCTATGCTTTTGTTTACATATTTGTTACTTTTACAAGTGATCTCAATACACGTCCTCAGCCCTGTTAAATGAGACTTCCTTAGAACTCTCTCTAATGTTTTCTGTGAGTGCCTGTTAGAGTTTTTGGAGAAAAACCCTGAAGGCAGTTCAGACTCTGGATTTCTGTGGTGGTCGGTGACTTCACACTATCTCACCAATGTGCTCTTGGCCTTCACCATTTGCCAGTCAACCCAGCCAACCTCCCCTTACTAGTATCCATGGCCATCTGCCCCGTTTAAGTCCAGGTTCACACTTTGTCTATCCTTATGTTACCTGCTTCTCCTTAGATTTGAGGTCCTGTTGTTTGCTTTGTGAACTTAGCTCTCTGACGGGTTTGAGAAAAGTTGACAACATGGTGTTTGGTCTAGCTTTCCATCACCGTAAAGTGAGAACAATGCTTTTTCCTGCTATCTGTGTCTCTCTTAAGAAACTGAGAGTAAAATAAAAGTGTGTAGCACCTCCCCACTCTCTTTCTTCCTCCTGCTCTGGCCACGTGAAGCTCCTCACTCCAACTCTGCCTTCTACCATGATTGGAAGCTTCCTGAGGCCTCCTCAGAGGCAGAAGCCACTATGCTTCCTGTACAGCCTGCAGAACCATGAGCCAATTAAAGCTCCTTTCTTTATAAATTAAAAAAAAAAAAAAAAAAAAGAGAGTAACCTCACCACTTCCTCCTGAGGAACCAGTTGCACATCCCCACTTCCCACCACAGCCCTTTGCTTATTAAGGTGGGATTGATGGACTCCATGGTCCCAAGGTGGTGTGGCCCTAGGACTCAGGCCTGCACACTCAGCTTTGTTAATCCCCTGGACACATAGATTAGATCAAGCTTGGATACCTTAATGGAATTTGGGGTCAAAGACATTTTCTTTGCTTTGAAATTGCTGGGGAAAAAAATGTTACGGGTTTGGAGCTGCTGAGAGTCACCATGGGAAAAGAGTCTTTTTAAGATGAAGACACTAACAAAGAAGTAGAGATAAAATGACATTTTAAAATTTATTTTACTTTAGATCCAGATATACTTGTTCTGGAAGATTTTAATACATGAGCCGAGGCTTTTCCTTTTTGTGTGTGTGTTTTTTTAAACCCTCTAATTTGGAATTCTGTCACTTGAAACTCTAGGAATGCTGACAAATTCAAATCATTTATAATTGTTCATAGTTGGTGAGAGTTACCTCACCCTCATTCTACATCAAGTCAAAAGATATTTATGTATTGCTTTATGTGTCAGTCACTAGTGTATATTGATTTGCAGCAATATTAAGAAAATCTTGCTTGCTCAATACTTTCTACTCTTCAGAGCACTTTCATGTATATGGTTTTTTGTGATACAGAAATTCTTTTGATTTGTGTATATGAGTGTGTTAGTTTCCTATTCTGCTGTAACACATTACCACTAACTTAGTGACTTAAAACAACACAAATTTATTATTGTATGGTCTATAGGACAGAAATTCAGTATGGGTTCCACTGGACTAAACTCAGGGTGTTGGCAGGGCTCTCTTCCCTTTGGAGGCTCTTCAGGGAGTCCATTTCCCATATCTTTTCACCTTCTAGAGGCTGCTTACATTCTTTAACTTGTAGCGCCTTCCTCCATCTTCAAAGCCAGCCACGGTGGCTCAGGTCCTTCTTACATTGTATCACTTTAACCTCCTCTTCTGCCTCCTTTTTCCATTTTTAAGGACCCTTGTGTTGCACTGGGTTCACCAAGATTATCCACAATAATCTCCCATCTCAATGTCAGCTGATTAGGAATGTTAATTTTATTGGCAACCTTGGTTCTCCTCTGCCATGTAACCTAACATACTCACAGGTTCTGGGGACTATGGTGGGGACCACTTTGGGGGTCCTTTATTCTGCCAACCAGAGTGTGGCAGGAACTTTACATATGAAACCGCAGAGACACATGATGATTGTACAAGGTCACATGAGTTGGAAATAGAGTCTTACTAGTACACCTGTCCCTGTTTTTCTCTCCACTGTATTTTCCCTTCAAAATGATAAACTTTTTGCTTTCATTCCATGCCCATGCCAATTTTTAGTAGAAGTCCTCTAACTACAATGTTTGATGAAATAGCTGTCTGGAAAGTGAGGAATTTGTACAGAAGTAAAAGGTACATTACTCTCTTTTATGTCTATTTGGGAATCGTGTGTTGGTGTGATGGTATCAACAATTCAGTATCATTTACCACGCACTGCAGCTGTGAGTTTTCATCCATGTTTCCCATAAGATTTTCTGTGCAGTTGGTGAAGCCAGATTTGCTCTGGGAAACATTTTCCAACAGTAGTTAGCAGCCAAGATGGAGATGGCTTTGTAGGTCCCCAACATTAAAATACAATTTATTTTATCTTTCAATGACAATTTCCAGAAGGCACGCACAAGCTAAAAATCCCCATTTGTTGGTTAGAACTGTGGATACCCCATGGCAGAGTTAGACTCCTGTGCATTGTATTGTATCAATGGATCTGAAATGCAAATATCTTTGTTTTCTCCTCTATTCTCTGGACAGAAACTACCGTACCAAAGTTCTTTATGAGCTGTATCTTCAGTGCATCTTTAGTTTTTATTAAAGTTTGGAAGCAAGAAAGAGCAGAGATGTTGTAAATACGAGATCCTAGTTAATGTCATTTTGAAAATGAGCTATGAATGTAGGTCTTATTTTTGGGATTAGCTCCTTCTCTGACTGTACTAATTGTTCATATGACAGAAAAACAACATAATTTGTATCCTTTGGCAACTTTTAAGTACATATTTTCCTCTGAGATTTTTTTTTTTTTATTTTTGCTTTTGTAAGTCAGCCTTCCCTTATGGTTACAGTTAATTTCCCTAAATGCTCCATCTCATGAAGAATAAATTAAGGGAGAAACACAAATTCTTGTCCAACATAGATATAATTGAAGATATAATTGAAGTGAAAGCTCTCTTCTTACTCCAGTCAGTTGTCAACCTGAATGTTTTTCTTGCAGGTCAGATTGGAAAGAAAATGCTGCCATTTGTAGCTAGTAAATGTCAGTGTGGCTCTGCCAATGTTAAATATTTTGGTCATTTTCTCTACTTGGAGGTGAGGTTGAATGATATCAAAATATCTGAGGGTGACAGAAAGTTCTTTGTCATTTCTTCTCTCCCCTTCCCTGGTTCTTTTGAATTTTGGAAACCCTTTCAAATGGAACATCTGTAAGGAAAATGTAGCCTAGGCTAATATGCGTGTTTGTGTCTTAGTTTTCAATAGAAAGTTTAAAAACTAATAAAATTAAATAAAAATGCTTATAGAATAAGGATACAAAGAAAGAAAATACTTTTGTACAGCTGTACAATATGTGTTTTAAGCTAAGTTTTATTAAAAAGAGTCTAAATGTCTTTAAAAAGTAAGCGTTTATAAAGTAAATCATTGTGTAGTAAGTTATGGTTAACTTATCACTGAAGGCAAAATAAATAAACTTAATGTTGCCTAGGTGGACAGTGTTTGCAAAGTCCATAGTAGTATATGGTAATGTCCTGGGCCTCACATTCACTCACCCCTCACTCACTGACACCCAGGGCAACTTCCAGTCCTATAAGCTTCATTCATGGTTAGTGCCCCCCACATGTGTATCATTTTTTCTTTTATAACATATTATTACTGTACCTTTTCTATGTTTAGCTACACAAATACTTACCATTATGTTGCAGTCGCCCTCAGTGTTCCGTACAGTAACATGCTGCACAGACTTGTAGCCTAGGAGTGACAGACTATTCCATATAGCCTGGGTGTGTAGTAGGCTAGTCCGTCTAGGGTCTAGGTTTGTGTCAGTATACTCTACAATGTTCACACAATGACAAAATCTCCTAATGACAGATTTCTCACAATGTATCCCCATCATTAAATGATGCATCATTGTATACATATATAAATAAAATATTTCTTCATTTTCATATATTAATAATATATTTATATGATTATATATATATTGTAATGTTTTCAGACATTGGACATTAGGCAGAAGAATTCTGTGACTCCTGTAAAAAGAGAAATGCCTGTGGTGAGTCTTGCAATTGTTCCAGCTTTCTGCCTGGGGCGCTGGCCAGTGTGCAATGCAGAAAGGGGATTCCAAGTTTATAGAACATGGTGGTTTCTGAGGCAGGGAGACAGAGATTGGTTTTGGGAGGCTGAACTATCTGAGCATCAGGTTATGGAGCTGGAGGAAGCAGCATCATAGGGGTCATGATCATCTGCTTCGGAATTTAAATTCTTGGATTGAAAACACAACCCTATGCGTTATTAGCTTAGTGACTCCAGGAAACATCCTCCACCTCTCATTGTGTACTTCGTACATGTATAACAGTCAGGACTGGTACCCACCTCCTGTGGGGGAGTCCTACCTGGGCATGGCAGCAGCCCCTCCGCAGGTCATGACAGTACTGGTGGATCCACCCAGGCCTCACTTCAGAGCTTCCACTCTTCTTCTGCCCCCAAGGAAAAGCTGGTCTCAGAGGGCCCTTAGAGTACATCTAGTCCATTCTCCTCATTTTTGTAGATGGTAAAACTGAGGTTCAGAGAATGGAAGCAAGTTGCTCAATCTTCCCAAGATAGTGGCAAAAAGGGAAAAAGATTGAAAGTCTCAGAATTCTTAGACCAGCGCCATTTCCATGCAAGCAGATGCGGTCCTAAACTGTACTTACTTTTAAGGCCCTTTTTATACTGGTGAGCCAAAGTTGAATTATGTCTCCAACTCAGCATAAAGGCTTTAGAATAGTTGCTTATTTTCATCCTAACAAAGGCACAGATGCAGGGCCATCAAATACAGATGTGCTGGTTGCATACTGCACAACTGTAGAGGGCACATTTACATCATAATCCAGGTGAGTAACACTTCCCCAAGGTTTTTTTTTCTTTTTTTTTTTTTTAAATCAAACGTACTCTGTATTTTACCTAAGAAAACTTAGACTAACTCAAGGATGCAAAAGTTTTTCTCACTTTTTTTTCAAGAAATTCAATAGTTTTAGATTTCACATTTATATTTGGGATCCATTTGGAGTTAATCTTTGCATATGGCATGAAATGTGGATCAAAGTTTATTTTTTGCGTATGGCTATTACATTGTTCTAGTATTATTTTTTTAAAAGAATATTGTTTTTTAATTTAATTGTCATTCCAGCTTCATCAAAAACTGCATGTAAATGGCTTCCCATTTTAAATTATAGCCAGTGTCAAATATTCCAGAAATAAATACACTAACTAAATAAAGCAAGAGCTATTATTAATTTTAACTTTACTCCAAAACCCATTACTGACAAAATACCCTTGATGCAGTTTGAAAATTCACCTTTTCCCATCTTTCATCTGCAAGAGTGCTTTCTAATAGCAAAGACTGCTAAAACTAAGGGGAAAAAAGACAAGTCTCAGACTGTGAAAAATAATTGAAAAATCACATATTTAATAAATGACTTGTATTCAGAATATATAAAGAACCCTCAAAACTTAATAAGAAAACAAACAACCCCTTAAATGTGAGCAAGTTATTTAAGAAAGTGTTGTACTAAAGAAGATGTACAGATGGTAAATTAAGCACATGGTTTAACATCATGAGATATTAAGAAAATGAGAAATTAAGAAAATTAAATCCACAGTGAGATACCACTACACATCTATTAGAGTACCTAGAATGAAAATTGACCTTCCCAAGTGTTAGCCAGTTATGTGGAGGCACTCCAACTCTCAAACCCTGCTGGCGGGAATGTAAAATGGTATTTTACTTTGTAAAAACAGTTTGTCAGTTTCATAAAATGCCAAACGCAATGCAATCATAATGTTAAGGACATTATTTTTATTTACAAAGGATCTATGAAAAAATAAGAACAACGGACTGTCTTTACATACCCTCCATCAAAAGACCAAAGAAGAAAACAAAAGCCGAGATGTGGCTTCTGGCTGTGTCTTTACATGGTGGAAGGGACTAATGAGCTCCCTGGGGCCTCATTTACCAGAGCACTAATTCCATTCACAAGGACTCTGCCTTCATGACCTAATCATCTCCTAAAAGCCCCACTTTTTAATACTGTTGCATTGAGGGTTAGGTTTCAATATATGAATTTGGGGTGGGGGACACCAACATTCAGAACATGATGATATTTTACTGAGAAATAAAAAGAAGCTGAAGAAAGTGTTATCTCTCTTGGCTACATAATTCTGCTGAATTCCCTTTTGTAAGGGATAAGAGTGGTTAAGTGAGACAGAGAAAATATAGACCATAAATCAGAATAATTGTATCACTTTTCTGTCTGCTTGGCTCAGTTTTTTTTTTTTGACAAACTTTAAAAATTAGGCTAGGATTGCTTTTGAGTTTGAAACTTTTTATAATTCATTCAGCCATCTCTAAGTGCAAGTAAAATATATAGTATTCTAAAAAAGAGGGATATAAATTTAAGTTTGATTGAAAACACAGTGGGAGGTAAAGTGTTTGGGCCATTAAGACATAAATTATCATTTGCATGAAATAGGTGAGAGCTTGGTTCTAATAGAGCTGGTATTAAATCAGATTAAAATTTCCTGGGTCTGATTATAAGTACCTAGGCATCCTCTTCTCAAATACCCTCAATATTCCATAAATTCTCATCCTTCCACCAGTAAAAATGTGTGTGATGAGGAAGATTAGTTTTAAGGTATCCTACACAAATTATTTCTTTCCATTTTGATCGAGTCTCAACATGATACATAGAGTTAGCATACATTTTCAGATTTGTTTCTACAGAGTTATCTGCATGAGAAAGTCAAGTTTTAAATGACAGTGGTTCCTGGGAATAGATGTTCCAACTTGTAGTCAGCTTTCTGTATTAAATTATTTCATTATTGTTTGAAAAAGTCATTTTCTCATTCTTTTACACTATACATCATATTTTTCCTTATTTTTTACACTTTTTGTTATCATTTTCTCTCCCCAAATATTAACCAAAATACATTTTGGTGTAACTACAGGATGCAGAGTAGATGACAGTATTACATGAGCAACTGATGCTGACTTGTCAACTTAAAAACCAGCACTGAATTCTGTGACCACTTTTATCCCTGTAGGTTGTACAGTGGTAACATCAAAAGAGGCTTCATGAAAGCCTCCTATGATACTGTAATGCTCCAGAGGGGTACTGTCCAACAGAACCTTGTGCAACGATGTAAATGTTCTATACGCATGCTATCCAATATGGTAGCCAATAGTCACTTGTGACAACCAAGCCACTGAAACGTGGCTGGTGCAATCAATTAACTAAATTTTTATTTTTAAAATTAATTTCAATTTAGATGGCCATATGGATATTGAAGCTAACACATGAAATAACACAGGTCTAGAGACATTTACATCTAACTTCCTGGTATGGAAGAAAAAAATAGTAATTCTTACCTTTACCAAGAAAGGTATAAGTAGCATACCTTCTGTCTTTCCTCTTAGTATAAAACTATTGGATGGAATATGCTATCTTTGGTGACTTTAGTTAATAAAAAAGACCATTTGTTAATTGATCATTGTGGCCCACAATATAACTTACTGTTTATAATCAAACTTTCCTCTCTATGTCTGTTGTAGGTGTTATTGGACATCAACCTAGTATCTGGTCCATCTAACTATGTCTGGTTATCTGGTTACAGAACTGCGGTAGACTGATATGTTGGTTCCTTTATCACTTGACTTACTATTTCCTTCCCCTAAAGCGGAGGTATGTATGCAGGCCCCTTGAATTTTGGTTCATTTTGCTCCTTGCATTGCCCAACAGAATGAAGTGATAGTGTTGCTTTGCCCAATCAAAGCCTGGGCTTTAGGAAGCCTTGTGTGTTTTCACTTGCTTTTTGAGCTTCTGCCTGCTCTGTGAGAAGAACAAGGAAAGAATGGTCTAATGTCCCAGGAGGAGTATAAAAGACAAATGAGGCAGAGTGGTCCAGTCAAAGCCAACATAGATTAGTCAGCTTCCACCTTTCCTGACACTTGAGTAATAACATTTTTTGTTGATTTTCTTAAGTAGTTTTTATTATAAAACAAACACAAGAAGGGGCAAACAAAACACATAATAAAATGGTAAACCTGAATGTAATCTTATCAACACTTACATAAAATCTAAATGATCTTAACTCACCAACCAAAAGATAGAGATCATAAGATGAATTCATGAAAGAACCAATTATACATGATCTATAAGAAACCCATTTATAATAATGACATAGATAGGCTAAAAGTAAAAGGCTAGCAGAAAATATACCTTGCAAGTACAGAGCAAAGGAAAGATGAGTTAAATTAATATCAGAAAGAGTAGACTTTAGAACAAGGAAAATTATCAGGATTATAGAAGGTCAGTACATTAGGATAAAATGGTCATTTCACCAAGGAGATATAACAGAAATAAATGTGTGCATCTATTAGCAGAGCTACAAAATACATGAAGAAAAATGAATAGAATTGAAAGAGGAAATATACAAGTCCACAACTACACTTGAAGACATCAGTACTCCTTTGTCAGTAATTTATGGAATGAGTGGGCTGAAAATTAACTAGGATATATAAAACCTATAAAACATTATAAATCACCTAGGCCTAATTGACATTCATGGAACCTTAACACCTGTTAAATCCTGGTTAATTTAATTAATTTCTGTGAGCCTCATTTTCTTCTATAAAATCAGAAAATTTAGACAACCTACTGCAGGCTTTTATCATAAAGATTAGGGATAATGCCTATAATGTACCTGGGATATGATATTTATTATTCACCCATTCTTTCATTCAACTAGTAGTTGATTGCCATCTGAGTACCAGGCACAGAGACAGACATTAACAATACAACAGTACATATGGTAAAATTGTGCTTCAAAAAGCAAGTAGTGAGAGCTGCACACATTATCCATATCATCACAAAAATGAAAAGGAGGTACGCATTGCTCTAAGAACCTGCAATAGGGAGATTTGGTGTGGTCAGGTCAAAGGGAACTGCCTGTGCAAAGGCTCAGTGGCTGGAAGGAGTGGGGGTTGGAGGACCTGAAATCGGATGTGTGTGGCTGGAGGTTTGTGGTGCACAAAGAGTGGTGGATTTGAGGCTGGGGCCATAAGAAGGAGCTACTCGTGCTGTAGTTGTAGGATAGATTCAGGCACTTGGATTATATCTCAAGGGAAATAAGCAAAGGCCCTTAACAGACATTTCTTAAAAGAAGATGTAAAAATGACCAGAACATATATGAGAAGGTGCTCAACATCACTAATTATTAGGAAAATGCAAATCAAAACTGCAGTGAGATATGGCCTTACACCTGTTAGGATGGCTATTATCAAAAAGACAAAGGATAACAGATGTTGGCAAGGATGTGGAGAACAGGGTAGTCTTGCACACTGTTGGTGAAATGTAAATTGGTACCACCATTATGGAAAACATTATGTAGTTTCCTCAAAAAATTAAAATAGAACTATGCAATGATTCAGCAATCCCAATTCTGGGTATATATTCAAAGGATGGAAATCAGTATGTTAAAGAGATATCTTCATTCTATGTTCATTTCAGTGTTATTCACAACTGCCTAGACAACCTACATGTCTGTTGATAGATGACTGTTAAGAAAATCTTATATATACAGACAGTATAACATTTTTCAGCCTTAGTACAGAAGGAAATCCTGAAATTTGTGACAATATAGATGAATGTAGATGTTATACTAAATGAATAAGCCAGACAGGGAAAGACAAATACTAAGTGATTTCCCTTCTATGTGGAATCAAAAATAGTCAAACCCATGGAAATAGAGCATAAAATGGTGATTGCCTGGAGCTGGAGAGTGGAGGAAATGGGAAAATGTTGGTCAAGGATCACAGAGTTTCAGTCATGCAAGATAAATACATTCCAGACATAGAATACACAGTATGATGACTACAGTTAACAATTCTATCTTGTCTACTTGAAATTTGCTAAGAAGTTGGACCTTAAGTGTTTTCACCACACATAAAAATGCTACTTTTGTGAGGCGATGGGTGTATTAATTAGCTTAACTGTGATAATCACAGTTTTACAGTATCTATGTATAACAAATGATCAAGTTGTACACCTTAAATATATACAACTTTTATGAAATTATCTCTCAGTAAAGCTGAAAAAGCAAAAGAACAATGGGAAGCCAGTGGAGGATTTCTTGTGTGGTGATCATATTTGCATTTTCCCCTGGCTGTTAGGTGGAGAGTAGCTGGGAGAAGGGAGATGGTCAGATCAGGGAGGCCATTTAGGAGATTTGGGCGATGTGCAGGTGAGAAATGATGATACTTGGAGTCAAAAATGGCTCATGCTCTCTTTCTTTTCTGCAGCTACTGACTGAGGTTATATCCTTCATGCATGTTGTCAATGGTGCTGGCACTTAGGTCAGGAGGAAAGCTAAACTATGATTCTCTAAAATGAGCATCGCAGGTGGCCCGGTGCTGTATTCTTCTTCTTCTTCTCTTCTTCTTCTTTTTTTTTTTTTTTGGCAGAGTCTTGCTCTGTTGCTCAGGCTGGAATGCAGTGGCACCATCTCAGCTCACTGCAACCTCTGCCTCCCGGGTTCAAGTGATTCTCATGCCTCAGCCTCCCTAGTAACTGGGATCACAGGCACACACCACCACACCTGGCTAATTTTTGTACTTTTAGTAGAGACAGGGTTTCGCCATGTTGGCCAGGATGGTCTCAAACTCCTGACCTCAGATGATGCACCCGTATGAGCCACCACGCCCAGCCAGTGCTGTATTCTTAATGCTGCCTTTGGATCAGTTGCAAGATCGCAATGTACAATATCTTTGCTAGTACCAGGCAGTGTCAGAAGCAAGCTTGCTCCCTTGATTAGCTGTGGGTCCACTCATTCAGTAAAACACTTACTGAATTCCTGGCATCAGGAAGGCCAGTGGCTTACTTCAGAGCTGGTGAGAGCTTCTGGATTGGACCCTGGGTCATTGTGTCTTTGAACACATTTTCTACATTCCAGTACTTTCTGTCTTGCAAACTCTGGAATTCAGTGAATCCCCAACTCTCCTCACCCTCAGCAGCAGATAATCCACGTGTAAAAAGACGTTTTAGAAACAGAGTTTCACTTTGTTGCCCAGGCTAGAGTGCGGTGGTGTGATCGTAGCTCACTGGAGCCTGGAACTCCTGGGTTCAAGTGATCCTCCTGCTGCAGCAGTAATGTAGAGTTTGAGCAGCATAACTCAGAAGAATAGAGTTTCTGGACTTTGAGAGTTGTGGATATTTTCAAGAGTATAGCTCTCCGTTGGGTCTGGAAACCTATATATGGTATAGGCATAAAAGGCATTGATTTTCCTTCTCTGGTGTCCTAGCCCTGCACATTCTCCCGTTTGGGCTCATCCGTTTAGTAAATGAAGACGGCATTGGCATGACTAGACTTACTCCAGTAGTAATTATTCTGAGAACTTCCTTCACGGTGCCCACCTTGGCTGGGGTCGTAGGAAAAACAGCCAAAATCTAAGTCATATTTACATATGCTGCAAGAGGCTTTAGTTTGTCCTCTTGCAATCTTGAATTTTGTAATATTTGAAAAAAATTAAGTTGCACAAATGATGCTGATCTGATCACCCAATGTATGCCCGACTATGTACTGTGGTTCCAGTGATGGAGAAAAAAGAGGTCTTTTTCAACGTGACCTATCAGAACTGAATCTTAAATCTTAAATTCTGGTAGAATTTTTCTGAAGGTAGTGGATCTGAAAGTACCTTCAGACATATCTCTCTTCGTCACTTTGGTGGCACAGATGAAGACCTTGGGGTCATCCTAGAATTCTCTCTCCTTCCATATTCACTCCATCAATAAATCCTGCCAGTGCTAATCCAAGATCCAATTACCGCTTCCCCTCCACTGCTACTCCTGGTCCAAGTGCCCACAATCTCTAACCTGGACCCCTGCCGTATCCTCATCACTGGTTTATTTCTGCCTTTACCCCCAACAGTCTACGGACAATATACCAACCAGAGTGATTCTGTTAAATTCTCTAATGCCTCTCTTCTCACTCAGAGAAAGATCCAAAGTCCTATAAAAGTAAGGAGTCCTGTAAAACAAAGCCCTACAAAACTAAGAAACTAAGGAGACAGGACAACCAAATGCAATATGTGAATCTGAATTGAACCCTGGTCTAGTATATCCATTTATTTTGCTTTATTGCTTCCATGTATTTACCATGATCTAAAACTAGATGTTTGAACATATGTGTATTTTCTTCTTGTTCATCTTCCCTAAAATATGTAAATTTCATGAATGGTTCTCAAAGTCCTAAAAGGCTTATCTGTCCTTACCCTTCATTCCTCATTATCTCTGATCGCATCAGTTACCACCGCCCCACTTGGTGAAGCCAACTCCACCACAGACATCCGGACCTACTTGCTTTTTCTTACGTATTCCAGCCACATACCTCAGGGCCTTTGTACTTCCACTCCCTGTGCCTGGGATGCTCTTCCTCTGATATCTGCATGACTCTCTCCCTCACACTGACTCGGGAGTTACCTCCTAGGTGAGGCCACACCATGCCCTAGGCACCCCCTACCCCAACACTTCCTATTTTCCTTTCCAAGTTTTGCTTATTTTCTGTGCCATTCATTCCAGCAATCCCACTGCTGGGTATCTACCCAAAGGAAAAGAAGTCATTATATGAAAAAGACACTTATGGCCGGGCCTGGTGGCTCACGCTTGTAATCCCAGCACTTTGGGAGGCTGAGGCGGGCAGATTATCTGAAGTCAGAAGATCGAGACCATCCTGGCTAACACGGTGAAACCCCGTCTCTACTAAAAAAATAAAAAATAAAAATTAGCCGGGCGTGTTGGCGGGTGCCTGTAGTCCCAGCTACTCGGGAGGCTGAGGCAGGAGAATGGCGCGAACCCAGGAGGTAGAGCTTGCAGTGAGCCGAGATCGTGCCACTGCACTCCAGCCTGGGTGACAGAGCGAGACTCCATGTCAGAAAAATAAATAAATAAATAAATAAATAAATAAATAAATAAATAAATAAGAAAAAGACACTTGCATGCGCATGTTTACAGCAGCAAATTCGCAATTGCAAAGATGTGGAACCAACCTAAGTGCCCATCAACCAACGAGTGGATAAAGAAAATGTGGTATGTCTACACCATGGAATACTACTTAGCCACAAAACAGAAATATAATAATGTCTTTTGCAGCAACTTGGATGGAGCTGGGGGCCATTATTCTAAGTGAAGTAACTCAAGAATGGAAAACCAAACATCATATGTTCTCACTTATAAATGGGAGCTAAGCTATGAGGACACAGAGGCATAAGAATGATAAAATGGACTTTGGGGACTCATGAGGGAAGGCTGGGAGGGAGGTGAGGGATAAAAGACTATGTATTGGGTACAATGTACACTCTCAGGTGATGGCTGCACTAAAATATCGGAAATCACCACTACAAAACTTAGCTATGTGACCAAAAAACACCTGTACCCCAAAAACTATTGAAATAAGCAAAGCAATGTTTATTTATTTTTATTGTTTATTATTTATCCCCTGTTTCTGACTAGAATATAAGTTTGAAATAGTAGGTTTTAATTTTTTTCCCCTGTTTTACTTACTTCTGTATTTACAGTGTCTATAATATTGGCTAACACATGCAGACACTCCAAAAATATTTGCTCTTTTGAAGGGAATGGGGGCATATCTATTATCTTTTATTTATTTATTTGAGACGGAGTCTTGCTCTGTTGCCCAAGCTTGAATGCAGTGGTGCGATATCAGCTCACTGAAACCTAAGCCTCCCAGGTTCAAGCGATTCTCCTGTCTCAGCCTCCGGAGTAGCTGGGATTACAGGCGCCTGCCATCACACCCAGCCAATTTTTGTATTTTCAGTAGAGTCAGGGTTTCACAATGTTGGCCAGGCTGGTCTTGAACTCCTGACCCCAAGTGATCCGCATGCCTCGGTCTCCCAAAGTGCTGGGATTACAGGTGTGAGCCACCATGCCTGGCTCTATTATCTTTTAACAAAAGAGGACTTAACTCCGAATCATCTGCCCCAGTGCCTCCACCCACTGAGGGTGATTCAGATGATTCTGAAACTGGGGGGGGAGGCACTGGGCCAAATGATTCTGGATTAAGTCCTCTTTTGAAGCTGGCCTGGTATGGTGATCTCTGTTTCCTGATGATGTCTTGTCATCATTAAGCATTATTAAGTAGCATGAAAGGCCTCAGTTGAAATGCCCCGATCCTTCACATGATGCCTGGAGCTGTGAAGTGGAGGGAGTCTCTGCCCCTGTGTAATCTGAGATGAGCTCAGTTATGCAGAAGTGTGGGGTGTGTTTAATGCCGCCAGTACTCACAGCCTGTCGTGATGCACCTTGCTAAGAACATTGCAGGCTGTTCTACCTGGTCTTTGTAACAATTCTGTGATATGGTGAGTAAGAATATCCCTATCCCTTCTTAAAGATAATAAAACTGAGGCTGAATGAGGGTTAGTGTCTTATCTGAGGCCACACAGACACTTTCTGGCTCAATTGCATTAACCTGGAATGTAACTGTGCATGTCAGTACTCCTGTGATTACAAATGATAGAAAACCTGACTCTTAGTGGCTTATAAATAAAGATAATGATAGGTCACAGGCTAAAATGTCCAGGCACCCAAAGGAGGTGAAAATGTATGCCCACAGCACAACCTGCACATGGATGTTGACAGCAGCTTTATTCATAATTGACAAAACTTGGATGCAACCAAGATGCCCTTTGATGAATGAATGATAACTAAACTGTGACCTATCCAGACAATGGAATATTACTGAGTGCTAAAAATAAATGAGTTATAAAGTCATGAAAAGAACATGGAGGTTCCTTCAGTGCATATTGCTAAGTGAAAGAAGCAAGTCTGAAAAGGCTGCATACGGTATGATTCCAACTCTAGGACATTCTGCAAAAGGCAAAGCTATGGAGACAGGAAGAAAATCACTGGTTGCCAGGGGTCAGTGAAACTATTCTGTATGGTCCACATGTCCTGGTACATTTGACAAAACCTGTAGGATGAACAATGTGAAAGAACCTGAATATAAACCATGAGCTTTGGGTGATGATAATGTGACCATGTGTGTTCATTGACTGCAACAAGTGCACCGCTATGGCATGGCTTGTCAACAGTAGGGAGGCGGAGTGAATTGGGGAGCATAAGATGTATATGGGAAATCTCTGTATCTTCTCAATTTTGCTGTGGACCTAAAGCTGTCCTAAAAAATAAAGTCTATATTAAAACAAATAAACAGACAAAAACCGAGCATAACCAGATCCAGGGTCTTAAATGTTGACATCTAAGCCAACTCTTCCGCCGTCTCTTGACTCTGCCTCCTTCTGGGTTGGGTTTATTTTCAAGCATACCCCATTCATGGACCAACTTCTAGAATTCCAGGCTCTCAACCCTATAGCTTTAAATCCTAGAAGAGGCATGGGCTCTTCTACAATTCCTAAAAGATTCTTTTAACATCCTGCACATGAAGCTTTTCCACCATGGGGTCCCATGCCCATCTCTGCCTAGGCAGATGCAATGCTCTGGTCGGCTGAGTAGAAGCCATAGGCTCTCTTCTGTACCTGGAGAGGGGGGTCAGCCCCACCCATACCATGTGGACTGAGAGCAGAGCTGTCATTAGAAGTATGTGGCAACCAACACATGCACCCTGCAGTAACTGATGTGCCTAGTGCCACAGTTTCACAATACATATATATACTTCAAGTGTAGAGTAGATTCACTCCTAGTGCCTGGATCCAGGCTGAAAGCCTTTGTCTCTGGGTGCTCAGGGACTGTTTGCTGAATATGAATGGGTCTAACCAGAGAGACTCTTGAGAGTTCTGTGGGAAGATTACAGGGGTGATATTTTATATGACTCTGGACAGATGCCTTGGAAGGAAAGTATCTCAATGATGCTGTCCATTGGAGGTTGTGCTTGCAATTAAAAATATGGTCTATGGTCTAAATGACTCATTTGCAATTTTTAAGCAATTTCTAAAATGTGATCTTTGAAAGAAAATAAAAGGCTTTAGTGGAAAGTCTGTTGCCAAGTTCTCTACCACATCATTTTGAATTCTCAAGAAGCAATGTATTTTAATTAACCCCGTGGTAGGGAGACAGCCTTTTCGCCATGGCATAGGAAAGTGTCCTGGTCAGATGGCTGGGAAAATAATTAGGAGGACAATAAATATAAATTTAATTTAAATGAGGCTATTAAGAGCTGAGACTTGGCATTTCACTATTTAGCATTATTAGGTCTGCATGTAACAAACCATTGCACTAAAAAAAAATGAAGATAGACCATCTAGTGTAATTTAAAACATCCCATTTACTCTATGTGTAGTTTGCAACTCTCCTCATAAGTCTGTTAAGCATAATGGCCATTCTTGGCTGGTGGTGTTTAATCACATTTTGAATGTGGTTCTCAGCATGTATTAGAAATAAATGGCCTGACTTTTCAACAGAGAAGTGACTGAGATTAGGCCATCTGCATGCAATGTCTTTTTATCCTGTAAGTAAAAAACCACCCTGGCTTATCTTGGGGTGGGGGAGCTCAGAGGGCACCAGTCAGGGTTCAGATGAGTTGAGATGGATTCTAGTTGGTAAGACTTAATTTCCTTAGGACAGAGAGGAGTCCTGGGAGGCGGCTCATCATTGCTGAAGATCAAGGCTTGGAGGAGCTACTGGACTTGGAGGTGCAGTCCCGATGCCTGGAGTCCATTCTTGCTGTTCTTGCTGAGAAGATGTTAGAGCACCACAGGCTTGTTGGCCAAGGTCCTGGAAAGGTGAATGCTGCCATTTGCTTTAAGCTCCCCAAACTATATTGTTAATATATGGAGGCTTTCACATGTACCTCTTCCTTTTCTGGCTACTTTGGGTTAAGATTCTTTATAGTCTGTATGAGTAAAGGCAAATAAATCTATCAAGGCTTGAATTAGGTCATTTAGCTCCTATATGTTTTATTTTTATTTGTCCACCCTCATGAGAACCAACAACAGAAAAAGAGTGAGATGGGAGCAGAATGGCTGGCTACCCAAAGAGATGGGAAGTCAAACTTACCTCATCCTGCAGTTCGGAAATGTCTTTATTTATTTAGAGATGGGGGTCTTGCTCTGTCTCCCAAGCTGGAGTGCAGTGGCACAATCATAGCTCATTTAGCTCACTGCAGCCTTGAACTCCTGGGCTCAAGCAATCCTCCCACCTCAGCTTCTCGACTAGGAAAATGTCTTTAATGATGACTCTGTGACTCAGGTCAATTGAACAGATGAACAGAATGGTCTGGGATGGAATTTAAGGCCAGGGTATTCTGGGTTGCCTTAGGGAGATTTATTAATTTTTTCTTCCTTTTAGTTTGAACCCAGGAAACATAGATTAGTTTGGTGATGCCTGAAGTATCACTCTGTCCAAAAGTGATACCTGAGTATCACTATGCCCAAAAGAGGACAATGGTACTTTTGAAATTTTAAAGCAAAGATGCAACAGTTTTCATCTACTCTTGATCGTTAGGAGTCTGAAGACCTGAGGATGGTTCCATCAGAGGGAAAGAAAGCAAATCACGTAGCCCTGTAAGTTACTGTGTATGGATGGAGGTTATGTCCACTGTGTGTTAACCACCCTCCTTTTGAAGGGTGAGATAAATTGACTAGCTAATCATCTACAGGTATGCAGAATCTCTAGTTTCTCGGCAGGGTCAGAAAAGCAAGCCTCAAACTGATTATGGTTCTAGCACAGAGGCAACGTCGAAAAGTAGAAGTAACAAAGTTTTGAAGTCAGAATTACCTTGAATCCTGGTTCAATTTCTTATTAATTGTGATAACTTGGGCAACTCACTTAACTTTTCCAAGCCTATTTCCTCATGTGTCATTTGACAGTCATAAAGCTCCCTCAGAGGGTAATTTTGACATGTAAATGAAAAAGGTATGTGGTCCAGGTACTTGGAAGATACTCAGGTGGATGCAATTTAAAGCACTAAGTCTCAGAACCGTGGTCAGAGTAGTAAACCACACCTGACTGGGAAAGCCTGCACTGCTCAGTTCTGTAGCTACTTAAGTGCTTGAAGTGTATCTTGCTTTTAATATATGCTAATGGTCAATAAGATGGTGTTAAGTCTCCACAGCCAGAAAAGAACCAGAGTTCATACTGCTCTGTGGAAAATGCAGCCACTGTTTGGATTGGGAGATGTTTTACTAAAAGGACCTGTACGACTGATGGTGTGGATCTCCTGGATGCGTGTGCATGGGGGCCACAGAGCAGCCCTTCATCATCCCCACGTCTTGCTTGTCTCTCTCCATCTGTGTCTTTGTGTATGAATGTGCATGTGTATTGGTGTGATTGCATGTGTGCCTGTGTGTGGAGAATGCTTGGACGTGAGAAGCTATTGCTACCTGAGGGTTTTGCTCTTGTGTTCCCTTTTTGTTTTCTTTCTTTTTTTTTTTTTCTTTTCAGACAGAGTCTCGCTGTGTTGCCCAGGCTGGAGTGCAGTGGCATGATCTCAGCTCACTGCAACCTCTGCCTCCTGGGTTCAAGCAATTCTTGTGCCTCAGCCTCCCAAGTAGCTGGGATTACAGGTGTGCACCGGCTCATCCGGCTAATTTTTGCATTTTTGTAGAGATGAGGTTTCACCATGTTGGCCAGGCTGGCTTGAACTTCTGGCCTCGAGTGATCCACCTTCCTCAGCCTCCCAAAGTGCTGGGATTACAGGCATGAGCCACCATGGCCAGCCTGTTTCCATTTTTTCAAACCCTGAGGTCACATCTCAAATTTTACACCCTCTGAGAAGCTCTCCTTTACACCCATCTCTACAGAATCCTCTCATTTCACACTATCCCTCTTTTCCTTTATCTTAGCATTATCTCTGCAACATTCCAAACACACTAGTTTATGCTGAGGTGTCAAACAAGCTTACAACCTCAGTGACTATAAGGGGGGACTGTAAGCAGAAGCAGCCACTGTTTTGAGTTCCACTGGTCCTCGAGGGGTTTGTGCTGTAAAAAATAAACCATTCTACCAAAAAGACACATGCACTTGTGTGTTCATCGCTGCACTATTCATAATAGCAGGGACGTGGAATCAACCCAGGTGCTCATCGATGGTAGATTGGATAAAGAAAATGTGGTACATATATAGCACAGAATACTACACAGCCATCAAAAAGAATAGGATCAGATCTTTTGCAGCAACATGGGTGGAGCTGGAGGCCATAATTCTAAGCAAATTAAGGAAGGAACAGAAAACCAAATATCACATGTGCTCAATTACAAGTGGGAGCTATATATATATATATTTTTTTTTTTTTTTCAGGCAGTCTATTGCTTTGTTGCCCAGGCTGGAATGCAGTGGCACAATCTCAGCTCACTGCAACCTCTGCCTCCCAGGTTCAAGCAATTCTCATGCTTCAGCCTCCCAAACAGCTGGGATCACAGGTGTGCAACACCACGGCCGGCAATTTTTTTGTAATATTAGTAGAGACAGGGTTTCACCATGTTGGCTAGGCTGGTCTTGAACTCCTGGCCTCAAGCAACCTGCCTGCCTCGGCCTCCCAAAGGGTTGGGGTTACAGGCGTGAGCCACTGCTCCCGGCTGAGAGCTAAATATTGAGCACACATGGACATAAAGATGAGAACAGACACTGTGGACTACTAGAGGGTGGAGGGAGAGTGGTGGATTAAAAAAAAGTACCATCCTCCAAACCTTGGCTTCACACAATATTCCCATGTCACTCTCGCCTGGCTCACTGCTGCACACCCAGTGCTGAGAACGGAGCCTGGTATGCAGCAGTGGCTCAGGATTGAGCACTGGTGTGTGTCTGCCCACGGTGCATGCATATGCGGACTGGCATGGCTCATTGTGTGTCTTTATTGTGTTGTTTCCTCACAGGTGCAGGGCCTGGACATTCTGAGACCCTCCTAACTTCAAATGCTTTTGTTTCCTTAATGAGGTGGCACCTAATAGAACACATATCCTGATTCTGTATTCAAAGAGTGTGTTCTCCACACTCTAATCACCCTCATTAAGGAGAACCAGTCAACCTAGATCAGAGAGAGGACGTGTTTTTGCTCTGGGATTCAACGGGGTTTTCGGTCACTGGCTCCAAGGGCTCTGACCTTGAA
Source organism: Homo sapiens (assembly GCF_000001405.40). Lineage (NCBI taxonomy): Eukaryota > Metazoa > Chordata > Mammalia > Primates > Hominidae > Homo > Homo sapiens. Next base: position 126,258,381 of record NC_000012.12, read on the forward strand.
TGTTCAGAGCTGGAGTAGAAATTGACTCTTTGTTGAAATATTGGACTGACAGCAAAGCAGGCTGTGTTTGCTCCCAGGGCACTCCTGACCCTCCCCTGTGGCAGCAAGGGGCAGGAAGGTGGGAGCATGTTCATGATGGCAAAAATCCATCTCCCCAGTTGCCATCAGACACCCCCTGGCCCCTCATGAGTGCAGTGTGGGTAGAGTCAGGCCAGCTCAGTCATCAGAAGGGACATCACCTTTTGTTCCGGGGCCCATGAGTTGTTTTCATCCTCCAGACACCAGGTCCTGGAATCCTGATTATGCCTGGAAATGCTCTAAAGATGGTGCTCTCCATCTTTACTAGCCCTGTTGATGTGTCCCCAACACTGTATGAACTGGCTTCACCCCTCCTGGAACCCAGAGAAAGAACTCCTCAAGTAATAAGCATGGAGGTCTTTCCTTACCTTGAGTTGCTCCTTATCATGAGGGTTTTTTTTTCCTTTTTTCTTTTTTTTTTTATCTCATAACTGGACCCATGAGCAAGTCTTAAGGGGCAAAAGAGAAACCTACCACTTTTTAATCATAATTTGCCATCACTTCCTACATGCATCTCACTCATAATTACCCAGAGCAAATTAATTGTTTCTAATCAAATTATTGCAGGTGGGAATGGGGCACAATTGCACACATAATATTTCAGGATTGCTTGAATGGATATGATGCATGAAAGAGAAGTTAGAGAAGTTACATCTGCATAATTATTTCTACTGTATGGTTAGATCTAATTACTTTAGAGTAATTATCCTAGACCAGTGGACTCGAACTGAGGGCATTTTGTCCCCAAAGGAACACGGGCAAATGTCTGAAAACATTTTTGGTTGTCCCACTGGGGCATTGCTGGTATGTTGTGAGTAGAGGCCAGGAAAGCTGCTAAGCATCTTACAATGCATAAGACAGCTGCCCTTACAAAAAATAATCATCTGGTCTAAAATGTGACTAGTGCCCAAACTGAGAAACCCTGTCCTAGAAGAAAGAGCTTTTGTAATTAACAAAATGAACCAAGTAGGAGCTATAACCAAAGAATTTTCATTGGCTGGAGACAGAGTGTTTCATTTCTTCTGAAGGAGAGCTCCCCACTTAAGGATGTTTACACATTTCATATTTACAAGAGCCAGGAAATCCTTTCTATTGAATTTCTGCCCAGTTGAAAAGTCTTACAGGGACCCCAGAATTACAAGCATTTGAATTTAATTGAGTCTGAAATGGGATTCAGTATGCCATTCCACTTGGAGGTAATCATAATTCCCTCAATAAATTCTCAAGCTTTCTGGGGCTGGAGGCAGTATTTAAACTTGTCTTTATAGCCCAGTGTCTTTGCACTTAGAGGATGTTCAGGACATGTACTTTGAACTACAGTTTTTGAATATCTCACTTGTGTTTTTTCTTCTGAACAGAAAGCATAAGTATGTATGTTTGTATATACGTTTCTAGGTGTGTGTGCATGTGTATACATTTTCTTTCAGATGGACATTTAATTTCCTTCTTTGCTCTAGTGGCATTTAAATAATCACTGATAATTACTAGTGCTTCTAAAGTGCTATAGGCTCTAATTTTCCTGGACAAAGTCGGTGACCCTTGTCACTTGTGGTACCCCATGAAAAGGTCATCTTCACTCTCCTTTTCAGTGCTGAGTCAGTTGTAACAAGAACTGCTTTTGAAACATTACCATTTCATGGCCCTCCTTGCCGGTGGACATTAATTCTAAGTCATTTTATCTTGGCTGTGATGCTTTTTTAAAATATAGTAATCTTAAATGGGTTGCTCCTGGTTTTGATATTAACAAATATTTATTGGGCATTAATTGCCTGAGAATACTGTGAAGGGTTCCCCCAATAAATCAGATCCAACCTTTGTCTCCAAGAAGTTAAAGAGTCTCAATAGACTTTCAGATCTCATTGTAGACCAAACCTTACACACTAGAGTAAGTTGACTCAAGGATGACTGGGTTTTGCATCTTTCCCGTATGTTGGTGCTCAGCACTCTGTGAGTGCTTAATAAATGCCCAGGAGAAGACTTTTGCATCAGATGCATGATACCAATTAAATGCAGCAGCCAAACCTCAAGCTTGGCCTCTTGAGGTTCCAATGTAGCCTGGCTTTGCTGTTGTACAATTCTCTTGGACAAAGGAAATCTCTGTTTCTGTTAAGAGGGCAGTGGGATCGGTAGAGATAAACTTGGCTACAAAGATCCTAAATGCAAGTGGGAAATGTGGGACAGTGACTGATAAACAAGAGGATCAAGTCATGGGCACAAAAGTAGGCAGAAGAAGTTCATAGGAAAGAACTGGAAATTAGGGCTGCCAGGAAGAAGAAGGAATCACATGTGGAAGTGACTTTGTGCTGTTGCTCACAGCCAAGCCATTCATTCATTCATTCTTCATTCATTCATTCATTCATCCATTTGTTTGTTTATTCGCTCACGGTATGTATGTGGAGTTGCTACTATGTGCCAATTACTCTTGGAGAAACAGCAGCAAACAAGCAAAATCCCTGACATCAAAAAAGTTTCCTCACAGTGGGGAGGCACAAAATAAAAATAAGTTAAATATTTAGTGTGTTAGATGTTGCTAAGTTCTCTGGGAAAAAAATAAAGCAAGGAGAGAGGGTAAGGAGTGCCAGCCTGGATGAGTGGGTTTTAGGAGAAGCTGTCAATCAAAACCTCACTTAGGAGGGGCCACATGAATGAAGACCTGAAGGAGAGGAGGCAGCAATGGGGGGTGGGTATCCACTATGGTTTGTTTGTTGAAATTTGATTCGCAGTGTTGGAAGTAGAGCCTGGTGGGAAGTGTTGGGATCCTGGGGACAGATCCCTTATGAATGGCCTGGTGTCATTCTTGCAGGAGTAAGTGGGTTCACACTTTTAGTTCTTGTAGGAGCTTGTTGAAAAGTCCCTGGCACCTCCTTCTCTCTCTCTTGCTTCTCTCTCTTGCCATGTGATCTGCATACATTGGCTCCCCTTACCTTCCACCAGAAGTAGAAGCAGCCTGAGGCTCTCACAGAAGCAGATGCTGGCGCCATGCTTCTCATACAGCCTGCAAAACTGTGAGCCAAATAAACCTTTCTTCTTCACAAATGATCCAGCCTCAGGTATTCCTTTGCAGCAACACAGATTAAGACAGTGTCATGAGGGAGGAGTGGTCCTGGCAGGGGCTGTGCCAGTGCAAAGACGTGAAGCAAAATCCTGCTTGGTGCTGCAGGAACAGCAAGAGGGGCAGAGCCGCTGGAGCAGAGTGAGCCAGGGAAGGTTAGCAGATGATCGTGAACAGACAGTGGGCAGGGCAGGCAAGGGTACTCAGATTGCCAAGACTTTATACGTTCAATAAGGACTTTCAGTTTTTTGTGAATGAGATGACTACATCAAAGATTTTGAATAGAGAGTAACATTATAGGACTTATATTTTAACAGCATCACTAGACTGCTGCCTGGAGATAGGATGATGGGGTAGAGTTGGGGCAAAAGGAGACTTTTGTCTCCACAGGGAGACCACTGTGGGAGATTTTGCAGCAGCCTGGGTCAGAGATGAAGCTGACTTGTGCCAAGGTTGAAGATATAGATGCGATGAAAAGTACTAAGCTTTTTAAGAACCAGGTTTATTAAGATGTAAGCCATATACCATGCAATTCACCCATTTAAACTTCTATGGCCTCTGTGGCTATCAAAATCTCCTCCAACAAAATCAGGCTAACGAGGAACGAGGAAAGTGTCTTGTTAGTACCTAAAATAGCTGGTGGCCTTAATTACGGTCTGAAGAAGCTGGCCACGCTGGGTGCTGGTTTGTTGTGGTATATCTCTTAGTTCACCTTGAAAATTAGCTCTGAAAGGATTTGAAGAAACTAGTCACAGAATGATAAGTGTTGTTTGGTTTTGATGTTTTTGCTTGTTTTGTGTTATCTTTTGTATCAACTGTTTTAGCTGCTTCCAAATCGCATAAACTACGGAAGGTTGTCCTCGGTCAGTAAGTGTTAGCTAATTTCCCTGCTTCTTTCAGAAAGACCCCTGTTCTCAGAGGAAGATAATCCATATTCACACTTGGTTATAAGTATTTTATATGCATCTATTTCTTGTAAATCAAGAACCAAAAAGATCAGTAGTTGAACGACCTTTTTGCCTTTACACAATGCTTTTTATTTGGAAGGGTACAGTGTACACATTAATTCACTGAGGTAACACTGTTCTGAATCAACCCACTACTAGGATTCTTTAAAATATGAAAAAGATTTGCAGATTACCCACCTACAGAATTAAATGCAAAACAAATAAAATACTGGATGGTTATTATATTAGTCAGTGTCTTACCAGGACACCCAAACTCCTTTTGTATTTAGAAGACAGCAATGTAGTAAATGGGCTGTACACAGGTGCTATGACCACTCTAGGCATTGAGGCTCCCTGAGTTTCAGCAGTAAGAGGAGGCTGTTTCCACTTCTAGGTTAAAAGGACAAAGGGAGGATGTGGCTCTTTCTTTCCTTCTACCTACTGTCCTCAGCACTTTTCTTCTGATCTCAGGCTTGCTGCCTTGGGCTGCAAGGTGGAGGTCACCAATTCAGGCACTGTGTTCTCACACAGGTATGCTTAGAAACAGAAGGGTGCGGTGGTGATCTCTAGAGGGTGTGTCTCATGCCGGAGTGGACTGCCTGGAAACTCCCCGGGGCCTTGCCCTGATGTCCCATTGGCCAGACTGGGTCCATGCTCACCCTTTCCTGCCAGCCTCTTCTTATCCCTTCCAACGTCCCAGGTGCCCGAGAGGCTGCTAAGTGAACACTTGGCATTTTCTACCTAACTGGGTATAGAAAGCCTTTTGTGAATGTACATTTTGATAAACTTCTATAACCTTAATCAGTAATCCTCAATGGAGTGATTCTGTCTCCACCTTCAGGGCATATTTAGCAATGTCTGGAGACATCCTAGTTATCCTCAAATCCTCAACTGAGGGCAGGGGTATTGCTATTGGCATCTAGTGAGTAGAGAACAGGCCATGTAAATATCCTACAATGCGTGGGACAACCTCCACCCCAGAGACTTATCTGACCCCAAATGTCAATAGCACAAAAGTGGAGAAATCCTGCTCCAAGGAATTTCATTTATTTATTTATTTATTTATTTATTTATTTATTTATTTATTATTATTATACTTTAAGTTTTAGGGTACATGTGCACAATGTGCAGGTTAGTTACATATGTATACATATGTAACTAACCTGCACATTGTGCACATGTACCCTAAAACTTATAAATCATGCTGCTATAAAGACACATGCACACATATGTTTATTGTGGCATTATTCACAATAGCTCCAAGGAATTTCAAGGCCAGTCTGTGTTGTGGTCCTTGGTTCATTTGCAATTGGTGGTTTCAGTAAGCATTCATTCCTGGCTTTAACCAGAACTTGTTGAGGACAATTGACTCAATGCTTTGATAAGAGGGAGAGAGTAACCTTTTGGATCATTTTGGGTATGTACTGACCAAAATCAGTCTGTGGACTTCCAATTTGCATTTGTGGCTTTCTGCATTGTATAATACTTTCCCTGTAGGGCTGAGTGCCCTGAAGGATCTTCTCCCTTCAGAGTGCCGAGACATGTCTACTAAACTCCAACATGCACCCTGTTCTCCAGGAAAGTGGTCACCGGTGCCCCAGTGTTGATGTCAGTGGCCATGTCAGCTCCCATCTAGCTAACACTAGAATAACATTTCTTTCAGCTACTCCAGCTAAGCTCAGACCATTGTTCTAGCATAGAAGTCATGAACACAGACCCTGAAATCAAACATCAGATAGCAGCTTAATCACTGGTAAGTGCGAAATGCATATACAGAATGCTGTGTATCCTATGACATTAGTGAACAAGGGCTGCACTCATATATGCGTTTCACAGCATCTATGCATTTGTCTATCTGCAGACAAATAGGGAAACCAGAATAATAAGATCAATGATGACAATGAGATTTTTAAAACTAAACACTTCACATGTATATTCCATTTCTTCATCCATGTTGAGAGAACACAGATATTCACTTTACTGTTATTCCTTTCGTCATATGTGAACTTACCTTTACCTGGATATCTGCAAGTACTTTCTACATTTCTTTATCATGTGCCTGTGTTATCAAAAGAAAAAAAACGAAACTGAAAACAAATCTCCAGATTCATTGAACTAGGTAGGATACATCTTTTGAAACCAAACCAAAAAGAATCCAAATACATATGACTTCCCTGAGACTATAGTGGCAGAAACATAATTTGAACCTGGCTCTCTGGCCCCAGAATCTGCTCTATTTCCAGTCCTCATCTCATTTCTCTGAGGATCCTGGGTGCCATGTTGGGCCAGTGGCTTTCAGACCTCCTGGGTGAATGTCTTGCTCTTGACATTGGCCAGGGAATTGGCATCTTCATTGGTAAAAAGCCTTGGCCAGTCTATGACATTGAGTTTTATGATGTTCATGGTTGTAGATTCTTGTTGGAATCTCTTTCTCTAGGTTTTATTTTCAGTTCAATTAAGGAAGAAAGGATGAAGGACAGAGAGAAAGGGACCATGCCCTTGCATCCTCAGAACCTAACAGTGTCATTGAACAGGATGAGCAAGATTTGTCCTGGCCAGTACCTTCCTGGGAAGTTCTAACAGGAAGGCAGGTGAGGACGGGAAATGATCCATCACGGTTTTTTTTTTAGTATGCTTGAGTCAGCTCCCTGTGTTTAATTAAATTTGGTTTCTGTATGAAGCACATGAATGTATATAAACCCAAACAGAAATGTCTGTAGGGGAAACAATGGCTTCCACCTAATACTTATCAGGCACAACGCCAGCAGTAGCTGCCGCAAGCTCAGTCATTTTGTCACTGGCTGTTTTCTTGTGCTGAAGGCAGATGAGGCAGGTTAGGCGGCAGATGAGGCAGGTTAGGCAGCAGATGCTCCTGCCTGGGGCTGCTTAGAACTGGATGGAAACATCTGGTCCAGTTGCCACTTTGGCCATGGTCTGCCTCTGAGCAGGAGAAGTGGAAAAGCAGATATACTTGAAAGTGGAAGGAGAAGCATGTAGCACCACAGCTAAGTAAATTGCATCTGGAATCAGGACAACCTAGTTTCAAGTCCCAGCCTTGCCACTAACAGACTGTGAGCACTGGGCAGGTCTCTGGATCTCCCCTAGCCTCAATATTCCCATCTGCTGATGGGTACAGCACTGCCTGTCTCAGAATGGTACAGCAGAGCACCTGGTGTTCAGGAAACACCATCAGTGAAAGAAGGAACAGCATTGTTGCCTTTAAGTTGGGCACTGAGACTACACAACCTGCCTCACCCATGTGATGTGCGCAGTTTTAGATTCTCGGGAAGATGTATCCTCCATGTGTTTTGTTTGGCCCACCCAACATATTCACAATTTCTAAATTTATTTTCAAGATTAAAATTTAGAAATTTTACTTAACATGGAAGCTTCTGATGTGACATAGTTGAAGACCTGGCTACTCTGGGCCCCTTGTCCCCCTTGCTACAATTAGCTGTAGCTGAGAAGATGCTGCTTGCCTGAAACTCGGCATGGACTCTCTAGTTACAATGACAATGATGCCAACTTTGACACTTACTGAACATTTACTGTGGACAACATCTCATGGGCAGAGACAAAGAGAATCCCCATTTTACAGATGAGGCACAGAGAGGTTAAGTGACTTGCCTAAGGTCACACAGTTATTATCGACTGAGTTGGAAATGAAGCCTGACATTCAGCTCCTGGTGTCCCTTCCACAATTCCTCTATGGCAGCTTCTCCCCAACCAGACCTGATTCACTCATTAACCTGCCTGGCTCTCATTGGCATTAGAGTTTTTCCTCTGAGTCAGTTGTTCTCCCACTGCTATAATATCACAGATTTCTCAAAAAACTAAAAATAGAATTACCATTTGATCCAGCAATTTCACTACTGGGTATCCACCCAAAGGACAGTAAATCAATTTATCAAAGTGATACCTCCATTCCCATATTTATAGCAGAACTATTCACAATAGCAAAGATATGGAACCAACCCAAGCGTTCATCAATGGATCAATGGATAAAGAAAACGTGGTGTATATACAAAATGGAACACTATTCAGACATAAAAAAGAATGCAACTATGTCATTTGTGGCAACATGGATAGAACTTGAGGTCACTATCTTAAGTGAAATAGGCCAGGTATATAAAGACAAATATCACATGTTCCCACTTACATGTGGAAACTAAAAAATGGGAAAACATGGAGGTAGAGAGTGGAAAGATGGATAACAGAGCCTGGAAAGGGTGAGTGGGAGGGGAGGAAGAAAGATGAAGAGAAGTGGGTTAAAGACTACAAATATATAGTAAGATGGAAGGAATAAATTCAATGTTTGATAGCACACTAGGGTGACTATGCTTAACAAAGTGTATCATGCTTGGGTGAGGACAACCCAAATACTTCAACCTAACTTGATCACTATATATTATATACACGTTAGAAAATTTCTCACATGCCCCATACATTCGTACAAATAAAAAACATATAACACAGATTGTATTTGGTTTTGGCAGCAATGTTGGAGCTTATTTCAACAAGCTCATTCTTCCAGGGATGCTCAGTTGTGGAGGATCACATTTCCCTGGTCCTTTAAATTTCTTGCTCTCTCCCTGGTTCGAGGAGAATTTTTTTTTTTTTTTTTTTGAGACGGAGTCTCGCTCTGTTGCCCAGGCTGGAGTGCATTGGCGCGATCTCGGCTCACTGCAAGCTCTGCCTCCCGGGTTCACACCATTCTCCTGCCTCAGTCTCCCGAGTAGCTGGGACTACAGGTGCCTGCCACCTTGACCGGCTAATTTTTTTGTATTTTTAGTAGAGACGGGGTTTCACCATGTTAGCCAGGATGGTCTCGATCTCCTGACCTCGTGATCTGTCCGCCTCAGCCTCCCAAAGTTCAAGGAGAATATTTTTATAATCACCACCTAAACGGAGGTTGAACTGACCTGAAAGCCAATGGCTCCAGAGTTTCAGCTCTTTTTTTTTTCTTTTTCTTTTTTTTTTTTTTTTTTTTGAGACAGAGTCTCACTCTGTTGCCAGGCTGGAGTGCAGTGGCACGATCTTGGCTCACTGCAAGCTCCGCCTCCTGGGCTCAAGTGATTCTCCTGCCTCAGCCTCCCGAGTAGCTGAGACTACAGGCGCACACCACAATGTCCAGCTAATTTTTGTATTTTTAGTAGATATGGGATTTCACCATGTTGGCCAGGATGGTATTGATCGCTTGACCTCATGATCTGCCAGCCTCAGCCTCTCAAAGTGCTGGGATTACAGGCATGAGCCACCGTGCCTGGCTGAAGTTTCAGCTCTTTACTGGAAAATGTTTATCTTGGAGTGGTGGTGGCAGGTCGGGGGGCATGGCATGAATTCTGCTTAGAAGTCCTTGCTGGTTGTAGTGAAATGGCCAAAGGTTGGCCTTATCTCAGGCAGGACACACAGTCCATCCCTAGTGGTAGACCAGAAAATCGATTGCAATTGATTAACAATTAGTGAGTCATTTCCATGGAAGTCATTTGTGTTTTCAACAGCAGCTCATCCTCATTTCACTGCCAATTGATTCAGTCTTCTGCTCACAGTCCACGGCTAATGACATAGTAATTCCAATACGAGCTGTGGTTCAAAAGGCACCATTTGTGATGTGCAAACAAAAGTCTGATACGGTGAAATTCCAGCCAATTCACTTTGATGAACTGAGCAGAAGAATTTGTTTTGGACTGGGCTGCATCCCTTTACTGGTGACTTAATTGCAAAGGGCTTAATTCCAACATTGAAGGGAGTTCTAAGGAGTGTCCCCTCTCTTGGCTGACAGCACTACTCCTTCATTTATCTCCATCTCGGCAAATGGTGCCACCATCCACAAAATTGCCCTGACCACAGATCTAAGACAAATGCTGATGACTTTCTTCTACTCTACCACCATATCTAGTCAGTCTGCAAGCCCTGGGGACTCTAACCTGCACAATACATGTAGACGTCACCTATTTTTATCCGTCTCTGCTGCCTCCATCCCAGCCCAAGTCACGTGGACCTCTCCCTGGGTAAACTTCCTCAACCTCTTGCCCAGCCTCTTTCCCCCTTCTGGCCTCTAGCTGATTCAGTCTCCACACAGTGACCACAGTCATCTTTTTAAGTCATAAAACAGATGATATGAGTCTTTTGCTTAAAATTCTCCTTTGACTGCCAATCACAGTTAGTAGTGAATGTAAATTTCTCATTGTCAACTAAAGATATCTTCTTGATTTGGCTCTGTCTGCTCTGTTCCCGCATCTCTCACTGATCTTCCTCTCCCTCTCCACACTCCATCCTCCTTCTTTCCAGGAACAGCTTAATTCTGCTCTCACCTCAGGACCTTTGCACATGCCCTTGCTTCTGCCAGCAACAGTCTGCCCCCAGAGGACTGGCTCCAGCTTGCCCATCATGGCAAGGAAACACAGGATTCCCTTTCTTTGGTAGACCTGCTGTTTCCTAGTCATTCTCTATGATATTAAACTCTTTTCTGTCCTTTATTATACTCAGCCATCTTCAAAATGATTGTATACATATTTATTTGCATATTATTATAATTTACATATTATTATTATTGTTTCTCTCTTTCTCCATTAGTGTATCCTCCATAGGGACACAGATCTTGTATGGCTTTATAATTTTCTATTCAAAGAATCTGGAAGAGTGCTTAGCATATGGTGGGTATTCTGTTTGTTGGAATGTAACCACACTTTGTGTGCATCTTGTGCCTTTCTTGGCTCTCGAAAGTCTTACATTTGGTATGGTTTATGACTAGCTGGGCTGCTGGGGAAAAGGGTGAATTGTGGCCTTGGTCTCCTAAAATTGCTGCTCTTCAAGGGGAAGTGGTGAAGCCATTGACTAAGGACCCACCTCTAGAGGCCCTTGCTTCTTGATAACGCTGTAACCATTGTGAGGGGATAGCGGGGTCTTTGTGATCTTGTGTAATTTGCCTCCTACATAGCAGGCCCTGCAGTGGGCATTTGAGGAAATAAGCGAAAATAAGACATGATCCTTCTCCTGACAATCTCGTTTAGTTTGGGGATTAGGCAGGTAAAAAATGATGGTTCCAATCCAGGGTTAGAAATGCTGTTCTGTAAGATGGTACCAAGCTCCAAGGGAGCACAGAGGAATGGCTAGTAACTCTGTAAGAGGAATCATGAAGGGCTCCTACAATAGGAGCAATTGTGTTGGGTCTTGAAGAACAAGTAGAAGTTTACTGGACAAAGAAGCTGAGATCTGATGTTTAAGACATGTTTAAACAGCGAACGAATAAATCCCTGTGTGCATTTGGAATGCCACTCTGCTCACCGCTTAATTTTCAGGTGCACGGGTGGGAGGGTTTATGGAAGTACCTATCAGAAGGAAGAACAAAAAAATTGTGTCTCAGTTTCCCATTCAGATTTAGTTGCAATTCCTGGATTTCTAAGCAGATGTGATCTATGGAGGAACAACCCGGCTAACTGTCTGATTCCTTTCTTCATTTTTGCCTTTTCTGGCTTTCTCGTTTCTTGTTTCCTTTATTCTTTTCTATTATGTTTTGTTGTCTAACAAAGAGCATGTTAACTTTAAAAAATTTTATCAGAGCACTAAATTCATTTTAAATGATGTAGCAGACTGCCAGTTACCTAGGCAATATTTGATTTCTCTTTCCTCTTTAATAACAGAATTTCATTAGGATCAATGGTGAGCTAAAAGTCCACATTTCTCATCTTCCTTTGCAGCTTAGTTCCCCAGGTGATTAAGCTGTGGACCGTGAGATATTAGTGGACGTAGTGTGTTGAGCTTCTGTAAAGACCACTTGAAGGGAGCTGCCTCAGCTTGGAAACAAGGGCTCTTTTTATTCTTCTGTCTTCTGTTTGCTGCTTTTAACTGAGAGGAGATGACTGGAGCTCTGGCATTCATCTTGGACCTCAAGGTGTCTCTGATGGTGGAAGCCATATGACAGGATGGGAGAGCAAAAAGTTCCAAGGGCCCACGGAGAGGACACACTAGCTTTAGGTTGTTTCTTATCATCGCATTTTCATTTCCTCATTTGTATCATGAATTTATTAACAGTTCTTAACTCTTTATGTCATTTGTAAGATAAAATGATATGATTTATGTAAAATTATTGAGGACAGTACATGTCACGAAATAAGGGTGTTATACACAATTTTACTACTGTTTTGCATTGCTTTATATTCTAGTAATCACCAGTAAACACTTTAGCTTGTTCAATTCCTATATTACCTCCCTGAAGTATGACACCCACGCAATTCTGCCTGTATTTTACTGATGACAATTCATGCAGCTCATAAAGGGTAGGACAGAAATCAGCTTTGAGATTAAACTGAAAATGTGCAATAACAACAACATTATCACACACATGATTTATTATTTTATGTAGATTTTTCTCTTTTCATCGTCCAGTCCCCTACGACATGGATGTTGTGCCTTCCATTCTAGAGATGAGAAAACTGAGGCTGCCAGATACCAGGTATCTTGCCCAAAGTGACACAGAAAGAAATTGACAAGTATGCCTGATGCCTCTGCTGAGTGGTTGGTTGGGATTGAGGCAAAGGTCTCCAGGAACCGGGTCCTTTGTTCTTTCTGTAGGGTCATAGCTACCCCTGTTTCTGGGCTGTCTGTATAAATGAGACCCATTAGTCATGTAGCAGGAATTACACCTATGGAATTGAAAGCTTTAGTTTTAGTATAGCCTTATACTCAAAAGCCCTGGAGTGAGGACTAATTGGAAATTTTTACTGGTGCAACTTTTAATAATGATGATGCTATTGTAGTCTCCCTGCCTCTCAATATTCACAGAACTAAGCATGGCCCAATTTTGAAAACATCTGTGCAAAGGATCTTTTTAAAGCCTGCTGTCTATATCACAGAAGCCATCAGGGTCTGCGCATGTGGAGCTCATCTGGCCTTAGTGCAGATGGAGCCAGGAGATTCTGGCCTGATGCTAATGACACCGTGTATGTCCTTTGAAGAATGCCTTTCTCTCCACATTGCCCTGAATATGCAGACATCTCTATAGGCAATGCCTGACTCTGGGTGACGTTAATTCCATCATTCTGCATCTGAAATGGCAACTGGTTATATTTGCCTCAGAGTTCTAATTCTCTCATTTGTCTAAATTCTTCCCAGAGAGTTTTGTTTCTGTGCTGGCCTGTAATATTTTATCACAAGGCATATTAGTTCATTCTCACACTGCTATAAGGACATACCTGAGACTTGGTAATTTGTACAGGAAACAGGTTTCATTGACTCACCATTCAGCATGGTTGGGGAGGCCTCGAAATTTACAGCCACGATGGAAGGGGAAGCAAACATGTCCTTCTTTACATGGCAGCAGCAAGAAGTGCAGAGCGAAGGTGGAGAAGAGCTCCTCATAAAAGCATCAGATCTCGTGAGAACTCACTCACTATCACGAGAACAGGATGGAGGTAACTGCCCCCATAATTCAATTACCTCCTATGACACGTGGGGATTATGGGAACTACAGTTCAAGACAAGATTTTTTGAGGACATGGCCAAACCATATCACAAGGGTAGAGTTTAACAGGAGTGTTTTGATCTCAGGTAAAACAGGGTAGGAGCCTGGGCTCATAATGTCACTTTGCATTATTATAATGGTTTGTGATTTACCAAATGCTTTGTTATGCATATTCTTATTTGATTCTCTGTAAGGTGAGTAGAGAAGAAACAATGATCTTTATACTTGAATGCTCAACAATATTTGGTGGAGCTGATTACTTGATTTTTCTTCAAACATTTTGTTCACTTCCCATCTGGTACACAATTCTCTCAGTCCTTTTTCTTTAACCTCACTGCCTTAATGTTCTTTGGTAGACTTGCTAGTCTTTTTTTCTCTTCCAGAGCTCCAAACATTGACGTATCCCAGAAATCAAATTTTATAAAACATATTTTCTCTATGCATCATTAGTTTTACACCAAGTGACCTGATTCAGTAGCATGTGTTTAAATGTCATTTATTTATCCCAGATTAATATCTTCAGCCATGATTGCCCTGAAATTCTACTTTCATATGGACAACTATCTCCCCAAAATCTCCATTCAAGTGGCTAATAGGTCTCTTCAACTTGCAGTGTCCCAAATTGATTTGTTGATCTCTATTCCCCTGCAATTCTTGTCTTCTCAAAACCAGAAAAGGCTGCTTTCATCTGTCATGGGTTGATTGGTTGCCCCAAAAGATATATCCAAGCTGTGAGCTTCACTTTACTTGGGAAAAGGAACTTTACAAATGCAATTAAGTTAAGAATCTCGAGATAAGATCATCCTGGATCTCGATTGGATCCTAAATCCAGTAACAGGTGTCTGGATAAGAGAAAGGCAGTGAGATATTTAAGACACACAGAGACACAAGCGAGAAGGCCACATGAAGACAGAAGCAGAGGTTGGAGCAAATCATCAACAAGGCAAGGAACGCCATGGGTTGCTGGCAACACCAGGAGCTGGGAGAGAGGGAACAAATTCTACCTGAGAGCCTCCAGTAGGACCCACCTTGCTGACATCTTCATTTTGGACTTCTGGCCTCCAGTTTGTGGCACTTTGTTGTAGCAGCCCTAGGAAACTCATGCACCATCTTTCCATGTATTCAGACTCAAGTGGCAAATGTGGATTGTCTCTTCTCCTTCTTTCACTCCTACATTCAACCCATCAGAAAACTGCCAGCTCTAATTTCAAAGTGTCTCACTTTTCCAAACTTCCTCGACACTTCTGCTACTGTCACTCTTGTGTCTGCTATCATTCTTGCCTGGTTATTGTAATCACTTCTTTGCTGGTAAGATAATGTCCCACCTCTACCCAGGTCCCGCCAGTGCCTTCTTATCTTTCTCAGAGCAAGCACCCCAAATTCCTCCTATGGCCTACTAGGACCACCAGCCTGGGGTCCTGGCCTGCTCTCTGACCCCACCTCCCACCACTCTCTGTCTTCTTCGCTCACCGCACTGCAGCCACTCTGGCTTCCTTACTATCTCTCAGACCTTCCATACATAGTCCCGCCCCAGGACTTTTGCACATGCTATTCCTGTGGCTGACTCTCTCTTTTCCAGATAGTGATTTGGCTCCCCAGTTACATCAAGCAAATCTCTGCATAAATATCATTTTTATCAGAGCTTATGTCCCCAAACACCCTGTGTGAAACATTAACCCCATCAATTACTGTCTCTTCTCTAGCTTTATGTTTCTTTATCATACCTATGTGTTGTCAATATATATTTGTGTGTGGTGTCTTTTTCCAAGTTGAATGTAAGCTTCCTGGGTTACAAGGTATTTTTCCCTCTAGTATTTTTCTCTGCTATACCCAGGACTTAGACCAGTGTCTGACATGGAATAGGTGATCTGTACATATCTGCTGAATGAATAATGAATCTCAATTTTACTGAAAAATAAATTTGAGTTTCAGAAGGTTATAGGGCCTTAATCCATTAAGAACCCATACATTTTGGTGGTACATCACCCTGGGTCTCCCAATTCTATACAGGTTCTTCAATGTCACTATTCAAGGTGTTCATTACTGAGGAGAGGGAATTTCCTCAAGTGTGCTTCTTCCCACGTATTACAGGATATAAACAGCCCCTTAAACAAATGTTTTGGGTCTAGTAAAGTCAGGAGACAACTAAAGTGATGAACTATATTAGTTTCTCATTGCTGCTGTAACAAATGACTAAAACTTGGTGACTTTAAACAACAAAAACTATTCTCTTACATTTCTGGAGGTCAGAAGTCTAAAATGGGCTTTATAGGGCTGAAATCAAGGTGTTGGCTGGGCTCTGTTCCTTCTGAAGCCTCAAGGGCACAATTCGTTCCTTCCTTCAGCTTCTAGAAGGTGCTCACATTCCCTAGCTGGTTTCTCCCTGACATCTCCAAAGTAAGCCATGGCTGATCGAGTCTTACCTTATGTCACTCTGTCTCTCTTATGAAACCCCCATGGTTACAGTGGGCACGTTCAAATAATCTCGGGCAATCTTCCCATCTTGAGGTCCTTAAATGAATCATGTCTTTCAAGCCCTTATTACCATATAAGGGAGCATATTCACAGGTTCTGGGAATTAGGATGCGAACATCTTTTGGAAGTGAGAGGACCATTATTCTGTTTATTGCATGAACGAAAACAGATTTCATACTGATAGTTAGAGCTTTCAATATGCAAAATTCATGTGATAATCCATAAAGATGGGAAGGTTTGGTGGTCCCAGAGCCACAGTTCCTTTGCTCTGCTCCTATTAAAACGTGGTCTTGTGTCCCATTACATTCAGAATAAAATCCAAGTTCCTCCCTGCAGTCTGCATGGCCTATCAGGATCAGGCCCCTGCCTCCCACTTCAGTGTTGTGTTCAAACACTCTCCTTGTCCCTCACTAAGTGACAGAAGACCCTGGCATTCTTTTGTGGTGAGCACCCCAGGCTCACTTCTGCCTGAGGCCATTGAAACCAGCTGTTCCTCTGAGATCCTCATTCCCAAGAGATTTTCATGGTCAACTTGTCTTCTCATTCTGGTCTCACTCAGTTGTCACCTACCCAAAGGCCTTCTCCTGGACCTTCTCAGGTGTGCCCTATGCTGGGAGAGGTTCGGTTTCAGGAGTGAACTCAGTAGGGCTTGCAACCAGAGCTTCGGGCTCATGGACAACAAGGCTGTTGAGCAGCACTGAGCTGCGTCTCTGCCACTCCAAGCACTTGGATAGGAGAGAAATATTTTGAGATACCTCCAGACTCTGTGTCCATGTTTTCATTCTTTCATCCAGCAAATTGAGATTAATGTAGGGTAGTCTTTCTAAAAATGCTTCATACATATGTACTCATTAATTCTTTAATTGGAGAATGAGACCTTCTATAGACCAGTCTCACAGGCCATAGATTGACAAAGAAAAACTATAACAAAAGGTCTCTGGGGACACTCAATGAGAGGTGTGATTTCCTTTTCCTTTGTTTTGTTACATTTCAAAATGGACGTCACCCACCACAGGAGATATACTTTGGGGCTTTATGGGAGACTATCCGTGAAGGAGGCTTTTAGGTTACGAAGCAGTGTGACTCAGTGGGAAATGCTGGTATTGTGTTTTACAGGTGCCCATGGGATATGTGAGGCTGTCTTTGCTTGGGTTACCCCCAAAAGCAGATTTTGAAGCAAAGATTTAGGTGCAGCCATAGCTTGAGGAAAGTGACTCCAGGAAGCATGATGAGGATGCAGAGAGTGGGAGGTGGAGGGTGGTGAGACAGGGATGGGCAGATGTCAGAGGCTCTCCTTTTGTCTTGATGAGCAGGTTTTCAATGCAGGCTCCATCCCACAGGATGCACTCTGAGAGTGGACAGAGCTTGGCTCTGCATTGCCTCTCTAATGGCAAGGAAGCTGGGGTTCGAACCCACTCATTCTCATTTTTATTGGGTCAGCTGCAAGTTGAACTCTCCGTAGTAGATGCTCAGACAGAATTTGAGGTGCAAAATGTAAGGGACAAAGACCTGGGAAAGAGAGAATTTGGAGTCAAACTTGGTTGCAGAATCTACGTCAGCCAGCCCAGAAGTGAATTCTGGGGCAGGCATTGCTGATCTCAGTGGCCAGCATCAGGCAAAAAATGGGCCTTTGCACCCCATCTCACTCAGGCACCAGGTCCACTGCCCTGGGAGGGGTGTGATCTCAAGTGAGGGGGCTCTCTGTATCTGGGGAAGACTGCAGGGGAGACCCAGCGGGAGCCTGTCTGATGAGTGCCCCTCCTCTCCTCCAAGCTGGGATCTGGGTTACTCCCAGGTTTTTACCTGAATACCTGTGAGGGTAATCCAGAATGGCAATTGCTGTCCCCTCATAATTTAATGTGAAAAAAACTCCCACAGAGGAGAAAATACTTTTCTAAGACCACATGTCCTCTTAGGAGCAGACAGAACATCTGAGTCCTCAACCAGCATGATTTCTGGGAATGGCATCTTGCATCCGTCTTTGTCATCTTACAAATTGTTCTAGGAAAGCATTTGGAGTCCTGGTTCCATTTTTCTATATTAAAAGATAAAGGGATAGCTTTCAGAAGAAAAACCCAATCTTCCCTAAGACAGCTTCTCTAGAGGCTACTTCATGCCCCCTTGAAATAATGAGTTTCTATTTCTGACCCATCGTAATGAAATTGGCTTTGCTAAATCACCTGCGGGTGGCTTGAAGTGTCCACCTCTGAGGCTGCACGAAATCCAGGTGGGGGAGCACTCTGCAGCATGGAGCTGCCTAGATTTTGGTGGAGTCTCTGGGTAGATGCAAGGGGCTTTTCTCAGGAGCTGTAGCCCCTCCCTGTGGACCAGTGCCTTGTAGTGCAGTTGAAAGCTTTGACCCATTTCCATTTTTTTTAGATCTTCAGAAATATTTTAAAAATATGAAACTAACAAGAGAGTTACCAAAACTGTAGTATCATTTAAATATTTATATTTAATGAATTGACACTTTCAATGTACATATGAAACAACTGTTCTTGTTAAAAATGATTGTGGGTTTTATTAAAATAAACAATTTTCCAAAAAGCGTCAGGCTAATATTTCACTCTTCTAAACAGCTATGCCTATACCACTTGTTTGTGCCTGACTCCCTTTTGGCTGTTAACTAGTTTAGGTTGTTACTTCAGCAAACATGCAACTTGCATCTGCTGATGAAACTGAAGTGCATCACTGTGTGGCCACCACATTCTTGTTCAATTCTGACATGATATCTCTGTAGCTGTATGTACACAACATGACTCAGAGATAAAATACACAAACTAATGGTGATGGGCTTTGTAAAGGTGAAACTTGGGTTGGAAGCTTTCCTGACTTGAACCACCATGCACATCTCCTCGGAAAATCTCCAGATTACATCAAATGGTTCATTTCAGTAATGACTATAGTAATATTGGCAGTACCTGTGACTCTCCTGATACTGAGTGGAGAGCCCACAAGTTAGGAAGAGGCTGAATGGCACGGGTGCTAAGGGCCCAGTCTCTGGAGTCAGGCTGCCCTGATCCCAAGCCTGGCTCCTATGTTCCCAGCTATGTGACTCTGGGCAAGTCACCTTACCTTTCTGAGGGTCGCCTTCTCCATCCTAAAATAAGGCTAATAATAGAACCTACTTGTGATAGTCATTAGTGCTGCTTACAAATATTTCTACCTGTTGGGTAGAATCAATGTAACTGACAATGTAAGTGTGACCAGATGTCAACTGTATCACTTCTGGGCTGGAAAATGTTGTCCCCATGACAAGAAACTTCAGAGTGTTATTTCCACGTGAACATTTGCTTTCTCATATAGAGGCTGCTCCATCAGCCTGGTTCTTGGTATATGGACCATGGATGTAATAGGCTTAAGCTAATGATGGACACATGTATCAGCAAGAAATAAACCTTTGTTATTTTAAGTCAAAAAAACTTATGATATGCTAGGGATTTTTTGTTACAGCAGCGAATCTCATCTATCCTGTCCGATTCACCATCTCACAGGGTCATCGTCAGCATTCAATAAGTTGGTATGTGTAGTAAGTGTTGCACAGTGCCCAGCACGGGGCACCTCTCAAAAACACAACTGTGATTGTCATGCTTGGTCAGTCTGCTGGAACTCAGTCCTCACTTTGCATGGTGATCCTGGCCAGCCTGTCCATATGATCTGAGGATGCTGCCAGCATCACAATGCACGGGGAAGAGCTCAGAAGGGAGGCAGGAGTTAAAGACCTAGTTCAGCCAAGATTGTGATCTGGCAAGACCCCATTGACATCTCTAGTTATGTTGCTCACAGCTGCAATAGGAGGGGGTTAAAGTAGGTGAGGTCTGAGGCCCAGGTGTGTCCAAACTGCAGTTTTCAGACTGCCATAAATTTGTTTAACAGAGTTGCTGCCTAGGCATTCACCTACAGGTCTGTCATCAGTTGTTTAAAACCCAGTCATAACTTGTCATCTTTGGCCTCATTAAACCTCCCCCTCCCCGTGTGCAATTTGCGATACAGCCAGCTTGTCCTCATCTCACTGACCCCAAATCCACAAATGCCACAGCTGCTGACCATGATAAAATTTACTTGTCAACACCAGAGTGATGTAAATAAGTTCCCTACTTCCAGCATGTTTTCTTTAGATATCCAACCCATAACCCCCATGGGAAAGCCTAAAGGAGAATGTTCACGAACCTTAATAAAGGTGAAGTCCCACAGGTCCTCTCTCTCTCCCCTCCTGCTGGTTGACGTCTCCTTTGCCTCCAGACCTCCCCTCAGCCTCCCATCGGCACCCATAACCTCTCTGGGGTCTGTAAGTAATAAATTCATTCTCTTCCATGCATTTTGGCTTCATCTTTTCATTGTGTCTCTGACTGACACATTTGACTCTAACTCTCCTCCTGTCAGGGCCCTCCTAAAAGATGGCTATCTCAGCTTGTGACCCCTGTCAATAGAGAGAACTGAAGACTAACTTAGACAAAAATCATGACAATGAAAAGCACAATACAGACACTCCACGCTCCTTCACACAGAGCAGCTGCTCTGTCTTCATCAGTTGTACAGAGTGTGGCTCTGTGAAAGTTTTATTTGATGAAATGGGGAACCCTCCATGTTCAAATGGTGACAGGCAGCATTTGGGGTGTGATGGGGGCCAGGCAGATGTGTGTTCACATCCTGCTTCTTCCACTTTCCAGCTCCAGAATCTTTGCAAAGTTATCCAAATACTTTGAGCTTTAGTTTCTTCATTTACAAAATTCATTACATAAATTGTTGGAACAAACAGTTTTACATGTTTATGATGTGCCAAGCATTGTTCCAGACCCAGGGGAGAAAGCAGTAAATCAAACAAACTTAGTCCCTGTTCTAGAGCTTCTAGTATAGTGCTGCAGTGTCTGAACCTTTCTTCATTCTGTGGATCATTTTGGCAGTCTGAAGAAGCCTGTAGAACCTTCTCACATTATTATTTATAGTGAAATAAAGTATAAAGTACTTTACATGCATAAAGTAAAATACATAGCATCACAAAGGAGATAAATTATACTGCAATGTATGTATCACAATCTGTGAAACAGTAATAACATATCAATTTCCTTGTTAGTAACCAGATTGATATGGTTTGGCTGTGTCCCCACCCAAATCTCATCTTGTAGCTCCCATAATTCCCACATGTCATGAGAGGGACCCGGTGGGAGGTAACTGAATCATAGGGACGGGTCTTTCCCATGCTGCTCTCTTGATAGTGAATAAGTCTCACGAGGTCTGATGGTTTCATAAAGGGGAGTTTTCCTGCACAAGCTCTCTCTTGCCTGCCTGTCTTGCATGTAGGATACCCCTTTCTCTTCCGCCATGATTGTGAGGCCTTCCCAGCCATGTGAAACTGTGAGTCAATTAAACCTCTTTCCTTTATAAATTACCCAGTCCCGGGTACGTCTTCATTAGCAGCGTGGGAACAGACTAATACAAAGATCTAGTGATGGGTCAAATAGCTAGCATAATTTTAAAGTAGTGGTGAATATAAGTGACGTTTTAAAACATCAGCCATGACTGTAATATGATATGAAAATATAATTTCTACTATTAACAAAGTCACACATACTGCTAATATTACTATGGTCATTACTGAAATGAACCACTCAATGTAATTTGGAGCCTCTAAACTTTGGTTTGAATTCTATTTCTGCCATAGTTTTCAGTTGTCATCTTGGAAAAGACAACTCGCTTCTAGGACACCTGTGTCCTCCACAAGATGAACAGAGCAGGAGCTATGCAAGAAAGTGTTGTCTGAAAGAGACACAGTGTCTGGAAAGAACCTGTGCGTTAAGTAGGATGGTTTTGCTTACAAGTGAAAACACCCACTCTGATAGAATGAGCGTTGGGTGTGTGCCAATTCTTGAACCCATTTCAAGGGACAGAGGAATGTGAGATGCTGACTGCCTGCAGGCCTTGGTCCAGGCAGTACCTCTGGAACTGGGGATGATGTCAGCTCAGATAAGAGAAATATAAATAAAAGTGGCTGGGGGAGAGTAATTTTCTCAGGATTGCAGGACAATGAACATAGCAGGTTTGGGATGAAGTGCTATGTAACCACAGTTCCATAATCAGGACCTTGCTTCCTGAGTTAAGTTGCTCTGCCTGTTTTTACAGTGTTTTAAGATGCACCAAGATTCAACATTTTTAACACTAGTATTGGGAGTTATTTCCAATTTTCACCATGACATACAAACAGAGATTAGTTAAATTCTGGATGTCAGTACTCCCTTGTGATCACACAGTCCTAGTCACTGGGTTGGTACCTCTGCCTCTTTGCTTCAGTCATGATTCACCTGCTTCCCAATAGTGAATGCAAGTCCTGAATTTGAAGTATTAAGAAAGGGCATGCATTCTTTTTCCTTGTCCAGTAACAGGATCAGCTGAAATCAAATAACTAAAATTGTTCTCCTGGGATCTCTCTTTCAAGTGGAATTTGTAAGCAGTCATATCCATGAGCTACACACTTCACAGAAATCACCAAACTGCTTTGGGCACCTTGTTCCCACTTAACTATAATGCTTCTCATTTTCCTTCTCTAGATGAGGCCCCCACAACTGCCATCCATCACAACATCATAAGCTTTTAGGAAGTGATCACTTGAGCATAGAAATGAACAGTGTTGTTATAACATAAAGATATCTCAAGCTGTCAATTCCTGTAGACCCCTGGATCCCAGAGGGTGGCATTGTTTAAAGAAGGGCACACAATTGCCCATATTTAAGAAGAAATAGTTATTTCTTGGAAACTGCTAAATTTTCGTATGAAAGTAGATAAGCATTCTGTTTCAAAGTGGATTCTTTGAAAGCAATAGTGAAATCTTTAGGATTGCTGAGAGTTTGTAGCTAACTGAATACTATGGTTCCCATTTGCAGAAAAAGAGTTGCCTACATTGGAAAATCTATCATTTTGCATTTAAGAAAACCAAAGCAAATAAACAAACAAAGAAAAACATATGGTTTCCTCTTATCGGGGGGAAATTCGTTGAAGGACTAAGAAAAGGATTTTTTTTTTGCTTTTAGTAAGTGACACAACATTTTGGTGTGTTTTTGTAAAGAGGTCGATGTTAGGGACTGGTCATTTTCAGTGTTGTTTTATGTATTCTTGAGAAATAAATCTACTCATCTAAGAATGGAATGTTCAGGACAATGGCCACTAGCTGCATGTGGCTATTTAACTTTAAATAATTTCAAAATTCAGTTCATGGGTTGCATTGGCCTCATGTCCAGGGCTCAGCAGTCACAGTGGGCACTGCATTGATCAGCATAGAGTACAGAACACCTTCACTGCAGAAGGTCCCATTGCACAGTGCTGCCCAAGCCTTATGAAGAGAAATGATGGGGTGGGTTTGACGTGATACAGGAAAACAAAAACAGTTTTGCAGCAAGTGGTTCCATTAATATGTGTTCGTGTCCTGAAATATTATGCGTAAATGTTTGAAAATCACATCACATCATGATTGGTTTGGATTATAATAACTTAGCAAAGCATCTTATTTGTACATTCAGCTGGCTTAATAGGTTCATATGGCTTTACTTTTCCATTTGAAGGATAAGATGGGGAATAATTTATCAAACAGAAAAACAATACTCGTCATAATTGGCCTTCTAGTTTTTGGTTTTTTAATAAGGCATTGGAAGAACGCTCTCAGATTCTTTCTGACATGAATTCTCTCCTGTTTCTCCTGACATCACCTGTTTCTTTTTGGTGAATCTAATGTGGAAGAAATAGATATATAATTTATATTATAGAATTATATTTAATTTATATATAAAATATGTTTTTCAAAAATCCTACAGCTTATTTTCTTATTTAAAAAATAAAATTGATTTGGAAGGATGAAAGGGATGAGAGTTCTCCATGAATTTTCCCTAAAAACATTGTTTTCTTTCCTCCTTTTTTTCTAAGGAAACCGTTGAACATTTTATAAATTTGTCTTAACTAGGCGCACTCCTCTGAGATGCATCTTAGGCCTTGAGTTTTAGGTCACTGTGGCAGGTCTAGGATTTAACAAGGGGCATGTTTTGCCCTTCCCCAAGTCACCTGCACTTAATACAGCATCAGACAATGGAGTCTATGAGAGATGACAGTTGCTGTGCTATTTTGTGTTTTGTTTTGTTTTGATGTGCCCTCTCTGTTTCATGTCCTGTGCTGCACTTTAACATACAAAATTAGTTAGGCCTGTCTCTTCCTTGAAGTTCCCAGTACAGCCAAGAGGCAAAGATGGAGTGTGTGTGAGGGACAGAGAGCGTAGCCCAAGACTCTTGCCATTGGAACCTATGTGGCACCTACCAGCTTACAGTTTCTACTGAACAACAGGGTTCATTTATGTTTAAGTAAAATCTTCATTTCAGGCTCGATTTTTAACAGTTTCATGCTTTTCCTCTGGAGTTTTCCTCCCTGTAGTGCCATGTAATCAAGCTTAGGTTTTAATTAAACAGGTGCTATTCGCTTGTTAGTCCTGTGGAAACCTGATGTTTCCCAAATTTTAATTTAGTCCACGCTGGATAAGAACATTTCTTCAGACAAAAAAGAAACGTGATTAGTGAGGTATAGTGGAAATGAGGCAGAAATGTACTGAAGTGTGGATAGATTCAGGTAGAGGAGGAATAAACACTTAAGTAATTGTAATCAGGCATTGGAGCTGGGGTGTATGCAGATCAAGCTGCATTGGTAGGAGCAGAGGATGCAGAAGCACAGGGAATCCACACTAAAGTTCACAACTGAAAGTTATCTACCTACTTCTGTCTTCATGTCCTTCTGCTGTATGTCTGTCTTTCTGTCTACCTTGGAGCCTCATTCTCTCTCTCCCTCAGTCTGCAGTTGTCTACGTGTCTCTAAGGTGATCTTCTTTGTCTGTTTCTACCTATCTGAACTCTGTTTCTGTCTCTATTTAAACCTGCATGTTCTTTGCCTCCCTTTCTTTCTGTATTTCTTTCTGCCACATGTCATATTTCTCTCTGTCTCTAATCATGTTTGCTCTCTAATTGCTAATCTCTAGCCCTGTTTGTTTAAGGTTATCTTTCTTTACCTCTCTTAAATATCCTATTTCTTCTGTTTCTGTCTCTCTGTTATGCTTCTCTCTTTACTTAGGCTTGGTGCACTCTTACGTGGTCTCTTGTTTTTCCATCTTACCATCAATCCTCTTTTTTTGTAGCTCTCTGTCTGTTTGCCTCTACATTTCTCATTGTTTTTCCTCCTCTTTCCCCAAGAAGGGATCTCCTTAGCCTGTCCTTCTTGGCTCAAAATGAAGCAGTTACATATGCCTCTGACAGACTGATAGGAACCTGTCTCTCAAACAGCATCCTCTATTCAGCCTCAGAAAATAAATACCATGGGTGCTGAGAACATCAATGCTTCATTCACCTATTCCTTGCCTTCATGGAAAGCTGAGTCTTTATAGTAGAATGATTTATAATCCTTTGGGTATATACCCAGTAATGGGATTCCTGGGTCAAATGGTATTTCTGGTTCTAGATCCTTGAGGAATCTCCACACTGTCTTCCACAATAGTTGAACTAATTTACACTCCCACCAACAGTGTAAAAGCATTCCTATTTCTCCACATACTCTCTAGCATCTATTGTTTCCTGACTTTTTAATGATCGCCATTCTAACTGGTGTGAGATGGTATCTCATTGTGGTTTTGAGGTGTGGTGTTTCATATGTTTGTTGGCCACATAAATGTCTTCTTTTGAGAAATGTCTGTTCATATCCTTCACTCACTTTTTGATGGGGTTGTTTGTTTTTTCTTGTAAATTTGTTTAAGTTCCTTGTAGATTCTGGATATTAGCCTTTTGTCAGATGGATAGATTGCAAAAATTTTCTCCCAATCTGTAGGTTGCTTGTTCACTCTGATGATAGTTTATTTTGCTGTGCAGAAGTTCTTTAGTTTAGTTGGATCTCATTTATCAATTTTGGTTTTTGTTGCCATTGTTTTTGCTGTTTTAGTCATGAAGTCTTTGTCCATGCCTATGTCCTGAATGGTATTGACTAGGTTTTCTTCTAGGGTATTTATGGTTTTAGGTCTAACATTTAAGTCTTTAATCTATCTTGAATTAATTTTTGTATAAGGTGTAAGGAAGTGGTCCAGTTTCAGTTTTCTGTATATGGCTAGCCAGTTTTCCCAACACCATTTATTAAATAGGGAATCCTTTCCCCATTGCTTGTTTTTGTCAGGTTTGTCACAGATCAGATGGTTGTAGGCCTCTGTTCTGTTCCATTGGTCTATACATCTGTTTTGGTACTAGTACCACGCTAAAGAAAATGAGGCACATATATACCATGGAATACTATGCAGCCATAAAAAAGTATGATTCCATGTCCTTTAAAGTGACATGGATGAAGCTGCAAACCATCATTCTCAGCAAACTAACACAGGAAGAGAAAACCAAACATTGCATGTTCTCACTCATAAGTGGGAGATGAACAATGAGAACACATGGACACAGGGAGGAGAACATCACACACCAGGGCCTGTCAGGGGGTAGGTGGCTAGGGGAGGGAGAGCATTAGGAGAAATACCTAATGTAGATGACGGGTTGATGGGTGCAGCAAACCACCATGGCACGTGTATAACTATGTAACAAACCTGCACGTTCTGCACATGTATCCCAGAACTTAAAGTATAACAACAACAAATAGCTGAGGCTGGGCCATGCAAGGAGTTTGTTCAAATTCTTCATACTTTTCTGTTTATTTTAAAACAATATGAGCCTGCACAGATACCAACACAGCAAAAGCCACTCACAGCTCATTTTTCCAATTGCATCCTCATTGCCTCATTGAAAACAATTTCCCTTAAGGGGTTAAGGGCATTGACTAAGAGTGTGCGTTTCAGAGATGGACATCCATGGGTGTGATTCAACCTCTGGTACTGACTAGATGTGTGGCTTTGAGTGAGTAACTACACACCTCAGTGACCTTTTCTAAAAAGTTGGTTTAACGATGGTAGTTCCTTCTCAGGGTGTCTGCTCTTGCCTTGGTATCCACTTGGACTGCTCTGGTCTTAATCTTTACCTGCTTGGCTCATGCATATTTCCTTTTGGTGAAGCCGACTTCCCTTAGGCTTTCCAAACCAGCTTTTTCTCCCTTTTAAGTAGATCATAATTTTTAAAAGAATTCTTCATCACTGAACATTTGGAAAGAACTTTTCATCTTTGCAAAGCTGGCAGACTGGGGATTATTACTTCCATCTTTATGAATGGGAAACGAAGACTAGAGAGATTATTGCTGGGTCTGAGTCACCAGGAAGTTGGTGGCAGAACTAGGACTTGAACCTGTCTCTCCTGATTCTCCTCACAGCCATTTGTCTTGCATCCTTAAGTTGCTGGTGTAATGATCAGTGTCTGTAGTTGAAAAAGCAAAGCATGCATACAAGTGAAGGAATCATTGGTACTTCTAGGTTCCTGTGGAAGGCATGATGCCTTTAGATCACCAATCCCTCAGTGAGGTCAGATTGCAGAAGATATTGATTTATTTTTTATTAGAACCCTTTGGTTGGGACTTTTCTGATTGCAAATAAGAGAAACTTGCTGGAGCTAGCTGGAGCACAGATAGGATTTATTATGATAACAGCGTGCCTCACTGACCCCAAAGACAGGGAAGGAGCCACTCCTCAGGAATGAGCTGGACCCAAAGCTCCAGGCTTATAGGAAGTTTCTTCCACCTTCCATCTCTGCTTCTGTCGGCACCTCTGCTTCATGCTTCCCTGCCTTCTCCACTTCCCAGGTCATGTGGCAGAAAGTAGCTACCAATCTTTCCTGAGTTAACGTCTCCTTCTTTCAAATGAGAGGTAGACCAAGGCTGGAATCCATTATTTCTTCCAATTCCCCAAGGGAATGGCTCATTGGCCCAATGTGTGTCATCTTTGGACCAATCCACAGCAGCTAGGTGGGCAGGGTTATATAGACATAATGGTTACCAGGCAACCCTTTGATGTTTCTGCGACAGTGGGGGTTAAGAACAGGAAAATTCCCAACAGGTGCTTATGGCAGCATTGATTAATGGCTTTGCACTCACTCAACAAACATTATTTGAATGCTATGCCAGGCACCTGGCACTGTGCTAGAAACTGGCTCAAAGAAATGCATTCCCTTCCCTTGTGGAGCTTACAACCCTGCTGTTTTTCTTTGATTCAGTTCTCATTCTCTGCAGGAAAAACATTCATCCTTAATGTTAATTTACCAGTTTCCACCTTGCCAATAGAGAGGTTAAAGATGCACCTATTCTTCATTCTGTAGGGCTAGTGGTGAATATTATTCTTGATCAAGTAAATATGTTGATGATATTCATAAGGCCTATTTCCCAACTGTCTTCTTTATTAGTGACTCCTAGTGTGCTGAGATAGTAGGAATTTACCATGGAGTTATCATTAAAACATGCTGCTCCAACATTTTACCCACCTTTCCTCTAATAATAACTGTTCCAATAATGTAAAGACAACACGCTGAGCTTAGCTGATGTCTTAGTCCATTTTGTGTTGCTACAAAGGAATACCTGAAGCTAGGTAAAGAGGTTTATTTGGCTCACAGTTCTGAAGGCTGTACAAGAAGCATACAGCTGTCATCTGTATCTGGTGAGGACTCAGGGAGCCTCCCCTCATAGCAGAAGGCAAAGGGAAGCTGACATCACATGGCGAGAGAAAGGAAGGAAGAGAAGAGGAAGGTGCCAGTCTATTTTTAATAACCAGACCTTGCAGGAAGTAAGAATGAAGATGCATTCACTTCCAGCAGAATGACACCAAGCTATTAATGAGGGATCTGCCCCCATACCTCAAGTACCTCCCACTGGGCCCACCTCCAACACTGGGGATCAAATTTCAACATGAGATTTGGAGGGAACAAATATTCAAACTATATTAGCTTATTTTTTAAATTTATTCTCTCTAGGTACTACCATATTTAAAATGCCTTTCATGTCCAGAAACTGATAGGTTGTGGAATTAGAAATTACATACTGTCTTGAATTAACATGTTAACTTGCTGTTTAATTTTCTGCAAATGCCACTCCCCATATATATTTAGTGTATTGGGGCCTCAGTTTCCCCACCTCCCAGCAGAAATTACTACTTCACTCCCTTCCCGAAAGATAGTATTTGGAACTAGTACTCTCGTACAATTATTTCCAGCTTTGAGATTATGCAGAGCAGTCAATAGATACGTCATTATTTAAAAGTTGAAACTAACTTGAACAAAATGAAAAGAGGGAGTGCCAGTGTGAAGTTAGAAAACAGTGTCACAAGACCACTCTCACTTGTGACACCAATTGCAAATTCATAGATCCTCAAAACCTTTGTTTTGATAATTCGCTAGAGGGACTCACAATATTGAAATAAATCTGTTATACTCATAATTACAGTATATACCGACAACAAAAATACACTAAAATTAGCAAGTGAGAGAGGAAGGAGAGCCAAATTCAGGAAAGTTGCAAACATGGAGCTTCCAGTGGTCCTCTCCTCATTAAGTCATAGCCATTGTTATTTTGTTGGCAATGATGCATGGCAATACACACTGAAGTCAGCCAATCAGGGAAGCTCATTTGAGTCATGAGGTCCAGAGTTTTTGCTGGGGCTCAAACACATAATCTTGCTGGACCATTCAGGTTGTTGGTCTCTGTCTTCAGGCCCTTCACAGGTCAAGCTGTCTTCAGGCCCTTCAGAGGTCAAGCTGATTTGTGTTACCCAAAGCCCCTACCCTAAATTACTTTTTTTGAATTTTGTGAGGCCCAAGAATCCCAGATAAACAAAGATACTTCTATCAGGCAAGAAACTTCAAGGACTTAGAGGTTACCTCCCAGGAGCCAAAACAGACCAGGTCTCTCTTTGGACAAAGCTAAATTCTTTACTACACTGTCATTTACTCTTAGGGTTGCTAGGGGTTGAATCTAAGGCCTCTTTTTATGTTCATAGAGGATGAGTTTGACATCTTCACTGGTAAAATTTTAGCCGCTCATAATGTTGCTGAAGTTGTAATACTAGATAGCTCCACAAAGATTCTTTTTCTGAAAAAATATATCCTTTTTTTTTCAGTTCATTTTTTATGCTGTTCACTGTCTACTTCTTACATAGCAGAACTTCCCGCTAATACTGAAGAGTGAGCTTCATTGCTACCACTTGCATATGTGCTCAATGTGTTTTGGAGGATCAAAGACACACTGTTTCCCACTGTTTGACCAACATGAAAACTGGATGGCAGTTGGTCTCTGTAAATAAACATAAATATGCTTTTAAAGCATAAAACTCAAAGCTGATTCACAATAGAGAGCTGAATGAAAGGCTCATCCACTGATGTATGAAGAGTGTTTGGCAGCCTCTGCTACAAGTGAATTATTTAAATGAATCTTTACCTTAGAGAAATACCTCTTTCCTTGTGCCAAAGATGTATAGGAGCTGCCCTAGGGATTTGGGGAGGTTATGAATGGAAGCTATAATAGGCAGCTGCAAATACTATGGAAAAGCTAAAGTATAGTCTTGGATGAAAATGTATATACATATATGAGGAAAGCACAAGTTTTGGCCAGACTTGATTTATTATTTAGCAAAATCACTCTGCTTTTGAGACTCCATTTGAGAAAATCAATGTGGTGTCTTCACTGTGGCAGTTCGAGAGGGAGGCTCTATGGTTGACGTGTGGGAGTTTGTGGAATGCACATGTTCAGATGAAGATGTCGTTAAAATATGCGGGGGCTTTATCTTCAGATCTCTTAAGTGTTCAGTCTCCTTTCTCATTCCTTCTGTATTGCCCAGGGTCTTATTCTGACTGAGCTTCCCATGCTCTGAAAGGCTGGAGGCCAGAATGGCCTCACTAAGGAGTGAAAGACTGATAGAGACTCTGGGATCAGTAGGACACAGCAGCAGGTCATGTTGCTTCCCTCTTTCTGGAATAGATATCCTGCTCACCATCTTAGCAGAAATAACCCTCTCATAGGGCAATATTTCCTAAAGTACATTTACACATCACCTTCACAGTTTTTGGCAAATGAACTTAACATTTGTGTCTTTATATATTTAGCATTTTTCTTTAATTCACTTTTTAGACTTAAAAAGAAAAAATAAATTCAGCCACACATCAAGTAAACAATTCATGAAACCATGAGTTTTGTGTGTTACCTTTCTTAATACACGTTAAGATGTTAAAGTTAATTTTTTCAAAGACCTTACAAATTTATCTAGGTACCAGCTAAAATAATCTTAAATATTGCCTGTATTATAAATTCTGCAGTTAGAAACTTTCTGTGGAACGTTATTCCTGTTTTTTGTTTGTTTTGACTTCTGTTTTTCCTCTAATTCTACTCTACTGGGTCTACAAATCCACCAGGATCCAGTGTCTGGCCCTGCTGTGCTCTTTGCAAAAGACTGAAATACAGACCTACTGTTTATTCTTTTTTTAAAAAAAACACAGTACAACTGCATTTTTGTAATAGGGCCCTTAAAAGGATCTGGAAGAAAACACTGGCTCTTCAGTTCCACCTGTCCTTTTCTAAGTTTCTGAGACTAGAGTCCAGTTTATTGTTTGTTTTAGGAAAAGGATAATAATAATGCTGAATTCTGCTACTCTACCTGTTCCACCTGTCCCTATACAGAGAATGAGCATAGATTTGTCTCAATCATAAAATCTTTAAGATGGATATAAAAGTCTGTAAGTATTTTCTAATGGTAGAAAAGGCCTTGGAAGAATTATTTTCTTCTGCTTGAAGCCTACTCTTCAGGGTGAAGATTTTTGAAGGTGGCTGCACCTTAAATAATGGCAGCTTTGATTTTTAAAAAATGGTGTTTCTGAGAGGCCTAACTTTTAAAATAATCATTCTTAGCAAAACTCAAAATTCTTACGATGTATTTTCTGGGCTTGGAAAATACAATTTTACTAAAAACAAAAGATAAACTGGCATATAATCTGCATAAATATCAATGTGTGAAAGGACTCCCTGCATTTGGAATTACCAAATAAAATATAGGACTTCCAATGCCCAGTTAAATCTGAATTTCAGACAAACAGCAGTGGTTTTTTTTTTAGTCATAAATATTTTATGAGACATAATTGCAATAAAAATCATTTGTTGCTTGTCTGAAATTCAAATATAGCTGGAAATCCTATATTTTTATTTTCTAAATGTGGCTGACCTATTTGTTACCTATGTACTCTATGGGCAGGTTTTAGTTGAATAAATTGAAACTCCTTAAATATTAAGTGTTTTGAAATATCTGAAGCAAATTTCAGAAGCTCATCTGCAAATAAACTAAAAATGATGATGATGCATTTTTTTCCTGGCTGACCTTTATGATGGACATAATTTATCATTCTCTTATCATTATTACAGTGGGGAGACAAGCATTCCAGGGAGATGGTATCTGAATGCTTACACTATCATGGGCCTAAAGAAATCACTCAATCTGAAGTTCCCTAAGCCTTCTGTTCCCCTCCCAAGAGCCTGGTATGGAGTCCCCCACCTCTTCCCTTGAAGAACTCCACCTTGGGGAAGAAAATCCAAGCTCATGGAGGGCTGTGTATTAGTCTGTTTTCACACTGCTGATATAGTCATACCCAAGACTGGGTAATTTATAAAAGAAAGAGGTTTAATGGCCTCACAGTTCCACCTGGCTGGGGAAGCCTCACAATCATGGTGGAAGGTGAAAGGCATATCCTACATAGCAGCAGGCAAGAAAGAATGAGAGCCAAGAGACAGGGGAAACCCCTTATGAAATCACCAGATCTCGTGAGACTTATTCACTACCATGAGAACAGTATGGAGGAACCACCCCCATGATTCAATTATTTCCTACAGAGTCCCTCCCACAACACATGGGAATTATGAAAGCTACAATTCGAGATGAGATTTTGGTGGGGACACAGACAAACCATATCATTCCACCACTGGCCCCTCCCAAATGTCATGTTTTCGCATTTCAAAAACAATCATGCCTTTCCAACAGTCCCCCAAAATCTTAACTCATTTCAGCATTAACTCAAATGTCCACAGTCCAAGGTCTCAACTGAGACAAGGCAAGTTCCTTCTGCCTATGAACCTGTAAAACCAAAAGCAAGTTAGTTACTCCTAGATACAATGGGGGTACAGGCATTGAGTAAATACATCTGTTCTATATGGGAGAAATTGGCCAAAACAAAGGGGCTAAAGGCCCCCATGCAAGTCCAAAATCCAGTGGAGCAGTCAAATCTTAAAGTTTCCAAATGATCTCCTTTGACTCTATGCCTCACATCGAGGTCATGCTGATGCAAGAGGTGGGTTCCCATGGCCTTGGGCAGCTCTGCCCCTGTGGCTTTGCAGGGTACAGCACCCCTTCTGGCAGCTTTCACAGGCTGGCATTGAGTGTCTGCAGCTTTTCCAGGCTCATGGTACAAGCTGTCAATGGAGCTACCATTCTGTAGTCTGGAGGGCAGTGGCCCTTTTCTCACAGCTCCACTAGGCAGTGCCCCAGTGGGGACTCTGTGTGGGGGCTTCAACCCCATATTTCCCTTCCTCAATGTCCTAGCAGAGGTTCTCTCCATGAGAGCCCCACTTGTGCAGCAAACTTCTGGCTTGACATCTAGGCATTTCCATACATCCTCTGAAATATAGGTGGAGGTTCCCAAACATCAATTCTTGACTTCTGTGCACTTGCAGTGCAGGCTCAATATCATGTGGAAGCTGCCAAGACTTGGGGCTTCCACCCTCTGAAGCCATGGCCTGAGTCGTACATTCACTCCTTTTAGCCATGGCTAGAGTGGCTGGGACTCAGGGTGCTGAGTTGCTAGGCTGCACACAGCAGGGGGGCCCTGGGCCTGGCCCACAAAACCATTTTTTCCTCCTAGGCCTCCAGGCCTGTGATGGGAGGGGCTGCTGCAAAGGTCTCTGACATGCTCTGGAGACATTTTCTCCATTGCCTTGTGATTAACATTTGGCTTCTCGTTATTCATGCAAATTTCTGCAGCCAGCTTGAATTTCTTCTCAGAAAATGGGTTTTTCTTTTCTGTCACATCGTAAGGCTGCAAATTTTCCAAACTTTTATGTTTCCCTTTTAAAACTGAGTGCTTTTAACAGCATTCAAGTCACCTCTTGAATATTTTGCTGCCTAGAAATTTCTTCCACCAGATACCCTAAATAATCTCTCTCAAGTTCAAGGTTCCACAAATATCTAGGATGGGGGCAAAATGCTGCCAGTCTCTTTGCTAAAACATAGCAAGAGTAACCTTTACTCCAGTTCCCAACAAGTTTCTCATCTCCATATGAGACCTTCTCAGCCTGGATTTCATTGTCCATATTATCATCATGGTTTTTGTCAAAGCCATTCAACAAGTCCCTCGAAAGTTCCAAACTTTCCCACATTTTCCTGTCTTCTTCTGAGCCCCCCAAACTGTTCCAACCTTTGCCTGTTACCAAGTTCCAAAGTTGCTTCCACTTTTTTTTTATATCTTTACAGCAGTTCCCCACTCTATTTCTACCAATTTACCATATTAGTCCATTTTCATGCTGCTGATAAAGACATAGCTGAGACTGGGTAATTTGTAAAGAAAAAGAGTTTTAATGGACTCACAGTTTCACATGGCTGGAGAGGCCTCCCCCACAATCACAGTGGAAGGTGAAAGGCACATCTTACATGGCACCAGACAAGAGAGAATGAGAGGCAAGTGAAAGGGGAAACCCCTTATAAAATCATCAGATTGCGTGAGACTTATTCACTACCATGAGAACAATATGGGAGAAACCGACCCCCTGATTCGTTTGTCTCCCACCAGGTCTCTCCCATAACATGTAGGAATTATGGGAGCTATAGTTCAAGATGAGATTTGGGTGGGACCACAGCCAAACCATATCAGATTGGATCCCATTATTGCATTATACTACCTTGTCTCTCCACAGAAACATACTGAAGCCATCCTGTGCCCAGCTCCATAGATAAATCACTTAGGAAGATGGTAGTTACATGCTTCACAGTTACTCTTGTAACTGAATGAAGATGGAACCTTCCTCTTAACCAGCCATGATCAGTGATTACACATGGAATCAAATGACCATGCTCACAGCTGCTCTAATACTTTTCTGGGAAAAGCCAGGTTCTGTAGGGGACTTGTGTAAAATGCAGGGATATAATTAATTAGCTGAAGTACACCATCCAATTAATGATAAACTCTATGACTCTGAGATGAATGATTCTCGGCACAGTTGTTCTCATCTTCATAGCAACTTCTGCATTCATCCCAAAGACACCTCCAAAGGTGCACAGGACTCATGAGCACCCTGCAGACAGATGCCAGCCTACGAACACTTTATTTCCACCAAGGTCCCGAAAACTATGTGATCCACAGAGATGGATTTTCAAGGAACAGTCAAGACCCTTATGGAATATCTGCATAA
Source organism: Homo sapiens (assembly GCF_000001405.40). Classification (NCBI taxonomy): domain Eukaryota; kingdom Metazoa; phylum Chordata; class Mammalia; order Primates; family Hominidae; genus Homo; species Homo sapiens. Next base: position 126,293,752 of record NC_000012.12, read on the forward strand.
TATTTACACATTGGGGAAACTCTGTGTTGAGACCCTGACTTACCCAAAAGAGAAAGTGTAACCTGGAGGAAAATTTAAGTTATGGCAATCCAAACACAAAATCTGCTAGCTTCTTTATGTCCCCAAGTTGCCTACACTTTTGAGGGATGAAATGGGGAAGTAGTTAGGACACAGAATCTGGAGGGAGGAAAAAAGATTTTGATAGGCTGGAACTTTGGGCCTAATGTAACAAGATTAGAAGAAATAAATGTAAAGTTCTGTATTTATATCTAAATGCATTTTCAAAAATAGCATACATCCCTATAAATAAATAAGCAAACAAACAAGAAAAATCACCTTTACAAGTGTATGACTTGGGAAATATAGCATAAAAGCAATGTCTATGAAGAAAGGCCTTGGATAGTTTTATCAATATTAGACTCCATATATGTGAGTTGTTAAATGAGGCTTCCCAAAGTACTAATGTGATATTTAACAGCAACAAATAATACCTATTTTCTAGAAAAGAGGTCAAAATACAACTAGCAACTTGACTGAAAGCCATGTTGGCATATAATTTTGTTTGTTTGTTTGATTATATTTGATATTGGACATAGAATTTAAAACTTAAATTATATGCTGCATATAAGATATAAAAAAACAGGCAATTTCAAATAGGAAACTGGATTTCTGTTGCTCTTGAAAAGCTTCAGCTAGGCTCACATTCCCACCTGGTTAACATCAGCTGGGACTGAGTGGCAACTAACTGTTATATGGTGCCTGTGGTCTCCAACGGACCTCAGTCCCCACCGCTCCCTCCTGTGTCTCTGGTATTAAGGTTGAAGGGCACAAGCCACTTCTCATCACACATAGCCTCTTGATTTTTAATATTAGAGTTCATAAAAAAAAGTGAAAAGTGAATGAATACTGGTCTCTACACGAAGTGGGCAACCAATGACAGGCCTCTCTTTGTCACTCTGTCCTAGGATTCCGTTGGCATTCTAGGCCATAATAGTAACACTGGGAAATTGACACATGTTCTGCCAGAGGGTAAGACTTCGGGGTGCTGAGGGACCTGGAAATTACATTACAGTATGAAAAGCTGAAGGAAGTGCAAGTGCTTAACTATGTGAGGAGAAAGAGAAACGTCCCAGGGCTGACACAAAGTGGAAGGCATGATGGCTTTTCCTTAAGTATTGAAAGGGCTGCTGAATGGACTACAGAGATTTGTTCTTTTTTCTGGATCTCTAAAGTGGAAAGTGTAAGGAAACCAATTCTTGCTCATTATAAAGAAATAAATATTTCAGAATCAGTATCTTACAATGGCCAACTTTTTCCGTCTTTGGTTAAAATGTGGCTTTACTACTTTGTAGCTATTTGATCTTTGGCAAGTTGTTAGCTCTTAATGCCTTAATTTCCTCGTGTGTAATATGGAGATGATGATGGTCTAATGGGATTGCACTGTATGCAGAGATTAGTTCTAAATCAGCATTCATTAGGCAGACTTTTTCACGAATGAAAGTGACCCTTTGAAATTCTGTAAATTAAACTTAAATCACAAGGACTCGGGCTCTTCAAAACTCAACATTTGAGAATTAATTTTCTTTTTTCTCTTGCATTTGGCTGTTGCTAAACTCTGTGGGTCCTTACATGTCCAAGTCTAGTTTAAAAGGGGTATCAAAGGCATCATAGATAGGTTTTATTTTTTTCTTACGATATTTTATTCTCAGCACATATAATTGAATTTTTATGTGTTAAATGTGCGTGTAATTAAATCTCATCAGGCAAGAATCAAGTAATACAGTATTTTTAAAAAGACAGCACAATGTTTAATCTGTCATACGTCTATGTAAGTATTCATATGTATATCTGTAAGTTTTGGTTTCTAATTGATTGGAAGCTTCATGGGTTCTAGGACTATGTTACTAAACAGTGGGTTTCCCATTACTTAGCAGAGTGCCTGGGATACTGTAAGTACACAGAGGACATAGTTAGAAGAAATAAGGAAGAAAAGGAGGGAAGGAAGGAAGGAAGAGAGGCAGGGAGAGAGGGAGAGAAGAAGGAAGGAAGGAAGGAAGGAAGGAAAGAGGGAAGGCGGGAAAGAGGAAAGGAAGGAAAGAGGGAAGGGGGAAGGAGGGAGGGAAGGAAGGAGGAAGGAAAGAAAGAGGGAAGGAAAGAGAGAAGGAGGGAGGCAGGAAAGGAAAGAAGTTGGTCCAATAATGGAATATGTGGTTGCCTAAATTGTTCCATAACTTTCTGGAGCATCTCCTGTGAATTCCTTTTCAACGGAGGAAATCAAAGAAAGAAGGAGCTCTCTATAGTCAAATGGGTTTTTATTGGGTGGAGACTTGGAATTGCATACTTAGATCTACGGTGTTTTTTTTTTTTTTTTTTTTTTTTGTCCTCATGGAAAGCATTTTTCCCAAAAACATTCACTGACCATATATTGTGTTCAGTGTCGTGCTCATAGGGCTTAGGATGCTATAAAAATGGAATGCATATGTCTTCTGCCCTTAGTCATTTACTTACTAGTTATAGATAAGGGAGCTAACTTTTATTATTGGCCAAGCACATTAGTAGCATTGACATATGTCTGCCTCATGTAAGACTTTAAGGTAGGTAAGGCTTTTACCTAAATTTTATACATGAAAAATCAGAGGCATTAGAGGGAAAGTAGCTTCCTAAAGGTTACACAGCTGGTGGGTGGTGGAGCTCAGGTTTCTACCCAACCTGCTGGCTCTGAGCCTGCATTCATACCCCTGTGCATGATGGCTTCATCTTCCTTTGAGTTTGTGTCCAACGTGGTGGGAGGAACGTCTCATGAACAGTAACAAAATGGCATTCCTATTGCTTCCCCACTGGAGGTGTCAGTTGGTTGATAGTGAGCTTTTCTGATATTTATAACACTCTATTGTTTTCAGCCACATCATCTGAAAGGCACGTTTTCTTCTCATTGTCAAGTTTCTTTGAAGGTCATCACAGGAAGGATAAAAGCAAGGATTTCAAGAGTGGTCATCTTTTCATGTCTCTTTTTCTGATAAATGATGGGCTTATGCATTTATGGGTCGGTAATTATATTGTTTGTCAATAAATTATGGCTTTCAGGACCGCAGAAGCCTGTTATGCATCATTAGCAAGTACTGAATTCCTTTCATTCTTGAAAAAGACACATAAATGGATCTATAATGGCACAGAGAGCGTGCCCACCAACTTATGTATGTGATAATTAAATGCCCAGGCCTCTGGCTTCAGCTGGACTAGGCAATAATGAAATGCTAAAGGCCTAATAAAAACATTAATATGCTTAAGTCTTCCATGCCCCGGGAAAGCACTTTGTGGACCTGGCTTATGAGTGCTTAAGGCGACATGTGATGGATGAGCTGTCATATGGAAATTTAAAGTTGTCCTGTTGCTTGCTTAGAAATGTGTAGCAAACTGGCTTCTAAATAGGGCAAAAGTGGCTTTGAAATAGCATCTGCATACCCTGGGTTAGAACACAGCAACTAGAAAAAAGCTCACTGCCCAAGATTTCCCAAAGGGTGAGATTTACAGAAAGGGTAAGATGGCAGGTGGTGTTTTCTGAATGGGGTGCTCTAAAGAGGTCATTTTGAGCAAACTTAAATGAGCTAAAGGCATCAATGAAGATTTAAGTAGAGACGATGTAGACAGTTGTGTAGGTAGCAATGGTCTGGCGGACCTAGAACACAACCTATATTAGTTAAACATTTTTGGTTACAAATAATGAAAGCACAGATCAAATTTTAAGCCAAAAATGAAATTAGTTGAGTCATGTACCCGAAGAGGGCTTTTAAGGTTTATTGCAAAGTTGGACTGCAGCCTTCTCTAGGACCTATTTTCTCTGTTTCTCAATACTGACGCCCTCTGTGTAGTCTTTATTCCCGGTCAGGCTCCTTCTGTATGGAGGGTTCCAACAAGTTCAGGGTTCATATTTTTCTAGCTTCTAGTCTGGTGACTAGAAGCTTTGTTCCCTGTCAATGCATCAAGAATTACCTGACTAAACAGACTTGGGTGTAGTGCCCATTTCTGAATTGGTAAAACTGTGGACATAACATGAAATATGTCCACTGGCCAGACCTGTGCCGCATATCCATATGTGGAGCTGAGAGTTCAACTTGAACTACTCCGTCCTCGGGAAAAACTGAGAAAATGGATAGGAAAAGAATGACAGCTATCCATTCAGTTTCCCATGAAAATTCCCTAGATTTTTTTTTAGGAAGAACACAATCAATCAGCAAATCCTGATAGAAAACCTACCATGTTGGAGGAACAATGGCAAACCTCCAGAGGCATTTGCAAACTATCTGAGGCATACTTTATGTGACCAAATGCCTACTGAGTGTCTAATTGTGCCAATTACCTACTGCTTTATACAAATCACCCTACAACTTAGCAATGTAGAAAAATAAGAATTTATTAAAATAAGAGTTTCTGAGGGTCAGGAATCTGGGAAAGGCTCAACTGTCTGGCTCAGGCTCGGGGTATGTAATGATATTGCAGTGAAGATGTTCACAAAAGCTGCAGTCATCTCCAGTCTTGCCTGGGGCTGCAAGATCCACTTCCAATGTGACTGGCTCCCACAGCTAAATTCATGCTGGATGTTATCATGAGGTCTCAGTTCCTCACCCCTTGGGTCTCTTCATAGGATCACTTAAAAGTTTTTATGACATGACAGCTGGCTGCCTGCAATGTGAAGGATTTAAAAAAGAGAGGAAGAAGTCACAGTGATGTTTATCTCTGAATCCCAACAACACTATAACTTTTGACACATTTTATTTATGACAAGCGGTCACTAAATACGGCCCACACTCAATGAGTACCCCTGACCAAAGATTTTATATGCTCCTCCCTGATGCAAAATATACTCACTTCCTCCCAGGATCTCAAAACCTTGTTATTTTAGATTGTCAATTCAAATTCAGGATTTGGGAGTTGAAATCAGGTTCAGGTACAGATGAGATTTCTGATTCTAAAGAGGTCCATGTTTTCCATTAGGGAAGCATATTTACCCTAGAAAATGATATCCCTAGATATGGAAAAAAGAAAAGGTTTTAGAGTTAGGTTGGCTTCAATTCTTCAGTACAACTTCAGGTTTTGCAAGAACATGTCAACCTGCAGAACCATGAGCTTCCACTAATATCAGAAGGTGAGGGGCAGCCAGTGTGTGCAGAGATCACATGGCGAGAGAGGGAGGAAAGTGAGGGAGGTTCCGGGCTCCTTTTTTTTTTTTTTTTTTTTTTTGAGTGGTTTTCTTTTTTTTTTTTTTTTTTTTTTTATTATACTCTAAGTTTTAGGGTACATGTGCACATTGTGCAGGTTAGTTACATATGTATACATGTGCCATGCTGGTGCGCTGCACCCACTAATGTGTCATCTAGCATTAGGTATATCTCCCAATGCTATCCCTCCCCCCTCCCCCGACCCCACCACAGTCCCCAGAGTGTGATATTCCCCTTCCTGTGTCCATGTGATCTCATTGTTCAATTCCCACCTATGAGTGAGAATATGCGGTGTTTGGTTTTTTGTTCTTGCGATAGTTTACTGAGAATGATGGTTTCCAATTTCATCCATGTCCCTACAAAGGATATGAACTCATCATTTTTTATGGCTGCATAGTATTCCATGGTGTATATGTGCCACATTTTCTTAATCCAGTCTATCATTGTTGGACATTTGGGTTGGTTCCAAGTCTTTGCTATTGTGAATAGTGCCGCAATAAACATATGTGTGCATGTGTCTTTATAGCAGCATGATTTATACTCATTTGGGTATATACCCAGTAATGGGATGGCTGGGTCAAATGGTATTTCTAGTTCTAGATCCCTGAGGAATCGCCACACTGACTTCCACAATGGTTGAACTAGTTTACAGTCCCACCAACAGTGTAAAAGTGTTCCTATTTCTCCGCATCCTCTCCAGCACCTGTTGTTTCCTGACTTTTTAATGATTGCCATTCTAACTGGTGTGAGATGATATCTCATAGTGGTTTTGATTTGCATTTCTCTGATGGCCAGTGATGATGAGCATTTCTTCATGTGTTTTTTGGCTGCATAAATGTCTTCTTTTGAGAAGTGTCTGTTCATGTCCTTCGCCCACTTTTTGATGGGGTTGTTTGTTTTTTTCTTGTAAATTTGTTTGAGTTCATTGTAGATTCTGGATATTAGCCCTTTGTCAGATGAGTAGGTTGCAAAAATTTTCTCCCATGTTGTAGGTTGCCTGTTCACTCTGATGGTAGTTTCTTTTGCTGTGCAGAAGCTCTTTAGTTTAATTAGATCCCATTTGTCAATTTTGTCTTTTGTTGCCATTGCTTTTGGTGTTTTGGACATGAAGTCCTTGCCCACGCCTATGTCCTGAATGGTAATGCCTAGGTTTTCTTCTAGGGTTTTTATGGTTTTAGGTTTAACGTTTAAATCTTTAATCCATCTTGAATTGATTTTTGTATAAGGTGTAAGGAAGGGATCCAGTTTCAGCTTTCTACATATGGCTAGCCAGTTTTCCCAGCACCATTTATTAAATAGGGAATCCTTTCCCCATTGCTTGTTTTTCTCAGGTTTGTCAAAGATCAGATAGTTGTAGATATGCGGCATTATTTCTGAGGGCTCTGTTCTGTTCCATTGATCTATATCTCTGTTTTGGTACCAGTACCATGCTGTTTTGGTTACTGTAGCCTTGTAGTATAGTTTGAAGTCAGGTAGTGTGATGCCTCCAGCTTTGTTCTTTTGGCTTAGGATTGACTTGGCAATGCGGGCTCTTTTTTGGTTCCATATGAACTTTAAAGTAGTTTTTTCCAATTCTGTGAAGAAAGTCATTGGTAGCTTGATGGGGATGGCATTGAATCTGTAAATTACCTTGGGCAGTATGGCCATTTTCACGATATTGATTCTTCCTACCCATGAGCATGGAATGTTCTTCCATTTGTTTGTGTCCTCTTTTATTTCCTTGAGCAGTGGTTTGTAGTTCTCCTTGAAGAGGTCCTTCACATCCCTTGTAAGTTGGATTCCTAGGTATTTTATTCTCTTTGAAGCAATTGTGAATGGGAGTTCACCCATGATTTGGCTCTCTGTTTGTCTGTTGTTGGTGTATAAGAATGCTTGTGATTTTTGTACATTGATTTTGTATCCTGAGACTTTGCTGAAGTTGCTTATCAGCTTAAGGAGATTTTGGGCTGAGACGATGGGGTTTTCTAGATAAACAATCATGTCGTCTGCAAACAGGGACAATTTGACTTCCTCTTTTCCTAATTGAATACCCTTTATTTCCTTCTCCTGCCTGATTGCCCTGGCCAGAACTTCCAACACTATGTTGAATAGGAGCGGTGAGAGAGGGCATCCCTGTCTTGTGCCGGTTTTCAAAGGGAATGCTTCCAGTTTTTGCCCATTCAGTATGATATTGGCTGTGGGTTTGTCATAGATAGCTCTTATTATTTTGAAATACGTCCCATCAATACCTAATTTATTGAGAGTTTTTAGCATGAAGGGTTGTTGAATTTTGTCAAAGGCTTTTTCTGCATCTATTGAGATAATCATGTGGTTTTTGTCTTTGGCTCTGTTTATATGCTGGATTACATTTATTGATTTGCGTATATTGAACCAGCCTTGCATCCCAGGGATGAAGCCCACTTGATCATGGTGGATAAGCTTTTTGATGTGCTGCTGGATTCGGTTTGCCAGTATTTTATTGAGGATTTTTGCATCAATGTTCATCAAGGATATTGGTCTAAAATTCTCTTTTTTGGTTGTGTCTCTGCCAGGCTTTGGTATCAGAATGATGCTGGCCTCATAAAATGAGTTAGGGAGGATTCCCTCTTTTTCTATTGATTGGAATAGTTTCAGAAGGAATGGTACCAGTTCCTCCTTGTACCTCTGGTAGAATTCGGCTGTGAATCCATCTGGTCCTGGACTCTTTTTGGTTGGTAAACTATTGATTATTGCCACAATTTCAGAGCCTGTTATTGGTCGATTCAGAGATTCAACTTCTTCCTGGTTTAGTCTTGGGAGAGTGTATGTGTCGAGGAATGTATCCATTTCTTCTAGATTTTCTAGTTTATTTGCGTAGAGGTGTTTGTAGTATTCTCTGATGGTAGTTTGTATTTCTGTGGGATCGGTGGTGATATCCCCTTTATCATTTTTTATTGTGTCTATTTGATTCTTCTCTCTTTTTTTCTTTATTAGTCTTGCTAGCGGTCTATCAATTTTGTTGATCCTTTCAAAAAACCAGCTCCTGGATTCATTGATTTTTTGAAGGGTTTTTTGTGTCTCTATTTCCTTCAGTTCTGCTCTGATTTTAGTTATTTCTTGCCTTCTGCTAGCTTTTGAATGTGTTTGCTCTTGCTTTTCTAGTTCTTTTAATTGTGATGTTAGGGTGTCAATTTTGGATCTTTCCTGCTTTCTCTTGTAGGCATTTAGTGCTATAAATTTCCCTCTACACGCTGCTTTGAATGCGTCCCAGAGATTCTGGTATGTGGTGTCTTTGTTCTCGTTGGTTTCAAAGAACATCTTTATTTCTGCCTTCATTTCGTTATGTACCCAGTAGTCATTCAGGAGCAGGTTGTTCAGTTTCCATGTAGTTGAGCGGCTTTGAGTGAGATTCTTAATCCTGAGTTCTAGTTTGATTGCACTGTGGTCTGAGAGATAGTTTGTTATAGTTTCTGTTCTTTTACATTTGCTGAGGAGAGCTTTACTTCCCAGTATGTGGTCAATTTTGGAATAGGTGTGGTGTGGTGCTGAAAAAAATGTATATTCTGTTGATTTGGGGTGGAGAGTTCTGTAGATGTCTATTAGGTCTGCTTGGTGCAGAGCTGAGTTCAATTCCTGGGTATCCTTGTTGACTTTCTGTCTCGTTGATCTGTCTAATGTTGACAGTGGGGTGTTAAAGTCTCCCATTATTAATGTGTGGGAGTCTAAGTCTCTTTGTAGGTCACTGAGGACTTGCTTTATGAATCTGGGTGCTCCTGTATTGGGTGCATAAATATTTAGGATAGTTAGCTCCTCTTGTTGAATTGATCCCTTTACCATTATGTAATGGCCTTCTTTGTCTCTTTTGATCTTTGTTGGTTTAAAGTCTGTTTTATCAGAGACTAGGATTGCAACCCCTGCCTTTTTTTGTTTTCCATTGGCTTGGTAGATCTTCCTCCATCCTTTTATTTTGAGCCTATGTGTGTCTCTGCACGTGAGATGGGTTTCCTGAATACAGCACACTGATGGGTCTTGACTCTTTATCCAACTTGCCAGTCTGTGTCTTTTAATTGCAGAATTTAGTCCATTTATATTTAAAGTTAATATTGTTATGTGTGAATTTGATCCTGTCATTATGATGTTAGCTGGTGATTTTGCTCATTAGTTGATGCAGTTTCTTCCTAGTCTCGATGGTCTTTACATTTTGGCATGATTTTGCAGCGGCTGGTACCGGTTGTTCCTTTCCATGTTTAGCGCTTCCTTCAGGAGCTCTTTTAGGGCAGGCCTGGTGGTGACAAAATCTCTCAACATTTGCTTGTCTATAAAGTATTTTATTTCTCCTTCACTTATGAAGCTTAGTTTGGCTGGATATGAAATTCTGGGTTGAAAATTCTTTTCTTTAAGAATGTTGAATATTGGCCCCCACTCTCTTCTGGCTTGTAGGGTTTCTGCCGAGAGATCCGCTGTTAGTCTGATGGGCTTTCCTTTGAGGGTAACCCGACCTTTCTCTCTGGCTGCCCTTAACATTTTTTCCTTCATTTCAACTTTGGTGAATCTGACAATTATGTGTCTTGGAGTTGCTCTTCTCGAGGAGTATCTTTGTGGCGTTCTCTGTATTTCCTGAATCTGAACGTTGGCCTGCCTTGCTAGATTGGGGAAGTTCTCCTGGATAATATCCTGCAGAGTGTTTTCCAACTTGGTTCCATTCTCCACATCACTTTCAGGTACACCAATCAGACGTAGATTTGGTCTTTTCACATAGTCCCATATTTCTTGGAGGCTTTGCTCATTTCTTTTTATTCTTTTTTCTCTAAACTTCCCTTCTCGCTTCATTTCATTCATTTCATCTTCCATTGCTGATACCCTTTCTTCCAGTTGATCGCATCGGCTCCTGAGGCTTCTGCATTCTTCACGTAGTTCTCGAGCCTTGGTTTTCAGCTCCATCAGCTCCTTTAAGCACTTCTCTGTATTGGTTATTCTAGTTATACATTCTTCTAAATTTTTTTCAAAGTTTTCAACTTCTTTGCCTTTGGTTTGAATGTCCTCCCGTAGCTCAGAGTAATTTGATCGTCTGAAGCCTTCTTCTCTCAGCTCGTCAAAATCATTCTCCATCCAGCTTTGTTCTGTTGCTGGTGAGGAACTGCGTTCCTTTGGAGGAGGAGAGGCGCTCTGCGTTTTAGAGTTTCCAGTTTTTCTGTTCTGTTTTTTCCCCATCTTTGTGGTTTTATCTACTTTTGGTCTTTGATGATGGTGATGTACAGATGGGTTTTCGGTGTAGATGTCCTTTCTGGTTGTTAGTTTTCCTTCTAACAGACAGGACCCTCAGCTGCAGGTCTGTTGGAATACCCTGCCGTGTGAGGTGTCAGTGTGCCCCTGCTGGGGGGTGCCTCCCAGTTAGGCTGCTCGGGGGTCAGGAGTCAGGGACCCACTTGAGGAGGCAGTCTGCCCGTTCTCAGATCTCCAGCTGCGTGCTGGGAGAACCACTGCTCTCTTCAAAGCTGTCAGACAGGGACACTTAAGTCTGCAGAGGTTACTGCTGTCTTTTTGTTTGTCTGTGCCCTGCCCCCAGAGGTGGAGCCTACAGAGGCAGGCAGGCCTCCTTGAGCTGTGGTGGGCTCCACCCAGTTCGAGCTTCCAGGCTGCTTTGTTTACCTAAGCAAGCCTGGGCAATGGCGGGCGCCCCTCCCCCAGCCTCGTTGCCGCCTTGCAGTTTGATCTCAGACTGCTGTGCTAGCAATCAGCGAGATTCCGTGGGCGTAGGACCCTCCGAGCCAGGTGTGGGATATAGTCTCGTGGTGCGCCGTTTCTTAAGCCGGTCTGAAAAGCGCAATATTCGGGTGGGAGTGACCCAATTTTCCAGGTGCGTCCGTCACCCCTTTCTTTGACTCGGAAAGGGAACTCCCTGACCCCTTGCGCTTCCCAGGTGAGGCAATGCCTCGCCCTGCTTCGGCTCGCGCACGGTGCGCACACACACTGGCCTGCGCCCACTGTCTGGCACTCCCTAGTGAGATGAACCCGGTACCTCAGATGGAAATGCAGAAATCACCGTCTTCTGCGTCGCTCACGCTGGGAGCTGTAGACCGGAGCTGTTCCTATTCGGCCATCTTGGCTCCTCCGCAAGAACTTTTCCCGGGCTCCTTTTTAACAACCAGCTCTTATGGAAACTAATAGAGTGAGAACTCACTCACCCCCAAATCCCCACGGACATGGCATTAATCTATTCATGAAGTATCCACCCCCATGACCCAAACACATCCCGCTAGACCATACCTCCACATTGGGATCAAATTTCAACGTGAGGTTTGGGTAGACAAACATCCAAACCATAGCATCACCTTTGCATGTAATATCAATGATGCTTTATACTGATCGGGCACTTACTATGTGCTAATGTGCCAGGCACTGTTGTCAGTGATTCATATGTTTTAACTTGTTTAATCCTCACAATGCCACCTTGAGTTAACTACTATTATGAATCCCATTTTATAGATGGGAAACTCTTTATGGGATATAGTTGGGATGCACAGAGAGGTTAAGTCATTTATCCTGTGATTAACACAAAGGGTGAGGAACGGAATCATGGTTTGAACTCCGGTACACATTCTTTTACCTACGACATAAATAGAACACTGCAATTTTCCACTGAGCACAGCTCCTGGTGAATAGTGAGGTTGTTTATTTCAGGGACTTTTTATTTCTTTTAACTTTTCTGCTCTTGAATTGTCCACAAAATGACTTGTTTTAAGGAAGATCTGAGTTTAAAGATATTGTCAAAGATAAAAATGTGTCCTCTGTTTTTTTCTAAATATTTTCTAAAACTTGGCAAATAATTGAATATAAATCTACTTATATTAGGAATTAAGGGACATACAAAGGAATATCAGAAATGAAAACCTGCAATGCATTTTTAGCTAAAAAAAAAAAATGCACCAATAGAGGCAAAGAGGAGAGATAACGCCTCTGATTAAGTCATGTTGTTCCCTAAATATGGAGGGGATTTGATAATTTAATGGCTTTTCACTGATGTATATCACTCAGAGAATATGAATGCTCAGAAGGTATTCCTGGCTCTAGGAACTGGAAGAAATATAAATCAGAGTAAGCTAAGAACACCACAGGAGTATAAAGCAAAGGAAACATTCAGATTACACAGCACACTCATTAAACAAAAGAAAGTCTCTCTTCTACTTCTATTGTCAAGTGGACAGACAGCTAGCAGAAAATGATCATTTCTATTCATATCCTTTATTCATTCTTTCCTAATTACATCTTCCAAACTGCTGTTTGGATTTAATTTGCAATTGAAATAGCACTACCACTTATGGACAAAGCTACAATGGTAAGAAAATAACACAGATTCCAACAGCCCTCTTAATTTTCATTTCTTTACCTCCCTGAAGGATTGTCTTAACTTTCTTGAAGACCGCCTCTCCCAAATAAATATGTTAAGTAACAAAGTGTCTTTATCAAAGCCGATGTGCAGAAGGGTATTTCCTAGGTTTTCTTCTAGGATTTTTATAGTTTGAGGTCTTACATTTAAATATTTAGTATATCTTGAGTTAATTTTTGTATATGGTGAAAGGTATGGGTCCAGTTTTATTTTTCTGCATATGCCTAGCCAATTATCCTAGCACTATTTATTGAATAAGGAGTCCTTTCCTCATTGCTTATTTTTTTTGACTTGGTTGAAGGTCAAATGGCTGTAGGCATTCCACTTTATTTCTGGGTTATTTATTTTGTTCCATTGGCCTACGTGTCTATTTTTGTACCTGTACCATGCTGTTTTGGTTATTTTAGCCTTATAGTATAGTCTGAAATTGGGTGATTTGATGCTTACAGCTTTGTTACTTTTGTTTAGGATGCTTTCGCTATTCTGGGTTTTTCAGTTCCATGTGAATTTTAAAACAGTTTTTTCTAATTCTATGAAAAATGGCATTGATATTTTGATAGAAATAGCATTGAATCTGTAAATTGCTTTGGGAAGTATGTCCATTTAAATGATGTTGATTTTTCCAATCCATGAGTATATTTTTCCATTTATTTGTGTCATGTCTGCTTTCTTTCAAGAGTATTTTGTAGTTCTTCTTGCAGAGATCTTTCACCTCCTTGGTTAGATAAATACCTAGGTACTTCATTTTTTGTGGCTATTTTAAATGTGATTGTGTTCTTGATTTGGCTCTCATCTAGAACACTATTGGTGTATAGAAATGCCACCGATTTTTGTATGTTGATTTCGTATCTTGAAACGTTATTGAATTTACTTATCATTTGTAGGAGCCTTTTGGGAGAGACTTTAGGGTTTTCTAGGTATAGAATCATATCATCAATGAAGAGGGATAGTTTTACTTCTTCTTTTCCTATTTGGATGAATTTTATTTATTTATCTTGCCTGATTGCTCTGGCTAGGACTTCCAGTACTGTGTTGAACAGGAGTGGTGAGAGTGGGCATCCTTGTCTCATTTCAGTTCCCAAGTGGATGGTTATAGTTTTTGTCTGTTCTGTATGATATTTGCTGTAGGTTTGTCATAGATGGTACTTATTATTTTAATGTATGTTCCTTTGATGCCTACTCTGTTAAGGGTTTTTATCATGATGAGGTGTTGGATTTTATTAAAGTCTTTTTCTGCATGTATTAACATGATCATTTGATTTTTGTTTTTTATTCTGCTTGTGCCATGATTCACATTTATTGATTTGTGTATGTCGAATAAACCTTACATCCCAGGGGTAAAGCCTACTTTATTGTGGTGAATTAACTTTTTGATGTGTTCCTGGATTTGGTTTGCTGGCATTTTGTTGAAGATTTTTGCATCTATGTTCATCAGGGATATTAGCTTGAATTTTTCTTCTTTTTGTTGTTGTGTCTCTGCCAGAATAAGTTAAGGAGGAGCCCCTTCTTGATTTTTTGGAATAGTTTAAGAATTTATGGCAAAGTAAGTTGCATAAAGCTATTGCAAAAAAAAAAAAAAAAAACAAAAATTGCAACAAAATAAAAATTAACAAGCGGGACCTAATTCATCTAAAGAGGTTCTGCACAGCAAAAGAAATTATCAACAGACTAAACAGACAACCTACAGAATGGGAGAAAATATTTGAAAACTATGCACTTGACAAAGGTCTGATATCCGGAATCTATAAGGAACTTAAACAAATTAACAAGCAAAAAACAAATAATCAAATTTTAAAAGTGGGCAACAGACATGAATAAACACTTCTCAAAAGAAGACATTCAAGTGGTCAAAAAATATATGAAAAAAATGCTCATCATCACTAATCATCAGAGAAAGGCAAATCAAATCCACAATGAAAGAACATCTCACAGCTGTCAGAATGGTGATTTTTAGAAAGTTAAACAAATAACATATGTTTGCCAGGCTACAGAGAAAAGGGAATGCTTACACACTGTTGGTAAGAATGCAAATTACTTCAGCCACTGTAGAAAGCAGTGTCAAGATTTCTCAAAGAACCTAAAACAGAACTACCATTCAACCCAGCAGTCCCATTACTGGGTGTATACCAAAAAGACATGTGCATTTGGATGTTTACTTCTGCACTATTTACAATAGCAAAGACCTGGAGTCAACTTACATGCCCATCAACAGTGGATCTGATAAAGAAAATGTGGTATGTGTGCACAGTGGAACTCTAGGAAGCCATTAAAAAGAATAAAATCATGTCATTTGCAGCAACATGGAAGCTGCCTGAAGGCCATTATCCTAAATGAATTAATGCAGGAACAGACAACCAAATACCACATGATCTCACTTATAAGTGGGAGCTAAACATTGAGTACACATGGACATAAAGATGGGAACAATAGGCACTGGGGACTATTAGAGGGGAGAGGGAAAGAGGGACATGTGGGCTGAAAAACTACCTGTGGGATACTCTGCTCAATACCCGGGTGATGGGATTATCCATACACCAAACCTCAGCAACATGCAATTTACACATGTAATGAACCTTCACATATACCTCCTGAATCCAAAATGAAAGTTGAAAAGAAAAAAACAAAACAAAACTAAGAGTCTTTATGTTACTGATCACTTCTCAAGCCAAGTTTTCCAAATCTCACATGATTTTTATCACATTTTTTAAATTAAAGCATTGGTCCCAAAGTACTGTCCAATAAAGTCAACTTGTGGTGCTCTGGCCTGCCGACAGCCATTGTTATTAACCAAGGCTTTCAACCTTATAATTTCCCGATAAATATGTTACCAAGCACAGAATGACAAATAAATCAAATAGTGTCCATTATATTTAGAGTGCATCATTGAATGAATATGTGAGTTGCAGTCCTGATTTATTTTCTTGTGAATATAATTGTGCAAAAACATGTTAGTTATCCATTTTCCGAGCTTTCCCTTTGTCTGAAAACCAACTTGTTTGGCCTGTACATTTTTCCTACTCGTTATTGAAAGCCTGGTGAGGTTCTAATACTAATGCTAAGAAAATCTGCAGATTTGCTGGCTGTGGTTCCCCAGTTATTTTGCCGTAGCTAATACTGGGGCCGAAACAACTGTTCTCTCCTATACTGGGTCTGTAGCAGAGAGTATTGACTGTGTAAACAAGATAGTGGAAGCAAGGCAGCAAATTTAAAACACTATTACAAGGTCTGACATAAGGTGAGCCATGAATAAATGTCAATAGTTATTATGATTACACATTGTTTTTGTTTGGATGTATTTTATTTGTAAAGGATTGGCAGGAAAAAATAAAACCATAGACTATGGTGTCAGGAGATGATGGTTTGCCACTTTGATGCTTGATGTTATTGAACCACTTACCATCTCTGGCTTCAGTTTACTCTTCTGGTTCAAGTAACTCACACGAGTAAATTCTCATGAGCCCTAGGTACTTCAAGGAGGATTCCTCTCACAGTGTATAAATATATGCTATTATATAATTGCAAAGAGAGACCATTACAATTTTCCATCATCATCCTATGATCAGAGAGCACCCAACACTATTCTACCTTCTATAGCAAATATTAGGACCATATTATATACTCAGAGACATTCAATCCAAATGAACATGTGTCTAATCTTTTATTAAGAATTACTTGTTAGGCCGGGTGCTGTGGATCATGCCTGTAATCCCAGCACTTTGGGAGGCCAAGGCAGGTGGATCACAAGGTAAGGAGTTCAAGACCAGCCTGGCCAACATGGTGAAACCCCGTCTCTACTAAATATACAAAAATTAGCCAGGCATGGTGGTGGGCGCCTGTAGTCCCAGCTACTCGGGAGGCTGAGGCAGGAGAATTGCTTGAACCCAGGAGGCAGAAGTTGCAGTGAGCCGAGATCGCATCATTGCACTCCAGCCTGGGCAACAGAGCGAGACTCTGTCTCCAAAAAAAAAAAAAGAATTACTTGTTAGAAAGTTACCAACCTCCTCCCATGCGCCCCCCCCACCTTTTTTTTCAGATTGTCCTTCACCTCTCTCAAATCATAATTGGAGGGAATGGAGACTTAAATTTTTTTAATAACTTGCAGGTGTTTGACAATCTCCTAGAATATCTTCTAGGTTGGTTATTTTATGTAAAGGTCATGGTAATCCTCTATGGTAAATAATATCTCAATTTTATGGACAGAGAGATTAAGGCTCAAAGAGGTTTAGTGTCTAATGGAAACAGATGTTGAGTTTGAGTTTGCCTTACTCCAGGATATGTGTTCTGTCAGGTGTGCACTGCCAGCCATGATATTTCCTACAAAATTTATAAAAGACTTAATAGATCTCAAGATTCTTAACTGGAGCTGGGAAGAAGGGCGCTTTGTAGTGTGTAGATGTTGGGAGGCACAGCGATTTGACTGAACAACAGTTTTACAATGATGGCTGAGGAATTGTGATACACATGCAAGTTGAAGGAGAAAGCACTAGGAGATTTTGGTTCTCTACAAAAAAACAGTGGAGAAGTGTAAACACTTACATGTTGGTCCACACCAACACATTAGAGCTATTCTCTTTAAAGAGCAATTACATTTTGCCTGTTTTGTTGAAAGTGAAGCACATGGACAAAAACCCAGATACAGGCCTTACTTGTTGAAGAAGATATCCCTTCAGGTTGATGAGACAGGAATCTACGTGTGTTCTGCATTGTTCACTAGTCCACTGAAAAATCGGTGATTTGCACCAATCTATATGACTTTGGTGACGAAACCCTGTTAGACACACAGAGCCTGCAAATTACAGAAAAGCAAACATCTACTCTAATCGAATAATGTGCTATTTAAAGTTAAATCAATAGGCCTACATTTCTAGTCTGAATAAAACATGAAACCTTAATAGAGTTATATCAGAAAGTCAGGTCTAATGGGCCCTGTAGTTCCAAGATCTAACTGTAAAGATGAAGCTGTAACAATTACAAGAATAAGAACAAAATAAAAGGAAGAAGGAAATGCACTTGACATTTGCTTCAGTATAGGCAATGTGCAAATAAAAATCAATTTACTTCAAGTAAACCTTCCTCTTTTGTAGTATAGATGCTGTGTGGTGTCAACATTTATTTCTTTCAATATTTATTCGCCTCAAGGAGAAGAGCAGAGTATTCAGCCTCAGGGTATGGCCTTCACAATTAGACATAAAAGTGAATTAATCCAGTTTTCTCATAATAAGTGGCAAGGTCAATCTAAGTCTGCTCTCAAAAGAAATGGGCAAAAAGGAATATATTCACTCTCAAAGCAAATTGCAAAAGATTGAGACCTTCATGGTGAGAGTGACAAGAAAAGGATCTATGTCAGGAGAGGTCACTTCTGTTTTTGCATTTTTTAATGAGTTTCATTTCTCCAGAGGAACTTCTCCATTAGGCAAGGATCAAAGCCAAGTGCAGACCTAGGTTTATATTTGTATAGCCTTACAACAAAAGAAGAAAATAATTTTTTCTTACCAGCATCAGTTCAAAACTTCTTAGGACAGAGAATTGGCTCAGTGTATTAGTCCATTCTTACCCTGATAAGAAGAACTGACTGAGACTGGGTAATTTATAAAGGAAATAGGTTTAATTGACTCACAGTTCTGCATGGCTGGGGAGGCCTCAGGAAACTTACCATCACGGCAGAAAGGGAAGCAAACATGTCCTTCACATGGTGGCAGGAGAGAGAAGAATGAGAGCTGAGCGAAGGGGGAAGCCTCTTACAAAACTATCAGATCTTGTGAGAACTTACTCACTATCATGAGAATAGCACGGGGGAAACCACCCCCATGATTCAGTTACCTCCCACTGGGTCTCCTCCATGACACATGGGGATTACGGGAACTACAATTCAAGATGAAATTTGGGTGGGGACAGAGCCAAACCTTATCACTCAGCCTCAGTTGCCAACCCTGGCCTAATGGCTACAGAGGGCAAAGGGGGCTGTACTGAAGCCGTTGGCGTGTTCTGTTGGGTCCTGTGCCCACTCCTGTGTATAACCATCCCTGACTAGAAGTAAACAAGAGGATTGCCATGCAGTCACAAGAAAAAAAAAAAAAAGAGATCAGTTCTGCAAAGGCTTTTGGTTCAGGAAAGCAAGGTAAAGACTAAATTGTTTCCAAACTTATCCATTGAGTCTGGGATATCTTAAAAAACAGGCCCCTTTTTTTTTTTTTTTTTTTTTTTTTTTAAGTATACTTAGGCCTTCTTTCAGAATTTAGGTGTGAAAGAAAAGAAAATTAGCACAGGTTGTTACTAAACTCTATTTTGGTGACTTGGGCAAGGGTTGAGCTTGTCGTTGATGTTTATATAAGAGTGAATCAGCTAGTTACCAACCACCCAAAAAAAGATAGGAAATGGGTGAAGATGTGAGTTTGGAAGTACACATAGAAGCTAAATTGTGACGGTCACTCTAGCTAAGCCAAGGCGTTTGGACTGTAGCCTATAGTCACTAAAAAAACTACTGGAGGATTTTAATTAGGAGAGAATTTTAAGAGAATTCTTGAAAATAAATGAAATTTTTGGCAGGATGTGGATTAGCAAGGTGATAATTATTTTAGAAGGTGCTGAGATCAGCTTCTTAAAAAATTCCAATACTTGGGTGATTGCCTGTATATATGTATGTATATATGTATATATATATGTGTGTGTGTGTGTGTATATATATATATATATACACACACACACATATATATACATATATATACATATTTATATGAAAACCATAAAGCTATCATATACAACATCCACTTTCATAATGAGTTCTCCAGAGTTTTGTTAAATAGAAAAGAGCAATGCCAATTTAAAGGAAATTCTTAAAAGAATTAAGATAAAAGGTGATATAAGAACATGGCAAAAACTTTCGCTACAATGCACAAATGGCTAAGGTTTAGAAGTCACCAAAGTAATTTTATGAAATGATTTTAAAATGTGATAGCTTATATCAAAGGTGGTATTTCCCTTTTATCTTAATTATAACTATTATTGAGATAAAGGAGAGATCAAAGAAGCAAAGCGGTTGAGATTTTAGCGCAAGGCAGGAATCTTGGGGGTTAGGCGTGAAATCAAGTTTTGGACTGCAGTAGACTCTATACAGTTGCAGGATGATGGCATTTCCTGGGTGAGTTTCCTTTGGCTGTTTTTGGAACAGCTAACTGTGTTCTTGCTGTCTCAAGGGAGTGGCACTAGGATGACACACAGAATCTGTGTGCGTAAAATCCAGGCCAGGTACCAGCCCCTGGCTTCCAAAGAACATTCTGCCCCTGTGTACTCTTCTAGGCCTGGAAGACACCTAGTCTGCCTACCTGCTGTGGCGTGTAATGGGGCAAATGGCCTCTTGTGGCAGGGGACACTGGGCGTAGGCGTCCATTTATTAAAAATGATTGCTATGATTTTGAGTTGTACTTCTCTGTGAGAAAGGGGAGAATCAATAATCAATGCCATTTGTAAAGGACAAAAGGAGGCTGTGATCTGGTTAAAATAAATCTGGTGTGCACAGGGTGTTGGTGACTGGCACTTAGGGCATAAGATTTGTGTATCACCACCTCCATTAGAGCTATTGTCAGATGCTAAGAGGAAATGCTGTATTCCTAGGGCTTCTACTTCATCATCCATAAAATAGATATCCTCAAATCAGTGTCATCTTCAACATGATTAATGGATCATTCCTGTGATGTGTCAAAAAGCCTTGCAAATGGACACATTGTGTGCTTTGAAGAAACAAATCACTGAAATCATTGTTTCCTCAAACATGGCTAGTGGGACTCTGTAGGTTTATAAAATGTTTCTGGTAGTAAAGGGGCAATTTTTAAAATTATATCAATACTTCTATATTTATTTGAATGTTTACCAGAAAATAATATGACATGAAGACAATGCAAAATATGCTATTATTTGAATTATAGGTGTGTCCATGTGCACAGTATTTTAGTAAGTGAACATTGCCTTCTGCCACAGTGGTTGGAAGAAAGATCAGATCACATTAATCACCAATAGGGTTTCTCAGTTTCTAATAAAGCTGATATCCTGTGTTCCTTTTAGTGACACTAAAAAATTTAAGTAATTTTTGGGATGTGGACATGGCAGAAATTGTGAAAGTACCACACGACTAACTGAAGTTCGGTAAAATTTGACCTAAGAGATGCCATTGTTAAAATGTTTTTTATATTAGAAGATAATTGCTTTATTTACGCATGCATTTATTCAACTAACACTGAATTTGTTATTGGTTAGTTATTAGGCATACTCACATAATTAAGACATGACTTATGACCTTGAATGGCTCATGCTGTATTATGGGAGACATAATACAGTTTCAAAAACTCTTCTGTTGATATAGGAATGAAGTATAATGGAAAATGTAGGAATTAAGAACAAAGATTCAGGACAGACATACAGAGGAGGTGCTATTTGAGTAGGGGTTCACCCAGCAAACAAGAGCAAGGACAGTATGTCAGGTTGTTGGACTCATATCAAAAGTTTGGAGAAATGTGGGAACGTGATGCGTGATTCATCTCTTCTTGTTCATTTGTGCAGGGGAAGGGTCTTTTTGATAAGGTGCATTCTGGGGAGAAGAAGTGGCAGTGTGTGAGACTATAAATGTAAGTAGAGTCTTCAAATACTTTGAAACGTGTTGGAATTTGGACTTAATTTAGGAGCCCAGAATGGCAGAGACAAGATGTGCATGTCACCACCCACCTCATGTGCTCATGGAAGACATCACTAATCAATCCCAGCACTCCTTCCAGCTAGGGCCCATTTCTTCTGCAGACAGAAATCTGAGGCTGCCTCTCTGATTGATTGGAAGTGATAACTGAGATGAAACCTATTTCTAACTTTTGGCAGAGCCTATGGAGCAAGAAAGAGCTTTTAATAAGGATTAGAACATGATGCAAAACAGGACAACAGCTGTATCCTAAAAATCTATATATTTAAAACATTTAAACAAATAAAAAGCAATACAGACCAACTTCAGTGCCTTTCCAGTGGAATCAAAGTCACATAATCAAGATTTTCTTTGTTTGTTTTAAACATGTTTAATTAGTTACCAATATTGAAAAGTTACGAGATTCAAAATTTGTTGTTTTTCTTAAACAATTTGAAAATTCAAATACTGTGTCAGTGTTCCCACCTGGCAATGCCCACATCCATCTGATCAGTAGCTGTGGATTTGGCTGGACGGGGTTCAGTCCCATTCACCACGGTTGATGGCATTCCCCATCATTTACCGTGAAGCTGCTTCCGTGATTCATGCTACCTGCCTGGATGCTGGAGGGATTTTATTTTCACCTCCTGCTTATCTATCCTAACAGATATTCCTAGGTAGAGGTTCTGATAAAAATCATGAATAAATGACATTTTTGTAAATTGAATGATGTTATACATGTATCAGACAAAACTATGGGATTTCTTTTCTCATGAAAATCCAGGGTTTCCCATATCAGAACTTTTCTGAATTAAGGAATTCTTAAGTTTTGTTATTGGGGGGTAACTTCTCAGTCTGTGCAGAACAGGACATTTTCAGAGTCAGGGATTCTACTCAGTATTTCTCACAATAAAAGATGTTGAACATGGGATCTTATAATAAGGTTTTCAATTCCTTTCCACAAAAAGAGCCTTACGATTTCCAACGCTGGTTCTGATCATGGAGGTGAGATACTGTAATTAAACACTCTTCAATCAGAAATATGGGGGGAAGTGAATTCCTTGGGAGTGAACTTGGAGGTGAACAAGAGTTAGAAATGTCCTCAAACGAAGAAGTGTTGAGAGTATTACTGTGGGTTGTAGGAAGGATAAAGTCCATGAAATGGAGAATGAAAATCTGGAAAGGAGAGGAAGGTGATGGGTAGAGCTTCTGTGATACATTTTATTTCAGTGTTTTCATTAACACAAAACTTTTCTAACTTATAGGTGAGTATGTCCGCTACTGACAAGATCAAGATTTGAGTCCTGGCATCTGGTCCAGGCTGTCATTGCCGCTGACTTCTCCCCGTGCAGGGTTCTGGGGAGGGGTGAGCGGTCTCTCTAATGGGATGTCCACAGTCTCTCGACCGTACCTGAGGCAGTGGCATCTGGGCTTGGCATTGTGTCAGCATCTGCATTTTCACTGTAACAAGAAAATGGTCGACTATTCCATTTTCAGCTGTTCTTGAAACTCCTGTTATCATTTTCTCTTTACAATCCTGGACAGAGTAATGAGGTTTTAAATCCTTCCAACATGCTCTCAAAGGCAGTCACCAGCTCTGTTAGTGTGACCTTTTCAATACTGCATGATTTACGTGGCTGGCCATTTGTCTCTCCTTTTAAATAACAGCAAAGAGGGGGAGGAGGGAGTCAGAGGGGCATGTTACAGCAGATATGAAAGGCTCACGGATGCCTTTTAGCTCCCACCAACAGACTTGGTGTTGGAATGACTGGACTAGCTTTGATCTGGCTGTTAGTTGTTTCCTGAAAACCCATATAAATGTGAAAATGGAAAAACATACACACCCTTGCTTCTATATTGCCTTATTAACCTCAGCATTTTCTCATTATTTATCCCCTTTCTCTAAGAGAGATGTTGACTTCTTTCTCAGATAGCTTCTGAAAATATTCTTAGGAGACACTGAATCTCCAAGTAATTTTTTTTTTTTTTAGAGACAGGGTCTTGCGATGTTGCCCAGTCTGGAGTGCAGTGGTGTGATCTCTGCAAACTGCACCCTTTGCTTCCTGGGCTCAAGTAATCTCCCCACCCTAGCCTCCCAAGTAGCTGGGACTACAGGCATGCACCAGCACATCTGGCTAATTTTTTTTTTTTTTTTCAGAGACAGGTTCTCACGATGTTGCCCAGGCTGATCTCAAACTCCTGGGCTCAAGGGATCCTCCCACCTTGGCCTCCCAAGTGTGCTACAATTACAGAAGTGAGCCACTGTGCCTAGCCTACCAAGCAGTTTTTAAACCACTTTATTAATATATGATTAGACCTATAAAAAGCTGTACATATTTAGTGTATACAACAGGATGAGTTTGGAGATAAACTGATCACCATTGATGAAAGCACCACCACAATCAAGACCATAAATCTACCCATTTCCTCCAAAGGTGTCATCCTGCTCTCTTTATTGCATTTATTTTTGTTATAACACACTTAAAAATTCTAGAGCCTATTGATTCAATGATTAATATTCTCAGGGGCTCTGCAATACTCAACACAATGAATTAACAACTTGCTTCTGATAGAACTATTTTGGTATTGAAGGAATTCTTTAATTTTAATTATTTTAATCTTTTTTTTTTTTTTTTTAACAAGGTCTTGCTCTGACACCCAGGCTGGTGTTCAGTGGTGTGATCACAGCTCACTACCGCCTCCACCTCCTCAAACTCAATCAATCCTCCTGCCTCGGCCTTCTGATGTTTATCTTTCTTTAATAAAAATGGGATCCTTTTAAATCTCAGGAAGCTTCAGCCAATTTAGATGACCCATAGATTTTAGTACCTGCACCACTCCTGTAATTATATTAATTTACTGTCTTATCGTACTCTCCAATTCTTCCACATATCTCTATCGTAAACACTTGAAGGAGAAGAGCCTGATGTTTGCGGTTCTTCAGTGCCTGGGCAACTGTCCTGGTCCAGGTGAGACAGCTTTGCGTAGAGATCACAAAACTGTATGCCTGCAGGACCTAGGCAGGTAGCATGTGTGGGTGGGAAGGATTGTTTTGTTTTGTTTTTGTATGGTAAAGTTATAGACATATTGTTTACTTTTATAAAGTGCTATGTTGACCCTATGTTTTTCTTCTAAACGTATTCCCGTATGGTTCCCTTTCATGTCCCCCCTTGAGGGAGGTGCGGACAGGAAGCAAGTATGAAGATAAACCACAGCTGACAGTCAGTCAGCTCAGTGGTGGAGCCACACTTGGGCCAGTGGCCCTGATGTGTAAGACATCGTTACTCAGTTCCAGCCAGCTGCTGCCATGCGGGGTTGCTGATTTACTGTTTCCACTTACTCTATTTTTTTAAAAAGAGACTAACATTCTCAATTTTTAAGTGAAAGCTGCCAATTAACAAAATTATTGACTTGTACTCTTTTGAATTTCCCAGAGTAAACAAAATAAAATTCCAGGCAAGAAAAATCCATGGACTCACCTATTAGCAACTTCCGGTGCAAATAAATGACTCAACTTAATATTAAATATCTCTACACTTCTGTGATTATGGAAGGATAGATTTGCATTTTGAACAGATTTCACAGTTACTTTATTTTTTAGCTTAAAATGTATCAAGAGTTAATTCATTAAGCATGTATTTCATATATTTGTCTAATGTATAGAAGGCATATTGACGACTATATTCAAGTATGTGTTTTAAGACATATATATGTACATTTGCTTATATATGTGTATATATACCTATATTTTATTATATATTCCATTTTAATGTAGAATTGGAGTTATATTTGGTTCTGAGGAATATATATTAATTAGATAGTTTAATTAGGTTTGGTGAGGATCTAAAATGGAAGGTGTATGATCTATTATTCAAGATAGATTCTATACTCCTTGCTGATTTACTTTTTCTCATTAACAGTTGTCATCGCCACATTTATTTAGCTGATTTGTTATCTGTCTTCCCCACTGGAACATAGGCACCACGAGGCAGGTTCTCTCGGCATCATTCACTCATGTCCCCAGTGCTCAGAACAGAATCTGTCACAATCTAGGAACTCATTAAATGATGGTTGAATAATCGAATGAAAGATTTTGTTTTTGGAGACCATTTTTTAGAAAGCCAAGGAAGGATAATTACTGCTGTCTTGCACTGATCACATATCACCTTGGTCCGTTTAATTCATATGTCTGTAGTAACAAAGACAATTCTTGGTGTACTTATCCCAGCTTGGGGATAAGGCAGGCAGGGCTGAATGCCAAGGGCCACACAGCCCAATCCCCTGTGTTGAGGTGGGCTGGACTCAGGCGTCTGCACCGTGCTTAGGATACAAAGCACTCACTTTTGGGATGCCCCCAGCCTCAAGAGGGTCAAGACGAAGTTTCCTGGTGACAAGGAGAATGAGGTCTTCCAGGTCAGGATATGTTATGACCACAGGTGGACTCATTGATGCCAGTTCATTTCACTTTATATTTGACAGACATTACTGAGCATCTACGTTATTCCAGGATCTGTGAAAGTGTGTAATAGAAATAAAACATTTCCATTCACATCTTGTGATAAATTTTCTGATCAGTTACCTAGAGTCTAGTCTTTGGGGAGGAAGCAGGGGCAATAACTACTCTCAAAAATATGTTAGGGGAGTAAGTAGATAGTTAAACAAATAAAGGTAACATAGTGGGAAAAAAGCTATAATAGAGAGTATCACAGGCACACAAATGAGGAAGTGATCCTGCTATTTGAAAGTTGGACAAAACTTCACAGGAGAAAACATTGAATTGCTTCTTTTTTTAAAATGGTCCATATTTATAATAACATGACCTAGAATCCCACCATGCAGAAATAACCACTTTTAACATCAGGAAGCAATATTTTTACACTTCCTTTGCATATATAGTGTGTAGAACATATTACTTGCTTCCCTTTTTACTTAATGGTATGCACAAACATATTTCTGTGGCTTAATTTTTTATGATATCCCATTATTTGTAATTTAAGCAATTGCTATCATCATTTCCCAGTGAGCTACATATTTAGATTAATTTTAGTTTTATTTTTTCCCCACTGAAAACAATGCTATCATAAGTATCCCTCTTGCTAAATGTTGTATAAATCCATTTGTTTTGCTAGGCTACATTCTTTGTTTCTCGAGATGTTTTTGTTACACTCTTTTTGAAAGTGCAGAAATTTTAAGGATAAAACTTGATAAATTATCTCAGTATTAACAGGCTTACACACACACCTCTGAAATCAAGACTTAGAACATTACCAGCATGTCAGAGGTTACCCTGTGCCCCTCTCAATTGTACTGACTTTCTTCTTTTCTGAAGGAACTCTTAAGCTTAATTTTTGGATGTGAAGTTATGTTTAAAAGGAAGTTCATTTATTAGGCTTTTGAAACATACTGCCAAATTTTCCTCCAAAAAAGCTTTACCTGTCTATCCTATTTCTGTTCACTTTCTTAAACCTCTATTGTTATAGTAAATACATATATGTATTGTGAATATATATTATAAATATAACTGTATTGTGAATAGATAGTAAATATATGTATACCTTTTGTAAATATTTATCTATTATAAATATGTATATACAGCATTGTCATTTTGATAAATTGCATCTCAATGATGTCTACTGTGTACTCCTTTGACTACTAATGAGATTAAATGGTTTTCCATATGATTTTTTTTATTATTATACTTTAAGTTCTAGGGTACATGTGCACAACATGCAGGTTTGTTACATACGTATACATGTGCCATGTTGGTTTGCTGCACCCATTAACTCGTCATTTACATTAGGTATTTCTCCTAATGCTATTCCTCTCCCATCCCCCCACCCCACGACAGGCCCCAGTGTGTGATGTTCCCTACCCTATGTCCAAGGTTCTCATTTTCAATTCCCACCTATGAGTGAGAACATGCAGTGTTTGTTTCTCTGTCCTTGTGATAGTTTGCTCAGAATGATGGTTTCCAGCTTCATCCATGTTGCTACAAAGGACATGAACTCATCATTTTTTATGGCTGCATAGTATTCCATGGTGTATATGTGCCACATTTTCTTAATCCAGTCTATCATAGATGGACATTTGGGTTGGTTCCAAGTCTTTGCTATTGTGAATAGTGCCACATTAAACATACGTGTGCATATGTCTTTATAGTAGCATGATTTATAATCCTTTGGCTATCTACCCAGTAAAGGGATCGCTGGGTCAAATGGTATTTCTAGTTCTAGATCCTTGAGTAATCACCACACTGTCTTCCTCAGTGGTTGAACTAATTTACACTCCCACCAACAGTGTAAAAGCATTCCTATTTCTCCACATCCTCTCCAGCACCTGTTGTTTCCTGACTTTTTAATGATCACCATTCTAACTGGTGTGAGATGGTATCTCGTTGTGGTTTTGATTTGCATTTCTCTGATGACCAGTGACGATTAGCATTTTTTCTTTTGTCTGTTGGCTGCATAAATGTCTTCTTTTGAGAAGTGTCTGTTCATATCCTTTGCCCACTTGTTGATGGGATTGCTTGTTTTTTTCTTGTAAATTTGTTTAAGTTCTTTGTAGATTCTGGATATTAGCCCTTTGTCAGATGAGTAGATTGCAAAAATTTTCTCCCATTCTGTAGGTTCTCTGTTCACTCTAATGATAGTTTCTTTTGCTGTGCAGAAGCTCTTTAGTTTAATTAGATCCCATTTGTCTATTTTGGCTTTTGTTGTCATTGCTTTTGGTGTTTTAGTCATGAAGTCCTTGCCCATGCCTATGTCCTGAATGGTATTGCCTAGGTTTTCTTCTAGGGTTTTTATGGTTTTAGGTCTAACATTTAAGTCTTTAATCCCTCTTGAATTAATTTTTGTATAAGGTGTAAGGAAGGGATCCAGTTTCAGCTTTCTACATATGGCTAGCCAGTTTTCCCAGCACCATTTATTAAATAGGGAATCCTTTCCCCATTTCTTGTTTTTGTCAGGTTTGTCAAAGATCAGATGGTTGTAGATGTGTGGTGTTATTTCTGAGGCCTCTGTTCTGTTCCACTGGTCTGTATCTCTGTTTTGGTACCAGTACCAGTACATGCTGTTTTGGTTACTGTAGCCTTGTAGTATAGTTTGAAGTCAGGTAGCGTGATGCCTCCAGCTTTGTTCTTTTTGCTTAGCATTGTCTTGGCAATGCAGACTCTTTTATGGTTCCATATGAACTTTAAAGTAGTGTTTTCCAATTCTATGAAGAAAGTCATTGGTAGCTTGATGGGGATGGCATTGAATCTATAAGTTACCTTGGGCAGTGTGGCCATTTTCACAATATTGATTCTTCCTATCCATGAGCTTGGAATGTTCTTCTATTTGTTTGTGTCCTCTTTTATTTTGTTGAGCAGTGGTTTGTAGTTCTCCTTAAAGAGTTCCTTCACATCCCTTGTAAGTTGGATTCCTAGGTATTAGGTATTTTACTCTCTTTGTAGCAATTGTGAATGGGAGTTCACTCATGATTTGAAACTCTGTTTGTCTGTTATTGGTGTAAAAGAATGCTTGTGATTTTTGCACATTGATTTTATATCCTGAGGCTTTGCTGAAGTTGCTTATCACCTTAAGGAGATTTTTGGCTGAGACGATGGGGTTTTCTAAATATACAATCATGTCGTTTGCAAACAGGGAAAATTTGACTTCCTCTTTTCCTAATTGTATACCCTTTATTTCTTTCTGTTGCCTGATTGCCCTGGCCAGAACTTCCAACAGTATGTTGAATAGGAGTGGTGAGAGAGGGCATCCCTGTTTTGTGCCAGTTTTCAAAGGGAATGCTTCCAGTTTTTGCCCATTCAGTATAATACTGGTTGTGGGTTTGTCATAGATAGCTCTTATTATTTTGAGATACGTTCCATCAATACCTAGTTTATTGAGATTTTTTTAGCATGAAGAGCTGTTGAATTTTGTCAAAGGCCTTTTCTGCATCTATTGAGATAATCATGTGGTTTTTGTCTTTGGTTCCATTTATATGAGGGATTACGTTTATTGATTTGCATATGTTGAACAAGCCTTGCATCCCAGGGATGAAGCCAACTTGATCTTGGTGGATAAGCTTTTTGATGTGCTGCTGGATTCGGTTTGCCAGTATTTTATTGAGGATTTTCGCATCAATGTTCATCAGGGATATTGGTCTAAAATTCTCTATTTTTGTTGTGTCTCTGCTAGGCTTTGGTATCAGGATGACGCTGGCCTCATAAAATGAGTTAGGGAGGATTCCCTCTTTTTCTATTGATTGGAATAGTTTCAGAAGGAATGGTACCATCTCCTCTTTGTACCTCTGGTAGAATTTGGCTGTGAATCCATCTGGTCCTGGACTTTTTTTGGTTGGTAGGCTATTAAATATTGCCTCAATTGCAGAGCCTGTTATTGGTCTCTTCAGCAATTCAACTTCTTCCTGGTTTAGTCTTGGGAGGGTGTAGTCTTGGGAGGGTCTAGTTTATTTGCCTAGAGCTTTTTATAGTATTCTGTGATGGTAGTTTGTATTTCCGTGGGATCGGTGGTGATATTCCCTTTATCATTTTTTATTGCGTCTATTTGATTCTTCTCTCTTCTTCTTCTTTATTAGTCTTGCTAGCAGTCTATCAATTTTGTTGATCTTTCCAAAAAACCAGCTCCTGGATTCATTGATTTTTTGAAGGGTTTTTTTGTGTCTCTATCTCCTTCAGTTCTGCTCTGATCTTAGTTATTTCTTGCCTTCTGCTAGCTTTTGAATGTGTTTGCTCTTGCTTCTCTAGTTCTTTTAATTGTGATGTTAGGGTGTCGATTTTAGATCTTTCCTTCTTTCTCTTGTGGGTATTTAGTGCTGTAAATTTCCTTCTACACACTACTTTGGATGTGTCCCAGAGATTCTGGTATGTTGTATCTTTGTTCTCATTGGTTTCAAAGAACATCTTTATTTCTGCCTTCATTTCGTTATTTACCCAGTAGTCATTCAGGAGCAGGTTGTTCAGTTTCCATGTAGTTGTGCGGTTTTGAGTGAGTTTCTTAATCCCGAGTTCTAATTTGACTGCACTGTGGTCTGAGAGACAGTTTGTTGTGATTTCTGTTCTTTTACATTTGCTGAGGAGTGTTTTACTTCCAACTACGTGGTCAATTTTGGAATAAGTGCAATGTGGTGCTGAGAAGAATGTATATTCTGTTGATTTGGGGTGGAGAATTCTGTAGATGTCT
Source organism: Homo sapiens (assembly GCF_000001405.40). NCBI lineage: Eukaryota > Metazoa > Chordata > Mammalia > Primates > Hominidae > Homo > Homo sapiens. Next base: position 126,324,157 of record NC_000012.12, read on the forward strand.
ATTAGGTCTGCTTGGTGCAGAGCTGAGTTCAAGTCCCGGATATCCTTGTTAACCTTCTGTCTCGTTGATCTGTCTAATATTGACAGTGGGGTGTTAAAGTCTCCCATTATTATTGTGCGGAAGTCTAAGTCTCTTTATAGGTCTCTCAGGACTTGCTTTATGAATCTGGGTGATCCTGTATTGGGTGCATATATATTTAGGATAGTTAGCTCTTCTTGTTGAATTGATCCCTTTACCATTATATAGTGGCCTTCTTTGTCTCTTTTGATCTTTGTTAGTTTAAAGTCTGTTTTATCAGAGACTAGGATTGCAACACCTGCTCTTTTTTTTTTTTGCTTTCCATTTGCTTAGTAGATCTTCCTCCATCCCTTTATTTTGAGCCTATGTGTGTCTCTGCACGTGGGATGGGTCTCCTGAATACAGTACACTGATGGGTCTTGACTCTTTATCCAATTTGCCAGTCTGTGTCTTTTAATTGGGGCATTTAGCCCATTTACATTAAGGTTAATATTGTTATGTGTGAATTTGATCCTGTCATTATGATGTTAGCTGGTTATTTTGTCCGTTAGTTGATGCAGTTTCTTCCTAGCATCAATAGTCTTTACAATTTGGCATGTTTTTGCAGTGGCTGGTACTGGTTGTTCCTTTCCATGTTTAGTGCTTCCTTCAGGAGCTCTTGTAAGGCAGGCCTGGTGGTGACAAAATCTCTCAGCATCTGCTTGTCTGTAAAGGATTTTATTTCTCCTTCACTTGTGAAGCATAGCTTGGCTGCATATGAAATTCTGGGTTGAAAATTCTTTTCTTTAAGAATGTTGAATATTGGCCCCCACTCTCTTCTGGCTTGTAGGGTTTCTGCCGAGAGATCCACTGTCAGTCTGATGGGCTTCCCTTTGTGGGTAACCCGACCTTTCTCTTTGGCTGCCCTTAGCGTTTTTTCCTTCATTTCAGTCATGGTGAATCTGACAATTACGTGTCTTGGGGTTCTCTTCTCAAGGAGTATCTTTGTGGTGTTCTCTGTATTTCCTGAATTTGAATGTTGGCCTGCCTTGCTAGGTTGGGGAAGTTCTCCTGGATAATTCCTGAAGAGTGTTTTCCAGCTTGGTTCCATTCTCCCAGTCACTTTCAGGTACACCAATCAAATGTAGATTTGGTCTTTTTTCATAGTCCCATATTTCTTGGAGGCTTTGTTTGTTTATTTTTACTCTTTTTTCTCTAAACTTCTCTTCTTGCTTCATTTCATTAATTTGACCTTCAATCACTGATGCCCTTTCTTCCACTTGATCGAATCGGCTACTGAAGCTTGTGCGTGCATCACGTAGTTCTCATGCCATGGTTTTCAGCTCCATCAGGTCATTTAAGGTCTTCTCTACACTGTTTATTCTAATTAGCCATTCATCTAATCTTTTTTCAAGGTTTTTAGCTTCCTTGCAATGGGTTCAAACATCCTGCTTTAGCTCAGAGAAGTTTGTTATTACCGACTTTCTGAAGCCTACTTCTGTCAACTCATCAAAGTCCTTCTCCGTCCTGCTTTATTCTGTTGCTGGTGAGGAGCTGCAGTCTTTGGAGGAGAAGGGGCGCTCTGGTTTTTAGAATTTTCAGCTTTTCTGCTCTGGTTTCTCCCCATCTTTGTGGTTTTATCTACCTTTGGTCTTTGATGATGGTGACCTACAAATAGGGTTTTGGTGTGGATGTCCCTTTTGTTGATGTTGATGCTATTCCTTTCTGTTTGTTAGTTTCCTTCTAACAGTCAGTCCCTCAGCTACAGGTCTGTTGGAGTTTGCTGGACGTCCACTCCAGACCCTGTTTGCCTGGGTATCACCAGCAAAGGCTGTAGAACAGCAAATATTGCTGCCTGATCCTTTCCCTGGAAGTTTGTCTCAGAGGGGCACCCGGCTGTATGAGGTGTCAGTCTGCCCCAAATGGGAGGTGTCTCCAAGTTAGGCTACACGGGGGTCAGGGACCCTCTTGAGGAGGCAGTCTGTCTGTTCTCAGAGCTCAAACACTGTGCTGGGAGAACCACTGCTCTCTTCAGAGCTGTCAGACAGGGACGTTTAAGTCTGCAGAAGTTTCTGCTGCATTTTGTTCAGCTATGCCCTGCCCCCAGAGGTGGAGTCTACAGAGGCAGGTTGACCTTTTTGAGCTGTGGTGGGCTCCACCCAGTTCAAGCTTCCCGGTAGCTTTGTTTATCTACTCAAGCCTCAGCAATGGCAGACGCCCCTCCCCAGCCAGGCTTGCTGCCTCACAGTTCGATCTCAGACTAGCAGTGAGCAAGGCTCCATGGGAGTGGGACCCGCTGAGCCAGGTGTGGGATATAATCTCCTGTTGTGCCGTTTACTAAGACCTTTGGAAAAGCCAGTATTTAGGTGGCAGTGTCCCAATTTTTGTGGTACAGTCTATCACAGCTTCCCTTGGCTTGGGAAGGGAAATCCCCTGACCCCTTCCACTTCCCAGGTGAGACAATGCCCCACCCTGCTTCAGCTCACCCTTCATGGGCTGCAGCCACTTTCTGACCAGTCCCAGTGAGATGAACCAGGTACCTCAGTTGGAAATGCAGAAATCACCGGTCTTCTGCGTCAATCACGCTGGGAGCTGCAGACCAGAGCTGTTCCTATTCGGCCATCTTGGAACGGACTCCGGTTTTCCATATGATTTAAAGTGCTTTACATTACCTGTTTGTGAATGTCAAATGGCCTATCATTTGTGTGTCTTTGTGTGTGCCTGTGTGTGTTTCTATCTCTATGCATATCTGTGTGTGTGTCTTTGTATGTCTGTATGTGTGCCTGTGTGGCCATATGTGTCTGTGTATGTCTCTGTATGTCTCTGTGTATGTCTGTATGTGTGTGTCTATGTGTGTGTCTGTGTATGTGCCTGCATGTGTGTCTGTATGTGTCTCTGTGTATATCTGTATGTTTGTATGTTTATATTTCTCTCTGTGTATGTCCGTGTGTGTGTCTATGTATGTCTATATCTGTATATGTGTGTGTGTCTGTGTTTGTCTCTGTGTGTTTGTCTGTATGTGTGTGTCTATGTTTGTCTATGTATGTGTGTATCTGTATGTACCTCTGTGTGTGTATGTGTGTCTGTGTATGTGTGTGTGTGTCTGTGTATGTTTGCAATGTGTATATTTCTCTCTGTGTATGTCCGTGTGTGTGTCTATGTATGTGTGTCTGTATCTGTATATGTGTATGTGTGTGTATATCTGTATGTGTATGTCTTTGTGTCTGTCTCTGTGTGTGTGTCTGTAAGTGTGTGTGTGTCTGTAATGTGTCTCTGTGTGTATCTGTGTGTGTCTGTGTATGTCTGTATGTGTGTGTCTGTATGTGTCTCTGTGTGTATTTGTGTGTCTGTGTATGCCTGTATGTGTGTGTCTGTGTATGTGTGTGTGTGTCTGTCTGTGTCTCTGTATCTGTGTGTGTCTGTGTATGCCTGTATGTGCGTGTCTGTGTATGTGTGTGTGTGTGTGTCTGTGTGTGTCTCTATATTTGTGTGTCTGTGTATGCTTGTATGTGTGTGTCTGTGTGTGGGACTATGTATGTGTGCGTGTGTGTGTTTTTTCCTTCTAGGTCCTTCTTGGGGCTTGCCTTCTTGGCCACATCTTTAATGACCTGGATATAATTTTTATGAGGACTTAGACATTAGCTATCACTTTCCATTAACATCTTGCAATAAATTTTCTGATCAGCTGACTAGAGCCTAGACTTTGGAGAGGAAGCAGGGGAAACAATTTAGCTCCAAAAATTAACTAGGCCTGCCTGAAATTATTGTTCAGACAAGCCTTGGGTTGTGGTTTTGCATAACAGAGTTCCAAATTTAATATCATTCTGACTTAAAACTTCATCTGGTCTTCCAGTGATGACCTTGATTAATTGTGCTTAAAGATTTCTGAAGATGTGTAATATTTTGAATTGAATATGACAGGGGTTTTAATATATTCAACCTCCTGCATTTCATTTTTGTGACTGAGGAGACTGGGTCAGCTTTTAGCATCCTATAAATTACCTCCTCTTTACTCTTGCTTTTTTTTAAAATAACAGCTTTATTGAGATATAATTCACATGCCATATATATACTTCCCCAGTTTAAAGTATATGATTCAATGGTTTTTAGTATATTCCCAGAGTTATGCAACCACCTCCACAGTAAATTTTAGAACGCTTCCATTGCCCCAAAAGCAACTCCTTCCCATTAGCATTCCCTCCCCATCTCTCTAATATGCCCCTTCCTTGAGATCCTGGCAACCAATATTTTTTTTTCTGTGTGTATGAATTTGTCTATTCTGGATATTTCATAAAAATAGAATGATATAATATGTAGTATTTTGTGACTAGCTTCTTTCACTTAGCATAATTTTTAGGTTTATTCATGTTGTATTAGGTAACAGTGCTTCATTTCTGTTTTTTTCCTCTTAATAATACTCCATGATATGCATATACCATATTTTGTTTATCCATTCATTAGTTGATGGACATTTGAGTTGTTTCCAATTTGGGCTATTAGGAGTAAAATGTTGCTATAAACATTCTTGCATAAGTCTTTGTATGGACATAGGTTTTTAATTTTCCCGAGTATGTACCTAGGAGTGGAAATGCTGCATGATAGGTTTACTCCACATTTAACCTTTTGTGGAGCTGCCAGACTGTCTTCCAAAGTGGCCAAACCATTTTACTTTCTTACTGTAAGTAGATGAGGTTTCCAATTTCTCCTCATCTTTGGCAGTATTAGTCATTTTATGTTTTTTTTCTATACAGCAAGCCTAATGGGTGTAAAGTAGCATTTCATTTTCATGTATTGCATTTCCTTCATGGCTAATAATTCCAGGCATCTCTTCCTGTGCTTATTGGCCAGTTGTATATCTTCCTTAGAGAACTGCCTTTTCAGATCCTTTCCCCATATACAAATTGGGTTACTTTTTATTATCGAATTGTACTTCCTTGGTCTTCTATTTCACTTGCGGATGAGCTACTGGTGTGAAGGCAGAACTTCTGGGCAGCGCACGTGCTCATCTTTTGCTTCCTCCATGACACAGAGAGGTTTCTGTGTCCACATTGCACCTAAGAGTAAATGAAAGCACCGGGGCTGCCAGCCCCTGTGGAAACTTCTCCAGCTCACTCCAGTCCCCACTCAGCCTGCTTCCTGCATCAGCACTACTTGCCTGGCCCTGGAGATATCAGAGTTTAGAATCCTTGATGGAGAATGTGGGGGCACTTAGGGAGGTAAACACTGCACCTTCTTATAGGAAGAAAAGGTAAACAAGCTCAAGTCTTGAATTTACTGATCAGAGATAGCACTTCTTATGTGCTACCCTCCTCTGATGAACATCACTAGAAGATTTTACTCTACAAGCTATAGAGCCATGATCTCATTTTTTTTAAGTACAGGAAATTTCTCATATAGCTGTCTGTTACTTTCTGTTAATTTGGGCATGGAAATGCATTGTAGTATTATAAATTTGGCCAACTCCTAAGTATCAATATAAGCAGGTGAGATATATATATTTTTTTGTAAATATGTTTTGCTGAATTATGTGCCTGGATTTTATAGATGATCATTATAAAGGTGACTCATTTTTCATAATGTGAACATTCCATGAAAACATCTTTAGCGTAATTTGCCTATACAAATTTCTAGAGAAATATATTAAGCAGTCAGGTGTTTACTTATGCTATTTAAATTATTAATTTAATTGAACATATATGTGGTTTTAAAAATCATATCCACAAAATACATTAATTCTAAAATACAATTTATTATTAACCATTTCACATTTCTTGAATCATTTTAATTGCCCTCCTCACTGGCACCTTTAACATTAGTGTCTGCATCGCTAGAGGCACATTCGCAATCCCCTTATAATTTTTCTGAGCAAAACAACTTCACTTCAGTTGAAGTAATTGGGGACATAGCATTGTTTTTAAAGGTTTCAGTGTGGCCACTGGAAATTCCCACACATAGGTTGTTGAAGTTTTGTCTTCCTCTAGGTGGATATTTACTATCACTACAACATAATTGCTTTCCATGTTACTTCTTAAAGCAATATTTAATTGACTTTTAATAATTACTTTTAAAAAATGACTTTTGCATTAATATTCAACACTTATAATTATGAAGCTACATCCCAAGCGGGGAAATATGAAGAAGGCTGTGTTAATTATTTTTGCCTTTTTTCCCCAAACTGTCTATGGCAGTTGACCTCTGTAAATATCTGTATTAGTCTGTTCTCACACTGCTATAAAGAAATATCCATGACTGGGTAATTTATTTTAAAAAAAAAGAGGTTTAATTGACTCACAGTTTCGCATTGCTGGGGAGGCCTCAGGAAACTTACAATCATGGCAGAAGGCAAAGGGGAAGCAGGTGCCTCCTTCACAGGGTAGCAGGATGGAGTAAGTGCCAGCAGAGGAAATGCCAGAAGCTTATAAAACCATGAAGTCTCATGAGACTCACTCACTATCAGAGAACAGCATGAGGGAAACCACCCCCATGACCCAATTACCTCCACCTGGTCCTGCCCTTGACATGTGGGAATTATGGGGATTAGAATTCAAGGTGAGATTTGGGTGGAGACACAGCCAAACCATATCAATATCCAAAGCAGTGTTGGGTGAGAGTGTTTCACACATTTGTCTCCCCAAGCACTACTTGTTTTGTGTACAGATTAAAACAAATGAGAGGATGCTGTGTCATATGAGAGATTTCATGAGGATTTGAATGTAAGAAAACTTTAATTTTTGTTGCCTTAGGGACCTTTTAGGGGAAATCTTTTGCCTTCTATTCAACAATATCCAACAGTCTCTTGTCCAACATTTTACCTTGGGAAAGTTCTGTGATGCATTGCTGATTCAAATGTAGACGTTTCATACATTTTTCTCCCTTCTGAATAACTCTACCTCTGCCTGCCACTCTTTTGTGTGTGAAACGTGTGTCAATGGAAAGGACTTGAGGTCAGGATTTAGGAGGTCTGTCTTCCTGTCTGAGCTTCAAAAGCAATTCCCAACAAAGAAAACCTACATGTGCCAGGTTCTGTACTGATTTCTGTGAATAGGTGGTCCAGGCCTTCAAGGAGCTTACAGCCAGGCAAGGGAGAAAGGCAATGAGTTGATAGTAACATTAAAAAAGAACTAGAGTGATGTGTAATAACAGAGGTCAGACATGCCTCATGTGGAAATCTCTGAGCAAAAAACATTTGGACTGAGATGAAAAGAATGAGTAGTTTAACAGTGTGAAAACTGTGGATGAGAGGAAAAGAAGATATTGTTCTAGGCAGAAGGAAATAAGAGCTAAAGGCTCTGAGGTGGGGAAATCATAGTACATTCATTGTTGGTGGTCAGTGGAGCACCATGAGGTTGGAGCATTGAACAACAGAAAGAGTGGTGTGAGATGAACCTGCAGAGGTAAATGGTGTAAACAATGAAAAAGGACAGTTCTTTCTTGATATGAATAACTATAGGAAACCATTGATGTATCTAAACGAGGGCAAAACAATATATTTTCATTTATAAAAGTGCTCTCTGGCTACAGTGTAGAATTGGGAGGGGAGGTGGTTAGAAGTAATTGGAATTGTCCAGCTGAGAGATGATGGAGGCTTGGATTAAGAAAGATACCAGTGGAGAGAAAAACTGGCATACTCAAGAGAGATTGAAGAGTAAAATCAAGAGAACTAGTGATAGATTGGATATGGAAGATGAGGAAGAAGGAGAGATTGAGAAAGAAAGACTGGTTTCTGGCTTATACAATTGCTGGTTATTATATGTGAAAATGATGGATGGGTCATGAACTTGAAGTTGGACATGCTGAGTTTGAGATACCTCTGATCTACTCATGTGAAGATGTCAAAGAACCCAATGGACATGAAGACTTAATCTGCAAGTATAAATTGGGGTAAACAGAAGAGCAATGTCTGGGGGTTTATATCTTGCAAAATGAGCTGTATGGTGGCTCCACTCACTGAGGTGGGGAGTCCTTCAGGCAGCCCCAGCCTGATCTTGCACCCCTAAAAGTAGTGTGTATCTCTGAACCAGTCACCTTGATGGCCTTAGTTGCTTCATCTAGAAAATAAAATTGTAGGTACCTTGAAGTTTTGTGATTCTGTGTTGGATTGATTGTTAATTTTATGTCTTCTGCACATGAAGAAATAGTTGCCCCACCTTCTCTTCCATACCTAGACACACAAATGACAGTTTCCTGAAATTTTTTTTTTTAGACAGAATCTCACCCTGTTGCCTAGGCTGGAGTGCAGTGGTATGATCATAGCTCACTGCAACCTCTGCCTCCTGGGTTCAAGCAATTCTCCTGGCCTTAACCTCCCAAGTAGCTGGAACGGCATCCACCAGGACATCCGGCTAGTTTTTGTATTTTTAGTGGAGATGGGGTTTCACCATGTTGGCCTGGCTGGTTTCAAACTCCTGACCTCAAGTGATCCACCCGCCTCGGCTTCCCAAAGTGCTGGGATTACAGGCGTGAGCCACTGTACCTGGCCGAAATATTTTATTTGGTCATGAAGATGATGTGGTTTTGAAAAGAAGGGCTTACACTGGGTAAACCTTAAACTGCTAACCTTTGTATCTTGAAGAGATTTTCTAAGAGCTGAATCAAAAGATCATAATGAACATGGTAGACTCTCATTGCTATTTTGCAAAGTTTTGTTCCAAGGGCATAAATATAATTATACCCATGTTTCAGTGCAGCTCTGAGCACTTGCCTACCTGTTCTTTAATCTGAGAACATGAGTGCTGTGATTATAACATATAAATTTTGGGAGACACAATTCAGTCCATAGCACTTATGGTCTCAGGTACCCCAACAGATGTTGAGAAACCAAAGGTGGGAATGACTTTCAGAGAGAAGGTTGTGAGTCTGATGCTCTTGAGGCCCAGATCTTAGTGGGAGGCAAACCTGGCCCTTAGGGACCCTGGCGCTGGGGAAGCAACATCCACAGTGGGTGGAAATGGGCTGGGCTTGGGGTTCAGATGGGGCTGACTCTGCTGCTTATTAATAGAAAGGGAAATTCAGAGGGTTATGAAGATCACAGACTCAGAGCCAGAAGCTGGTCATTAATAAAAGTTTCATGAGAGAAAATTACATAAGTTCTTTGAGTCTCAATTATTTCACCCAAAATGTGAATAATAATAGTACTTGCCTCACAGGATTGTTGTAAAGCAGGGGTCCTGAACTCTCCTGCCACAGGTCCATGGCCTGTTAGGAACCAGGCCACACAGCAGGAGGTGAACAGCAAGTGAGGGGGTGAAGCTTCATCTGTAGTTACAGCTGCTCCCCATTGCTCACATTACCACCTGAGCTCTGCATCCCATCAGATCAGCTGTGGCATTAGATTCTCAAAGAAGTGTGAACCCTATAGTGAACTGTGCATGTGAGGGATCTAGGATGCATGCTCCTTATGAGAATCTAATGCCTGATGATATTTCACTGTCTCCCATCACCCCCATATGGGCCATCTAGTTGTAGGAAAACAAACTCAGAGCTCTTCCTGATTCTTCATTATAGTAAGTTGTATAATTATTTCATTATATATTACAATGTAGTAATCATAGAAATAAAGTGCACAATAAATGTAATGCTCTTGCATCATCCTGAAACTATTGCCCCCCACCCCTTAACCCCATCCATGGAAAAATTATCTTCCAAGAAACTGGTCCCTGGTGCCAACAATATTGGAGACCACTGCCACCAAGGCTCAATGAAATGACGCATGAAAATCATTGAGGTGCTTAACGGTCATTATTCACTCTCTACTTTCCTATTTTTCATAACCCATGATATTCTTTCTTAGATACCCTACCTGTAAATATCAACCAGTATTTATATAGTATAAGATTAAAAGTGTGGGCTTCGAATTCAGACTGGATTCACCACTTACAGATGTGTGACCTTGGACAAGTAACTTAAACTCTCTGTTCCTCACTTTCCTGATCTCCAAATTGGGGATGATAATTTCCCATAGTGTTGTTCTGAAGATTTAATTTTATAATGTGTACAACACACTCAGAACAACGCCTGGCACATGGTAGACATGTGATAGACGTTAGGTTTACTGCGTGAGTTGAAGTAGTGTACTTTATTGTACTGGTTAAAATCATGTTGTAATAAATAGAACCCAGGGCACATAATAGCCCAAACACAATATAAATTAATTTTTTCTCTCACACAATAGCTCATGGCTGGTGGGCAAGTCTTTTCTATGACTCTGAGAACCAGCTGAGCCATCTCCCTGGAATCTCAGCACTGCCTGCAACTGGCTGAAGAAAAAGAGAGGAGAGCATGGAGGGAGGGGAGAGGCAAAGCACTTTTTAAAAGCCTTGGCCTGAAAGTAGCATGTACCATTTTCTCTCTGGTGTAACTGCAAGAGTTGTTCTCATGCCCAAGCCTAAATGAAGAGGGCTGGGTAAGACAAGCCCCATTGGGCAGCAGCTTCCCAGCCACTGCTCGGCACTGTGGAGGAGGGAAGGGCTGGCTTCCTGTGGAAAGCTGGCTGCCTCCTCTCCCATTCCCTTGTTAGCACCTGTCATTCTAAGATGTGGTGGTCCATGTTTGAAAAATGGGCCCCCTTCTGTTGGGCCATTAGGATCTGACCGGTTCTCCAAGACCTCTTTGATGTTCTGTCGGCTGCTGGAAAGTACATGGTAACCCAACCTTCTGGTTATTGGTTAGGACGCCCAATATTCCCCAAAACAGCCTCAAGTACTTGGCTTCCTCACCCTTTAATCTGTGTGTAGACCAGTGCAGTGTCTTTAAGCAGTAATTATTTCCCCCACATAGATATGACAAACCCAGAGCCAATCTGCACAGCCAAAAGAAAGTGCAGCTATTTACCTTGTAACAAGGTGTTTCAGAATCAGGGGGAATAAAAAAATCCTTCATTTCCAGCAAAAAGACAAGGTAAAACATAGATTATAGGCTGATATGTTTTCCTAGCACTGGAATTATACAGCAACTTTGCCTCTGGAGAGGTACATTAATAACACATCTCAGAAAATATGTTACTTAAACTGAAGAGATATTTTCTTCTTGAAGGGAAACATTTAATGATGGTATTAAGTTAACACAATCCATCGGCAGTCGCAAGAGCATCATCGTAATTTGGTTGGATTCTAGCAAGTTCAGGAAAGTAAATTATCTCTGCTCCCTGACACTGCAGTGTTTAAGAATGTGATCTGTGGCCTGAAGGAGGAATGGAAAAAGAAAATATGTCCTTGATTTTTTAAGGCTGAATTTAAATCGTTTGACTCAAAATAAAAACATAGATTGAGAAATCTAATTATCCTATCCATCCCCACTCCATGCCCTCGAATCTGAAAAATAAGCCATTGCTATTAATTTATATAGACCCCCTTTGTTTTACAGTTCAAGTAAAAGCAAATAGGAATCTATGTATTCTTATATCCTTAGGCCCTATTTCTTATACAAAATATAGCATCCTGTACACTGCTCTATACATTGCTTGTTTCACTTAACAATGTATCCTAGAGATCTTCCCATAGCTACATGGATAGTGACCTCACTTTCTCTAAGCTCGTGGTACTTCAGTGTAGGGTATATCAGAGTTGGCTTTCAGGTTTTTTTTAATACCTTTGTTTGAATAAAATCTATTTGCTGTATTCACTCCTCCAAGTGGAATGTGGCCTGATATTTGTCCAATCATTCACCGTTTTCAAAGTCCCTCTAACTTGGCGCTTACAACAGCTTTGTAAAGATAATGCTAATACCTATTTTTACAGTTGTAGCTGAGGCCACACACTCACCAAATGACACCAACACAACCACATTATTCCCCCCAGAGCCATCGCTGTGTCCTCCGCTCCTGGGGTCAGTGCGGGAGGGCTTCCTACAGCTAGCACTCCTCTCTGGGGTCAACGTCCTTCCCTCACCCCTACTGGTGAAATATGATTTGAGATCTCCAACTTCCGTGCAATTGATTTTGGTCTTTTGAGACTAGAGTTTGCAGAGTGAGTATGAAGCCATGCTGTTAAAAAGAATTATCAACTTAATAATAGTGAATTTGAAAAATAGTTGCAAGCCCTCTAAGCAATGGGAGATTGGAAGAAGGAAGAAAGCCAAAATGGCTCAACTTTTAGTTAAATATATCTGAAATTGTATATACCTATGAAAATACTTGTCTCCCCATACAAATCTGTCACCCAATACGATCTGGGGCTGAGTCAAATTTACTCCCACACCCACTAACTCTCCATGCAAAACTTAAGACAAATCCTAATACACAATAGGTGTCTGAGTGGATTAATAAAATCCACATGGCTGGGCTCAGCATGAGGAGGGGGAAGAGCCTGGCCCCTGGCCTTGGCTTGACAACATTCCCAAGAAGCTCAGATTTCCAGTGGAAGCACGGCACATGCATGTTCTTTCTGGGTTGGTCCATGGCAGTTCAGTGAGGGACAACTGATTTGTTTTTGTTTTTGCACATCTGTGTCACTCTGCGTGGTCAGCTAATGCCCAGTACTTGCAAAAGAAAGTGGCTGTCCTGTGTTAGAACATGATAATAGATAATGCCTCATGGTAGATCTTTAAGCAGGGAGAGTGGCCACTGAGTCCACGAATGAAACAGAAAGAGGGAAGCCAGACGTCCACTGAAGATTCTAATTCAAAGTTAAAGGGGACACTAGAAATGTTTCTCTTTCCAGCGTGCTGCCATGCAAAGACGTTCACAGCAATGAGTTAGTTAAATTATAAATTAAATTTATTTTTGAGAACCTATTAGATATCAGACACTGTTTTTCCTGGATTTACAGACATGAATAAAAGGGACGCAGTTCTCTGTCACTGGTGGAGTTGTCGGTTTCCAAAAACACAAAAATGAGTAAGACATTCTTCCTTTCTTAAACCAATTAATATCACATTTCTAAATATCAATGAATTTACTTTTGGAGGGTATCACTGTTACTGATATCATCTATGTTGTTACAGACTTAGTATGTTCTATTTTTCTTACTTTATTTTATTTTATATTTTATTTAATTTTTTGAGACAGAGTCTCGCTGTTGCCCAGTCTGGAGTGGAGTGGCGCGACCTCGGCTCACTGCAACCTCTATCTCCAGGATGCAAGGGATTCTCGTGTCTCAGCCTCCCAAGTAGCTGGGACTATAGGCGAGTGCCACCATGCCCAGCTAATTTTGGCCAGGCTGGTCTCAAATTCCTGGCCTCAAGTGATCCATCTTCCTCGGCCTCCCAAAGTGCTGGGATTACAGGCATGAGCCACCATGCCCAGCCCCATCTTTCTAATTTTAATCAATTTATTTAAATAAAATTTTTCATCACTACCATAAATAGACAAGTGCTCTTATTTGTTAATAAATTAAATATAAAAACTAAAGCAAAGAAACAAACTCACGTTATTAAATTTTCTCTGCACGCTGTATGTACTGATACAGTGTACAGATGCAGTGTGGGCTTTGGGCTTCTGAATCTGCTAAATAAGGGGGTTAGCAAGGGTCAGCGAGGCATTAAAGAATCCTAGAACACAAGAGAGGTTTTTGCCTCATCATCATGATCAGATGGACTGAAATAAAATAGAAAGGGAGTAACTTAATACTCCATGAGTCAACGCTACTCAGTTCTGGTCCATGTGTCACCTGATATCACCCCCAGGAATGTGGCCCTGGGGATGCTCACTGTGCTTAGGCGAGTTCGCATGTGAAAGTTTAGTGGTCTTGAGGTTTTTCAGGAGCCTTGTGGCCTGAGAGTCAGATGAAATTAGACCCAAAACTGCTATTAATGTGCCAGGTGGTTCATGTCATTTACTGCTTTGAGTATGCATTTCCTTATGCATAAATAAGATGATATTAACTTCCAGTATATCATATAATTAACACAAACAAGAAAAAAATGTTATTGGAGTGTGGTGACAGTAACAAAGGAAGGAAGCTGGCCTGGGCCTGGATTCCACCTCTGCAGATCATTAGCAATGCGTCTTTGAGAAGTTACTCAACTTCTCTGTGTCTTGAATGCCTCTTCTGCACAAGCAGGATGACAATGATACCACTTTATTAGGTCTTTGGCAAATATTATGTGAGTTAACTACATGCAGCTGACACATAGCAGATGGTGAATTAATGTTAGTTCTCATTATTATATAAAGCATAGAATGGCATTTGGCACGAAGTAGGAATTTGTGCAATATGAAGCTGCTACCAACCCTTTCTCTCATACATGACTCTGTATCCACTGATGGTTATCGGATTATTCAGCCAGGAAGAAGGAGGGATGGCTCTCCAAAGACTGAAGGGGATAGATGGGGGAGGACAGGGTATGAACAGGTTGAAGTTATTTTATGGTTTCCTGTTGCATCAACTCTACTAGTTGGAATTTTTAGATGACAGGAGGAGATGGGCTTTGTGATCCTAAAGAGCATAAATGTCAGAGGAGACTATTTCTGTAGAGCTAAAAAATAATGGCTCAATGGAATCAGACTGAAACAGCACTGAGCAATGATGAATGATTCTGGGGGATCTAAAATAGTAGACAAAGGGGCACTGTCCAGTCTTGCCTTGCAAGACCCTAGAAGGAGTGAACCTTCGAGAGGGATGTTAGGGCCACTTAAAATGCTCCACCTAGAAGTCAAAGAGATCATTGAAAGTGATGGATTTGGAAGGAATAAATCCAGAGGAGGCTCCAGAGAGGATGCAAACTGCCAACTGAATGTGTTTTTCAGGATTGAAGCAACTGTGGAAATAAAGGAGCCAACTGGAATGAAATTAAACAAATACTACCCTAAGTAGAGTCACCCATTCCAGGATTGCTTTCCTTGCTCTTCACTTTCTCTTGCTCACGCCTTCTTAGAACACAAAAATGGGACCCATGGCCTCAGATAAAGAACAATTTTTCCTACTTTTAATTTTGTGTATAAGGGATTCCCCCTCAGCCCGCCTTCCAACCATAGACAACAACAGAGACCTTCTTCCATAGTTCTTTGCAATTCATAGAAAGACCACTGGGACTTATTTTATCCTGATTACATAGATGTGAGATTGGCAAAGGCAGGTCAATGTTTTCTTTTACAAGATATAAGAACAAAATAGTTTCAGACAGACTCCAGTCACATGGGTAGTTAGTGTTGGAAACAAAAATCCAAGCAGGTCTTCTGTCTTAGGATGTCATATCCCATTAACAGACCAGGATTTCTGAATTGCAGCCACCTGAAAATACTTTTTCATTTCAATGGAAATTACATGACCTTGTTCTCTAGAGAGTCTAATTTAGTTGGTCTGAAGCAGAGCCCTAGAAATTATAGTTTTTTTAGAAAACTCCCTGGGTAATAATAAGATTTGGAAATCACTGAATTGTCCATAATCTGTCCCGTAGCTGAGTTTCAGATGAAGAAAACATTTTTTTCCATTCAATCTCAGAATGACATATAATAACATTCTCTTTCACAGCATTTAGAAAATAAATGGGTATTTTTATGTGATTTTTTTTTTTTTACTGTGCTGTTGCTCTTGTTGTTGTTATTCTTGTGCTCTGGGTCACAGAGTATTTTTATTTTCATTTCTGTTTCATAACATTCACCCACTCATTCATTCAACAATCAACATTTTCAGCCTTTTCTAAGAGCGAAGCACTATGGCACACCTGGTAGGGATAAACCCATGAATAACTTGTGGTCCCTCCACTCAGATAAGTGCAACCTGTCTATAACTTCTCTAAGAAAAAAAGGCATTAATAATGTTCTTACAAAAGTTATAAAATGGTGATTTATTTTCCAATATGCTTTTAACCTTGGGAGTGAACTTGTTGAAGTCTCTGCCCATCCTTGCATTTGAAGCAGACTGTAAAGCTTTTATCTAAAGAAATTAGGCTTAACAGTCTGGAAAACTATGAGGTGGGGAAGATTGGGGATCCACAGGGAGACAGACCTAGTATATTATTCTGTTCTCACGCTGCTAATAAAGACATACCCAAAACTAGCTAATTTATAAAGAAAAGAGGTTTAATTGACTCACAGTTCCACATGGCTGTGGAGGCTTCACAATCACAGCAGAAGATGAAGGAAGAGCAAAGGAATGCCTTACATGGCAGCAGGCAAAGAGAGAATGAGAGCCAAGTGAAAGGGATTTCCGTTATAAAACCATCAGATCTTATGAGACTTATTCACTACCATGAGAACAGAATGTGGGAAACTGCCACCATGATTTAATTAACTCCTACTGGGTCCCTCCCACACATGTGTGTATTAGTCTGTTTTCACACTGCTGATAAAGACTTACCTGAGACTGGGCAATTTGCAAAAGAAGGAGGTTTAACTGGACTTACAGTTCTGTGTGGCTGAGGAAGCCTCACAATCAAGGCAGAGAGCAAGGAGGAGTAAATCACATCTTATGTGGATGGCAGAAGGCAAAGAGAGGAGCTTGTGCAGGGAAACTCCCCTTTGTAATACCATCAGATCTCATGAGACTTATTCACTATCAGGAGAATGGCATGGGAAAGACCCACCCTCATGATTCAATTACCTCCCACCAGGTCTCTCTCACAACACTTGGGAATTCAAGATGAGATTTGGGTAGGGACACTGCCAAATCATATCAGTGTGGGAATTATGAGAGCTACAATTCAAGATGAGATTTGGGGGGGACACAGCCAAACCATATCACCCAGCCTCAGAGGGGACACCCATGCAGAGCCACTGCATCACCTGTTGATGGAGCAAAAGATGATCTATCTGGAATATTTTTAAAGGAGCTACCTAAAAAGAAAGATGCAGCAAAGAGTCATAAACAAGTTATTTATTTATTTCTTTTTAGAGACGGAGTCTTGCTTTGTCACCCAGGCTGGACTGCAGTGGCACAATCACGACTCACTGCAGCCTTAGATTCCTAGGCTCAAACCATGCTTCCGCCTCAGCTTCCCAAGTATATAGGACTACAGGGGTGTCCCACTATGCCCAGCTAAAGAAAATTTTGAAAAGCAACACATGTGATGAGAAAAGTGGCCAGTGTAGGAAATGCACATACACACCAAAACACGTGATTGTGTGAATCTGTGTTGTTGGTGTTGGGGAAGAGGATGGAGTGGGCTGGAGACAACAGGAGGTGGCATACAGGACACTGACCAATGGCAGGTGTGAGCTTCCCTCCATGCATCATCCTTGTGGAGTTGCAGGTGCTGTCAGGACTTGTCTACATGGGGCTCCTTGTGTGTTTTAAGGGAAAGGAGATGGATCCACCCTGCCTGAGGTGGGAGCTAGGAGGTCTCAGGATGGAAATGCCTCCCAGAAGACAGGGCATCCTAAGAAATGCTGTCCTTCTATGAGATGGTTGGTAACTCCCAAGGAAGTTGGAGAAAGGAGACAGAGCAGGACTTATTTGGAAAATAAATCCTACATTGTTTTCATTTCTATGGATGTTAAGAGAGAACTTCTTTGTGGTCAATTTTGGTGCTTGTTTTGCCTTTTGAAGCAGCAGGAATAGAATTTTTTTTTTGTTTTAACTTAGAAGAGATGAACATTTTAACTCTTATGTTCAGGGGCACATATGCAGGTTTGTTACATAGGTAAACTTGTGTCATGGAGGTTTGTTGTTTAGATTATTTCCCTACCCAGGTATTAAGCTTAGTACTCATTAGTTGTTTTTTCTGATCCTCTCCCTCCGCCCACCCTCCACCCTCTGAAAGGCCCCAGTGTGTGTTGTTCCCCTATGTGTGTCCATGTGTTCTCATCATTTAGCTCCCACTTATAAATGAGAACATGTGGTGTTTGGTTCTCTGTTCCTGTGTTAGTTTGCTAAGGATAATGGCCTCCAGCTCGATCTATGTCCCCACAAAGGATATGATCTCATTCTTTGTTATGGCTGCATAGTATTCCATGGTGTATATGTATCACATTTTCTTTATCTAGTCTACTATTGATGGGTATTTAGGTTGATCCCATGTCTTTGCTATTGTGGACAGTTGCAATGGATAGAATCTTGATGAGTGGACTCATAAATCCTTCTTAAAGCCTTGATCGCACTTTGAGTGACTGAATACTCACCGACCCCACACTCTCACTCTGTTTGCGTATTCAGGGCTCCAGTGGAGTTCTTAGGAAAAAGGGTTAGGCAGGGGCTTGGAATAAATTCCAAGATTAAATATGTCATCCCCTTCTCCTCTGTTATTAAGAAATGATGCTGCACATCTTCCTTGAGAAAATATTGGGTGGATTTGAGTGAGAAGTTACAGTCCCACTTTGCAGAAGGTGAATGTTGTGCTCCAGAGAAGTGAGATGACCTGGCTTTAGACAGGGTTACATTGTTACAGAGGGTGGGTCACAAAATGTAAAGAAACGTCTTGAAATTCAAATTATGAAAAATAATTTGGCTACATCTCACCCATTCAATATGTTTTGGTTGCTTTGAAAAAAAACATAGACAAAATGAAAAAGAGGCTGGGTGTGGTGGCTCACACCTGTAACCCCAGCACTTCGGGAGGCTGAGGCGGGTGGATCATGAAGTCAGGAGTTCAAGACCAGCCTGGCCAAGATAGTGAAACCCTGTCTCTACTAAAAACATAAAAATTAGACGGATGTGGTGGTGTGCACCTGTAGTCCCAGCTACTTGGGAGGCTGAGGCAGGAGAATCTCTTGAACTCAAGTGGCAGAGGTTGCAGGGAGCCAAGATCATGCCACTGCACTCCAGCCTGTGCCATAGAGTGAGACTCCATCTCAAAACAAAAACAAAAACAAAAAAAAAAAAGAGTTGCTATTTAACAATAGATTCCACAAATTGGGAGCTCTGACCCCACAGAGAAGCAGACCAGGGGAGGAAGGTTGCAGGCCAAGTGCTGGAGGAGGAGGTGTGGGTGGGATGGAGGATGCAGGGTGGCTGCCCAGCATCTGATATTGTGCCCATGTGTTTCCTTTCCCATGAGAACTAAACAAACTAACATAACATCACCCCATGCTGTGACCAGAGATTCCCTGCAGGGCATCCACTCAGAGAGGACTGGTGCTCAAAGCTGGGGGGGTCAGATAGGGAGGCACTTTTTAAAATCTGTGGTTCCTAACCTTGCCATAACACAATTTACAGCAACCACAATTCACTTTTATGACAGTGTTTTCACAACGAGTGTATCAGAGAGTCTATAAAGAGAGGTGCATTGTCAACATATTAGGAATAAAAGGAAAAAATATCCTCAAACATCATCAAAAGTGAGTGTTTTCCTTTCCTTAGTTTTGGAAATCATTATCTGCTCAAGAAATCAAGTGTCTTGGAGCAATGAATTTCCCAGCATGGGGCATAATGAGAGGAAGGATGGCTGCCTAGGGAAGCAATATTTGATTTTCTAGGCAGAAGAACCAGGACAAGGGGCAGAATATGCTCTCCTGTTGCGCAACTCCAGAGTGAATTAAGTGAAAAAGTGTTTATGTTGAATGGCATCTTCTAACTCTTTATTTGGATGGCGTCTTCTGAGAAGATAGAGTTTGCTGCTAATGGCCACCCTGTTCATCCCCCAGCTTGGCAGCTGTTCAGATTATAAAAGGCAAAAGAGAAGAGTCACGCTCCCACATAGGTCTGCCCATTTCTGCTAGCAATGGGCTGTCTCACTCTGTGGGGAAGATCTGCTGCCCCTTTAATCCCAGTGCTTTGGGAGGACAAGGCAGGCGGATCACCTGATGTCAGGAGTTCAAGACCAGCCTGGCCAACATGGTGAAACCCCGTCTCTACTAAAAAATACAAAAATTAGCCAGGCATGGTGGTATGTGCCTGTAATTCCAGCTACTTGGAAGGCTGAGGCAGGAGAATCACTTGAATCCAGGAGGCAGAGGTTGCAGTGAGCCAAGATTATGCCATTGCACTCCAGCCTGGGTGACAGAGTGAGACTCTGTCTCGAAAAACAAACAAACAAACAAAAAGGTGAGCGGGGGGGCGGTGCGTGATGTGTGGTCAGGAGCAGGAAATGAGGGCCATTATGCAAAGGTTGAGGCTTTTAGAAGAGCAGACCATGTGTGCGTCTTTCTATTCGTTCTATGTGTGTTAACCTATTAATCATCACAATCTTCTTCGGCAATAAATATTTTCTTAGCCAGCTTTACAGATGTGGATCTGGAGCATGATGTGTGAAATATTTTGCCCACTTTCTCATTCCTAAGCTATGAAGCTAGAATGGGAACTCAAGTAGCTTGGCATCGAATTGTTCTGTCTCTTGATAACAGACCTTACCAGGAAGAGCAGGTATTATTCCTGGGCTCCTGGTCCCCCATGAAATTTTGTCTTTCTTCCTAGTTCTGATTCTAATGATTCTCTGCTCAGAGCTTTGCCTCTGGCTTTAGTTCTCCAAAAAGATAAAGAACATATCATTTCCTTTTACTTTAACCTTTTCTGAACTTGTCTATTATTCAAGATATTGACTGAGAAGCAACCAGAGTACATGCAACCCCTCTTGGAAGGAGATGGGATCTCACGTTGAGACTTAATTTGTCTTTAAACTATGTGTGGAAATGCTCAGTTTCCCCAAGAGGAATAACAAGTTTAGGTAAACCCTTCAAATTCGTTAATTCTCTGACTGCAGTTGAAGAAAATCCAGCCAAGACATGCAGAAGGTCGGAAGGAAGGAATGAATGAATAAATAAAGGAAGAAAGGAAGAAACACAGAGAGAGAGAGGAGAGAAAGAGATGCATTGTGTATCCTAACTACACTAGAAACAGACAGGGCTGAGTGTGAGAAGAACTTTGTTCTTGGGCTCAAACAGCATTTAGAATCTTTCTTCCTTTTCCTCCTCTCCTTCCTCTCCTCTTTCTGAATCAGTCTCTACACTGCAGTTGCAGACTGGCCTTTGCTAAGCCATAGGAAATACAACTTCTGACAACTATAGGCTCACATGGGAAAGGTTTCACCTTTCAGAAAGGACAGAAGAGTCTTTGCCGTCAGGCTCAGAAAGAAAAACCACAAAGAAGGACTCTGAATGGCTCAGCTTGGGTCATGTGCCCATCCTCGGACCAATCACTGTGGTTTGGAGGATGGGCGTCTGTAATGGCCCTGCCTTGTGTCCATTCGTGATCAGGGTCCTGGATCAGTGTATTAGTTCCTCATTGTTGCTAAAGCAAAATGCCACAGACTCAAGGATTCAGAAAGATGCATTCTCTTATATTTATGGAAATCTGAAGCCCAAAATGGGTGTTACTGGACTAAAATCCATGTGTTGACAGAGCTGCATTCTTTCTGAAGGCTTCAGGGGAGAATCAATTTCCCTAACTTTTTCATCTTCATCTTCTAAATGCCACCAGTATGTCTTAACTCATGGTCCCTTCCTTCATCCTCAAAGCCAAAGTGAAGCATCTTCAAAGCTCTCATTTTCATTGTCTACTTTCATCATCACATCTCCTTCTTTGACGTTCCTGCCTCTCACTTTTTACTCACGAGGACTCTTAGGATGATAATAAGTCCACCTTGATAATCTAGGACAATCTCCCCATCTCAAGAGCCTTCACATAGTCACCTCTGCAAAGTCTCCTTTGTTATGTATGATAACATATTCAAAGGTTCTGGAGATTAGGCATGGACATCTTTGAGGACTGTTATTCTGCCTTCCACCACCTGTTACTAGGGGACAGAGGGCTCCCACACCACTTCAGACATCAGATGCTCCAAAGCAATAGACTCAGATCATGGACTTGATGCCTGAGTGTAATGGAGTGAGTTCCTTTCTTGGAACAGGCAGGTTTTGTATTGGTATCATATGTAGGCCTATTGTATAGTTGGAGATTGATACAAGTGATATTTGCACAGGGGAGAATCAGCACCTATGGCTTGGGGTTTTGTTTATGCTTCTTTAATCAGAAAAGCACTTGCTTGAGAAGGCGAGATCAAGAGTCCTTGTTGCAATGGCCATACCTCAAGGCATCAACTGAGCTTGATTGCTGGAGAGATGTGGCCTCTGGTAGCCAGACCTGCATTCAAAAGTTAGGTGTGCTACCATTTCTTTGAAACTTTCTAGCAGCTTGCATATAGAAATGCAATTTTAAGAAGCATATTCATAATGAAGAAGCCTAGTGATGTAGAATTTGAGATTTGGCCTGGAAAGCCTGTGTTCAAGTTACCACCAGGCCCCGGTGAACGTGATCAAGACTTTTCACCTCTCTGAGCCCAGATTCACCCTCAGCAATCTCCTTGCTCTTTTTCACCACCAGAGGCCCCCTTGGACCTTCTCATAGCCACTCCCTTTCCTACCAGGCCTTCCTTCACCTCTCTCTTTGAAGCAGTGCCCATCCCCATAAGCATTCAGCCCGTCCTCTTCTCTGCTTACCCACTTACTTGTTTATTTATGTCTCTCCCCAGGTAGGTTGTTAGCTTCCTAGAGTGGGGCCTGTCTAGTTGATCCATGTATGTCCAGAGCCTAGAACAGTGCCTGATTAATAGCGGGTGCATAGTAAATATATTTTTAAGAATATAAATGAAAGGTTCAATTTTACAAATAAGACATGTAAAGTCTAGAGATGTTAAATATAGATCCAAATCTAACAAATAGTACAATTTAGATTAAAGCCTGTCTAGTCTTTCCATTTCCTAGTTCTGTGTTCTTTCAATTATATCAGTGTTTTTCCAACTTTATTGATGATGGCCCAAAGAAAAATATACATTTCATATATCATACACACACGTATATGCATAAAGTTAAAGAAGTCATATAGAAAATATTTTCCCTCACTATTATATGAAAATAAAAGTTTTATTTTATATCAAATGTGATTTTATTACTATTGGACTATTTTATCTTTTTTAATTTGAAAGTTGTGATCCACTAAATCGTCGGAATGGACCGGCCATGGTGGTTCACACCTCTAATCCCAGCACTTTGGGAGACCAAGGCGGGCAGATCACCTGAGATCAGGAGTTCAAGATCAGCCTGGCCAACATGGCAAAACCCCATCTCTACCAAAAAATCGAAAAATTAGCTGCGCGTGATGGCATGTGCCTGTAATCCCAGCTACTTAGGAGACTGAGGCAGGGACAATTGCTTGAATCTGAGATGAAGAGGTTGCACTGAGCAGAGATTGTACCACTGCACTCCAGCCTGGGAGACAGAATGAGAGTCTGTCTCAAAAAAATAAAAATGACAATAAATCAATGTAATGACCCACTAATGATCTGGCATCCATAGTTGGGAAATATTCCCTTGTTTTGTTTTTATGAAAGATGTGTGAAATGGACTGTAATAGAGATAATATCTAATTTTTTTCTTGTGTGGGCATTAGCTAGTTAAGGACATTATTCATACTGTCATATGTCTTTGGTTTGCAAACTGTTATTTTGTCTCTTAAACATCTCTTGAATTGATTTCCTTCCTCTGCTACCTATTTGTGTAAATAAAGTTTTAACGAAACACAGCCATGTCCATTCACTCTGCAAGAGCCAAATTGGGCAATTGTGCCAGAAACTGCACAGACCATGAAGCCTATTGTATTTTCTTTCAGGCCCTTTACAGAAAAAGGGCTGCTGACTCTTGGTGTAGCGCCTCCTCCTGGATTGTCCGGATGAGTGCAGGCCCGCATCCCCAGAGCTCACCCCGGGAACAGTGACTGTCCATCAGGGGCTTCCTCAATCACATGCAGGTGTCCTTGCCTGCTCACATGTCTAGAATTGGATAATTTGAAAGAAAAGTTGTATTTTGTCCCATGCTGTGGGTTTTATGCTCAGTATATCAGATCCTTGTGGTTTTAGGAGGAAATGTGAAAAGGTAATGCCTAGCAACAGCACCAGGGTGTCGAAATCATTATCCATGTTCCCTCCCCTGGTCTATCCTGCCCTCGGTGCTCCCATTCCGGTGAGGGGCAGCACAGCTGGGATTGGCTCCTCCTCTCCCTGTGTGGTCTCACAATTCCAGGGTCCATAGGAACCCAACATGATGGAAGTTAGAGGTGTTCATTCAAATATGAAAGCTACTTAACATTTTTTCTTAAATTTGTATACACTTAAGGAGCATAAATGCAGTGTTGTCACATGGATATATTGCACAGTGGTGATGTCTGGGATTTTAGGGTAATCACCACCTAAGTTATGTACATTGTCCCCATTAAGTAATTTCTCATCCCTCATCTCCCTCCCATCCTTCCTCCCTTCGAGTCTCCAGTGACAATTATTCCACATTCTGTGTCTGTGTATACACATTATTTAGTGCACAGAGTACACAGCTCATCTCATTTGACTTTTTCAAGGCTCTTGGGGAAGATGAGGTAGGAGTTGGCATTTATTTTCTGAGTGGAGAGACCAAATGCATGTGATTTGATGAGCCTGGCAGATCTGTACTCACCCCAAGGTGATGACACCTTGCTGCCCTTGACCCATAGACAATGAAGTGGCCAGGCTGTGTGGTTAAGAACAGCAGATAATTCTGTCTCACTGCTGGTGTCACCCATGCACAAAATGCTGGCTGGAGGAAGGGCTGGTGGGTAGTTGTTTTAAGTACGGAAATTGGTTAATGCCCCAAAGCCAATGCATTGAGTTGAGATTCTTCCCATGAAGCGCCGAAAGCTTTTACAAAAGCCATCAATCTCAGCCCAACAAGGAAAGAGAGAGAAGAGGCCCTGGGTTTTGAAGAAGGGAAATTGAGGTGTTTCAGCAGGTCCTAAAACTATACTCAAACCTCAGTCCAGAATGAATGGATTTTCATCTCATCAACATTGGTAGATGCAGCCCATTTAGCATGACATCATAAACTGGAGGAAGAAGAGTGCAGAGAGCTCATTAGCATGAGTTGTCTTGGAAAGCTTTCGGAACAAGTTCTGAATTAATTAAAATTTCATTTGGATGATGAGCACATGGTTATATTTATTTTATTCTCAAGCCTTTCTATAGTAACTGAGGAGGCTCCCCTCTGCAGAATGCCTGATGGCAGTGGCCCTGCCATACATCATTTGGAGGAACTGAGAGGGTTATTTTTAACTCCCCATTATTGAAGAAAACACACACATCTGGAACATTGTGGGGGTGACGATCAGCTGTTCAGATGAGAGATGGTTTGTGGTAGGCCGTGCATCATTTTCTAATTATTTTGACTCTGCTCGTTGCCGTAAACACCTTGGGCATCTAAAATCTGGCCCATTTAATCTCTAAATTGTATGCTCTCAGTCTGTCATGGAGTCTTTGTTTAATGCAATCTCTACTTTTATCAGGCAGTAAAACCAAGACAAATGGAATTCCGGTCAGTGCAGTAGCCTACCGTGGGTGCAGTAGGAGACCCAGCTGCAGATGGAGGGTTATGACATGGAAAATGTCTAGGGGGCTTGATGGTAGCTGGGGGTTTGAGAAAAGATGGATAGTTTTGAAGTGAAAAACAATTATTTATTTGCTTACAGTTGCCTAAGGAAGCTTGGAATTTTTTTAAATAGGACCATTTATGAGGTTGACAAAAGAAAGCTCGTTGTGACAATTTTCCATATGAACTTCCGACAGATGGTGTAGAGTGATTACACCGGCCACGCAGGATGGAAGGAAGTCAGCCAGATTCTTGCACCCCCTCATTTTCACAAAGCTGTGGCTCTCTCTGCATCTGGCAGTCTTTTTTCATTGAAACCATCCACTTCATTAATTCCAGGCAGGAGCCTGAATGGTGAATAAAAGCGTAAGAGTGCCTGTTCACTTTTGTGAGGTTGTGTCATGACAACACACACCAGCACTCACAGAGACTCACACAGGTAGCAGATGCCATCGGGAAATTACACCGGAAAAGTCAGTGCTGCCATACGGAGGTCAATTTCATATTTAACTTACATAGGTGGTGCTCTACATTTTGCATTTTATTTTATTTTATTTTATTTTATTTTATTTTATTTTATTTTATTTTATTTTATTTTTCGTGCAGATAATATTTTGCCATGTTACCCAGGCCACTCTTGAACTCCTGGGCTAAAGCAATCCATCCAACTTGGCCTCCCAAAGCGCTGGGATTATAGGCATGGGTCACTGCACACCCAGCCCACAATTTCACATTTTAGTATCTCAGGTCCTTTGTGAATCATTTGACACTACCTCATTATAATAGAATATTCAACTAGAAGATTTTAAACAAGAAAGATTAATTCACATGACAAGAAGCTAAAGCTAGGAAATTTCAGGTTTTGTTCAGCCATCTCCCAGGTCTCCAAGCACCCAGTTCTTTCTATCTTTCTGCTGTACCCACTGCATGTTGGTTGATCCTTGGTCTAGTCTCCTCATGGTCACAGAATGGCTGCTGGAGCTTCTCACAGCATATCATCACCTGCTTACTTACATTCAGAGGCAGAAAACTGGCAAGTTTTACTTTTTTTTATTTTTATTTTTTGTCAGGAAAAAGCTTTACATAAGCCTCAATTAGTGTCTTTCTTAGGTCTGCCTGGACAATATTGGGTCACCTGTCATCTCCAGAGGACCTGGGAAAGTGAATCTTTATTCAGTATCTATTCTGGGATGTGAGCTTGGTCAATCAGGAGGAAAGAGAAGGGGACCTGTGGATGGACACTCAAGAGGCGGCTCCAGAAAAAGGTTTTTAATTTTTGTTTCTCCAGAGAGGGGCCAATGATTAAGCTTCATCCATCATCATCTCTGATATTAATTCATTTACTAGATTCCATTCCTTCTGGAAGGATCTTCAGGTCTGATGAGGCTGGGGAAGGGATTTGGGACCAGTAAAGCAATGAGGTGGGGTGGGGAGAGTTCCTGGCAGGGCTGGGCTGGAGCTGTCAGTCAAAAGGACAAGGTTGTGCAGAACTGCTGTGTGGAGGAGAACAGAGGCCTGAATGCAGCATGCTGACCTGTTGTGTTCAAACTGTTCAGAAACAACTTTTTTTGGTTTTTTGAGACGGAGTCTCACTCCGTCACCTAGGCTGCAGTGCAGTAGTGTGACCTCGGCTCACTGCAACCTCCACGTCCTGGGATCAAGCAATTCTCCTGCCTCAGCCTCCTGAGTAGCTGGGACTACAGGCGCCCACCACCACACCTAGTTAATTTTTTGTATTTTTAGTAGAGACGAGGTTTCACCATTTTGGCCAGGTTGGTCTTGAACTCCTGACCTTACATGATCCATCTGCCTCAGCCTGCCAAGTGCTGGGATTACAGGCATGAGCCACTGAGCCCGGGCCAGAAACAACTTTAAAAAGTCATGGTTTAACAAAATTAGAAGCTCTCATATATGCAAATGAAAATTCCAAATTTTGGCCTCTTGTGAAAAATACAGAAGACAGGAGATACTGGGTCTGTGTCCTGGAGGCAGCACCTGAGGGGACATCTGTCATGGCCTCAGATCCAGGCGCACCACCATCCCCCTACCCTCACACCTGTGTCATGGCCTCAGATCCAGGTGCATCACCATCCCCCTACCCTCATACCTGTGTCATGGCCTGGGCTCCAGGTGCACTGCCATCCCCCTACCCCTCACACCTGCTCCCCAGGACTCCATCTTCCTGAAACATATGCCACTCCTGCCTCTCTCCTGGGTTGGGTAAACCAAGAGACTCAAGAGACAGCTGCCATTTGGAAGAGGGTCACCTGGAGCAGGCCCATGGCAGAAGCCCAATCAGAAATGCTGCTTCCTGCAGCTCATGGGGAGCTTCCTGCAGAGCTCCAGGCTCTGGGGCCATGGAGTAAAATGGCGTTGCCCACACAATCCACAAGGGTGCCTGTCGTGTTGTGCTCTGTGAAAGGCCTCACCTGCAGCACTGATTCCTGGACCCTGTGAAGAGGGGGTCTTTATGATTCCCGTTTTATAAATGAGAAGGCTGAGGCATGGGAAGTTGAGTCACTCTCCTTCATAACCAAAGGAGGACTCAGTCCCAGGCCTGTGTGACCTCAGCTGCCAAGACCTGGCCAAGAAACCTGATTCCAGAAACAGGAGCAAACACTAGCTTCAGCCTCTGGTGGACCTGGCCCAATGCTGGGTGGAGATCTCAGGGACCTGACTGGTCTTTTAGGGTGTAAAAGGGGGAACCAGTGGGTCAGGGAAGAGGGAGGATGGAGGATGAGGGACCATGGCAAGGTTGAGTCCAGTGTGATGCCTCCTATGTAGAGAGACCCCATCTGTGGGGGGGTCATGGCTGCCCACCTCATGGTGGTTCTGATGGCAAATGGGCAAATGTAGTGGTGATCTCAGGGCAAGTGCAGGCACAGTCAGTGCTCAGGAATGGCAGCCTATGAGCTGGCTACATTTCTCTTAAAATCACCAATTTCATTGTTGCCCAGCATGCCATCAGCCTATAGAGTCAGGTGCCCCAGATATTAAATCCCTGTTAATTAAGAGGGTCAAGTTATAAGTTCATTCACCAAACACTTGGTAAGCAAGTCTGAAGTAACAGCATATGCAAGCGCAAGGAGCACAAATATTATAACCTCTTACAGGAAAATAAACACACAAAAAACATACAAACAGGTCCCCATTAATATGGCCCCAAACGGCTAATGGAGATTCATTCTTATCTAATTATTAAAAGGGTTGTTTGTCAATGTTGGTCAATCTTATTTGAATTACCATGGCTACTATACACGACAGTACAAATCATTTTTTTTTTACAAAATTTGATAATTCAAGCGTTAATAAACATAGTCTTGTTTCCCTTAATTGATTAGCATTAAAGAGATTTAGCTGAACTTTTGAGCCCTCCTTGGCATTTTCTTTGTAAAAGACGCATAAGACTCCATAAAGAGGGAATCTGTAGCATTAATTGATGCTTGTTCATACTCCAACTTACCAGGCACATGTCTACTCCCCCAGAAGAACTTAGTCTTTCTTGTTAACATGAAATCTTAAGTTAGGTAAAAGGATAACAAGAAGATGTCTACCCTACAGTTAAGATTTGTGTGCCAGGCTGGGCGTGGTGGCTCACACTTGTAATCACAGCACTTTGGGAGGCTGAGGCAGATGGATCACAAGGTCAGGAGTTTGAGACAAGCCTGACCAATATGGTGAAACCCCATCTCTACTAAAAATACAAAAAATTAGCTGGGCGTGGTGGTGTGTGCCTGTAATCCCAGCTACTTGGGAGGCTGAGGCAGGAGAATCACTTGAACCTGGGAGGTGGAGGTTGCTATGTTGATGCAGGAATGAGCCATGTTTTGTCTTGGAGAATGGCTGTTGCACTTTTCATATTAAAGACAATATCAGATTCACAGCGTGCCACTGAGGAAGTTTCTAGACAACAGCATTTCTCTGCTCTCTGGGATGGATTCAGTTTGCTTCTAACGGCGACAGGAGATACTACCTGGGTGGACCCTTGGTATTCAACCAAGGGTCTCTCTTATCTCTGTCAACCCAGGGGTACTGATGGAATGGGCCTAAACTGCTGCCCTGACCACTCAGGGGCATGGGTCAGAGTTGGCCTGAAATACCGTGACCCCACCCCGCTTTGCCCGTGACTGGACCATGGTTGGGCACAAGCTGGAGTCCTGAACCCTTAGACAAAAGTAAGGTCAGAGCAGGGTAAGAACATTCAGATAAAGCCAGTCTTTCCAGGAAAAAGCCTTTCCTGGGGTAAGGGAGAAGTGACCCTACCCATCTTGCTTCATGTTTGGGAGGCCAGTGTCTCAGAGTTTGATGTCTGAACTTGCCCATTTTATAGCCACTTGGAGAAAGGCCAGCAGAATTGCAGAGACAGAGTCAGATACTCTTGGCATCTTCCAGCTGCTGAAAAACCCTGGGGCTGCCTGCTGCAGGCTGCCCCTCATGTGGGGAATTAAACATATGTTGTTAAAGTTGTTATTGGTGGGGATTCTGCTAGCTGTAGTGACACAAAAAGCTACTGTGACACACACATATATGCACGTGTTTTGGGTTAGAATCTGAATCCTGCCTGTGGTTTTGGGCTTGAGGCCAGGCCTTTCTGGGTTGAAAATAGATAGCAAGTGTTAGAAATGGTAAAGCTTTCTGTCCTTAAATGAAATTGTTTTCCTTTTTATAATGGGAAGGGTTGAAAAATAACTAAAAATGAAATAAAATATCTCAGTCCGTGTATTAGTCCATTTTTATGCTGCTGATAAAGACTACCCGAGACTGGGAAGAAAAAGAAGTTTAATCGGATTTGTGGTTCTACATGGCTGGGGTGGCCTCAGAATCATGGCGGGAGGCAAAAGGCACTTCTTACATGGCGGCGACAAGAGAAAATGAGGAAGACACAAAAGTGAAAACCCCTGATAAAACCATCAGATCTAGTGAGACTTATTCACTACCACGAGAACAGTAAGGGGGAAACTGCTCCCATGATTCAAATTATCTCCCACCAGGTCCCTCCCACGGCATGTGGGAATTATGGGAGTACAATTCAAGATGAGATTTGGGTGGGGACACAGAGCCAAACCATATCACTCTGTGATTCTGTGTTCTAACATTTTGTCTGGGACCACCTAAAATCACACTGCACATACCCCACGGGGAAGATCCACATTTTGGCAAACACATTTATAATACAGTGAACAGAACTGACATTTTTTAGTAACACTGAGCACATGTGAACTATTTAGACCAAAACAGAGAGTTTTAGAGGGTATTGCTGCTACCTAGCATAAATTAGTTCAATGGAGGTTTAGTCACTATGACACACACACACACACACACACACAGACGATTGTGGACTCCTCTGTCATTTTAGTACGAAATTTAAAGTCAAGGAATCAGTACATTGTTAATCATGACCTTGGATATCTCAGCTTATTTTCAGAAATAAAAGTAATTGTGGCAACAACCACCAGTTAGAATGCCAATGAGAAATGCCAACACAGCATTTAAAGAATGATGAAATAATACATATCTTTTAACAAGCACATTTATTACGACTGGGGATTTTCTTGTGGATTTTCGTCAGACTAACAGGGTGGTGTCACAGAGAAGAAACTCCATGCAAAGAGCTTAGATTTCCATACATTATTTTTCCTGAGAAATTAACCTAGATGCAGTGTTCATGTTTCTCATGTAGGTTCTAGGGAATTCTGGAAGTTCCTGTTGTTCTCACACTTTCTTTCTCACTCTTCCTAAAGATAAAATTGACTAATCTTCAGCATTTTATGCACTGCTCATGACTTTTGTCATATTTGCCATAATGCAGTATTTACCACAGTATAATATATAATGATATTTATGTTATTTACTTAAAATTATCTTTAAACATGCCTATTTAACTCTGATACATATATTTTAAAAGGAAATGACAGCTGCACTACAAATGGAAAACCGCGATCACTTACTGTAAGT
Source organism: Homo sapiens (assembly GCF_000001405.40). Lineage (NCBI taxonomy): Eukaryota > Metazoa > Chordata > Mammalia > Primates > Hominidae > Homo > Homo sapiens. The sequence continues at coordinate 126,355,304 of NC_000012.12, forward strand.
AGAAGACAATTATAGAATAAATGTAAAAAAGGCAAAACATTTTGCTTAGATTCTCTGTCTGCTTACTGCTTTGAGGCTGAGTCCTGCTTCCTCTTGGTAAAAAGAAAGGTTAGTAAGTGTCAGATTGATGTTACAGACACAGAAGCAACAACAGACTGAGCCTTCCTACTCAAGGTAATCAGAAAAGCCCACTGTGTATCTGAAAGGAACCACTTCATTACTGTGCTCTTACGTGTTATTTAAGTTTCAGTTACACCACACTGAAAACCATCTGGCTTGCCATGTGAAGCTTCAGAAGTACACATCCCCCACTTTGTTTCTGACATTACCAGATGCACATGGGGATGGGCAGTCCCAGGGAAGCTGTCATGAGCAATCGAAAACACTAATGGCATTTTATTGCCCTGGGCCAAGGCTTGGGCTAGGGATGGGGCATGGGTCCCAGTTCTAGCCACTGAGAGACAAAGAGAGACCCACTGGGAATTCTTGGAAGATTGTTTTTTTCCATGATAAAATCAAATGCAATGTATGAAGCCTCTTCTTTTACCACATTTAGAGCCACAGTGTAAAGAGCTGATGTCTGGTGCTGTGGCAGCCATCATGTTACCATGAGGTACATACCTTCTAAGTAAACCACTGTGCAGAGGTTAGAGTACAGGAGGACAGAAAGAGCCTGGAACCCTGGTACCATATTTGAGTTTCTGGACCAATGTAGAGTTCACCTCCACCTCCAGATATCTCTCTATTTTTTTTTTTTTTTTTTTTTGAGACAGGATCTCACTGTGTCGCCCAGGCTGGAGTGCAGTGGCACAATCTCAGCTCACTGCAACCTCTGCCTCCCGGGCTCAAGCAAACCTCCCACCTCAGCCCCCTAAGTAGCTGGGACTACAGGTGTGTGCCACCATGCCCAGATAATTTTTGTATTTTTAGTAGAGACAGGGTTTCACCATGTTGCCCAGGCTGGTCTTGAACTCCCGAGCTCAGATGATCCACCAACTTTGGCCTCCCAAAGTGCTGGGATTACAGGCGTGAGCCACTGTGCCTGGCCACCTCCAGATATCATAATAAATAAATGCCAAGAATCCTTATGTCTCTACCCTTAAAGAACATGGACATGTTTGCTGAGTAGTTGGTCAGCTACTTGCAGCTAAACACATTTAGAGTAATACACTAGCTATTATTCATGGTTATTACCAATGATTGTCCTGTGGTATATACCACCAGTGTACTTTTCTTCCCCTTAATCAATACGAATTCCAACTATCTTTTTAGAAACTGCTCAAGATTTAATTCCAGGGAGCAGAAGCCAGGAAAGAATTTTATGGTTAGAATTCTTAAGGAAGCGACTTTGATAAAATAAAAACTATGCAGCAAATACACACACACACACACACACACACACACACACACACAGACACACACACACACAGACACACACACACACACACACACACACACAAATACCTGGTACCATATTTGAGTTTCTGGACCATATCTGGAGTTCACCTCCAGATATCTCTCTACTTTTTTTTTTTTGAGACAAGATCTTACTCAAATGCAATGTATGAAGCCTCATATATATATATAAAGATTATATATCCATATAATCTTTAAGCATTAATTTGGATTTGGTCAGAAAAAGAGAGTACAAGTTTTACAGGAATATAGGAGTTAGATCTTACACAAATATGGGTTGAGTTGGGGGACGGAGGTTTTGAAGGCTTCAGTGGAAGATTCCAGACAAAGGTGTTGATTTCAGATCTCTTCTTGCAGCACTAGAGAAGCAGGACCTCAGGAAGAAGCTCCATAAGCTGCCATGAGCACACATGGAGGCTCCTGGAGAGGACGGTGAAGCCACCCCCGGGCAGAATGGTGTCCAGGGGTCGATGTCTTCTGCTTCTTTCTGCCTACCAAATCACTCCTGGGTTCCCCTTAAACCAAGCTCTGACCAGTAGGCTCAGAGGCAAATAGATCAGGGAAATGTACCGCCCAGCCTTAGAAGAAGATGGTGGCACTGATGTGTCAAGAGGAAATATAGCACCTATATATATGTACCAAGGGAAGAGGGGGGGAAGTGTTCAAAATTACATTTCGTTCATTCATCCATTCAAAAAATACTTAACAATCACCTGCTTTATAGCAGTCACTGTCTTGCACCGGGATATAACACGGTACAAACTAGGTGCGATCTTTGCGATTATTAGGTTTATTGGTAGCAGTTGTTGCTGTTACATCTCACTGCTCTCATTGCAAATGTTGATGGTGGCTTTTACGTCTGTGAAAATAAAAAGCATGACCTTTTGATAGTTGTTTGCTGTATGGAAGCCTATTTTACTATGTTTGCATGCAAACTTCTATCTGACCTTAAGCTAATGGGAGCTTGTAAAGAGGTGGAATCGAATGTAAAGTTTGAAAAGACAAGAAAAGAGAAAAGGAAAGGGAAGGGATGGGGAGGGGAGAGAAAGAGAGGGGAGGGAGTCGGAAGAGAGGGGAGGGAGGGGAGGAGAGGGGAGGCAAGAAGGAAGGGGAGGGGAGGGAAAGGGAAGAGAGGGGAGGGAGGGGATAGGGGAGGGACGGGAGGAGAGGGGAGGGGAAGGGAAGAGAGGGGAGGGGAAGAGAGGGGAGGGAGGGAAAGAGAGGGGAGGGGAGGGGAAGAGAGGGAAGAGGAGGGGAGGGGAAGAGAGGGAAGGGAGGGGAGAAACAACAACCATATGTCTTTATTTCCTGTTAGCTCCATTTCTGGCCTTTGGTCTCTTTCTCGGAAAGCAGGCCTCAGTGGCCTCAGTTTCTTCCCAGAACCTGCAATGCCCCACCAAGGTGACAAGAAGTGCAAGGTAGTTAGCTCTCCTTCAGTGCTTATGAGTTGAAGGTGATAACATCTGAAGACCGGTTGTCACATTTGAATTTTTCTTTTTATTTCAGGAGTCGGTTTTCACTGCCAACCAAAGAGGTGACCCCCGCAAAGCAACCATGTTGGGACAGTCCATTTGCTGCGTTTTGATTATTTGCTAAGAGCAAATACCTTTTCTGTTTGGGTTTTGCTTTTAGAAAAAAAATGTGGCAGATGGTGGTGGCTTTCCCCGTCATTGAAAGAAGAAAGGTAGTAACTCTACTGGTGCACTCCTCTGAGTTGTGCTAACAAAGAAGAATGCTGAAAGAAAAGGGAAATGAACACCATTTTCAGGCAGCTTCTCCAAGTTTTTTTGACAGTGTTATAATTTTCCTTTAGCGACTGTTGAAGCAAATATCTGTATTTATGTTCAGATTAAACCGAGAGAGCAAAGACTGCTAAAGCCAGTAATTTCTGGGCTGCAAATGCAGGATAGCTCCAGTGAATTTCAGATTCTTAAAGGTTTTTGCTGTAGCGAATTCATGACACAAAGCATTTGGAGGGAAACCTATTAGAGAAGAAACACATCCTAAATGAGAATTACTGAGGACGGGAGGCTCTTGTCATTTATTGGATTAGTTATAGCACTTTACACAAGCCTGTAATATTTGTTCTGCTGCTGTGGTGTGACTGGTAAAATGAAAAGGTATGTCAAGGGAGTGCTTGACTGACGTTCTTATTTCTTCCGTCTTCTTATATTGCTGGGAGGATTCTACCACTGCAGGGCTAGAAATTAATATCACACTCATTTGATAGGAAGAGCAAAAGCAAGGTTATGAGTCAGAGACATTTTGGTCCCAGAACAATAACTCTATTGATTGAGTCAAATATGTTTAACTCCAACAGCAAGACCTTCCATCTGCGTGAAATAATCATGTCCGTTAATTGTAAACAGGAGCATCTTTGAAAGCTGAGCTAGAGGCGGAGCAACTGGTAAACCAGATGTCCCAAATTTCTAGGTTTGTACATTGTAATTGTTCTAGACTTGTGTGTGGATATTGGTAAAATGACATAGTCAGATATCTCACAGATTTTGTGAGATATGTCCAAAGTTCCCAAGTTAATTTATTACTAAAGTTAGAATTTCACTTACTGTGAGATTGGAATGCCAGCCAGCTACTGAACCTTATGTGTGCCTAGGGGCCATTTTGAGACAATTTGCTGAATATTAAAAGTACAACCAATAATGTTTCTCTCCACATCCACAATAGCGCTTAGAGGAAGCATCTGGGATTGAGCCATCTCACATCTGTCTAATCACATTCATTCAAATGTGATGGGCCCAACTGGCCTACGTACATGGCTGCATATCACCATGGGTGGAAATTAAATCAGAATTTGGCTCAGGAGAGAGATGAAGAGAAAATGCACGTAGATAATTGGCTCAGATAACATTCTGTTTCTGGAAGTCACAAAGAGTGGAAATTGGAATATGTAAATTAAAGAAAAACAGGTAAGAATTCACATGAACCCCAACCACACACCCTGTGTATGTTCTCATTCTCATTCTCTCTATGGTGCCTGTGAGCAGTTGGAGTTTGAATTTTTCAGTCAGTAAGGTTTGCTGTTTATTCGAGGGCTGCTCCTAAAAAATAATCAGGTCTAGTCAAGAATATAGAAAAGTGAAATTATGCATATTTTCCTGGGGAATATAATAGATGTTCTCATAGTCTTACAATGTAAAAAAAATGAAGGTAAGACTCTAGCTCCCTTTCTTCTATCTTTCTGGCCTCATTTTAGGCTAATATTTTCTTTTGCAACCATATACCAAATTATTACATATGGAAGCTGTGAAACTGAAGGTTCTGTAAAACTTTAAAGCCAGAGAACTTATGACTCCTCCATATAGGAAGAGAAATGGGAGAATATTAGGCTGTTTTTAATACTGGGCATCTGGTATTTTTCAGTCCTTAAGATCAAGTCCGCAATGGAAGAAGAGCATTCATCTGGTACAGGTTGATGATTGTGTAAGCCCAAGGAGTGATGTCAACACTGGGGTTCACCTGAGAACATGGACATGGTTGATGAGGGTTTAGGAGATGCTCATACGAAGTCTTCATATGTTCCCTGGATCCCAGCTCTGCCTTCCCACCAGAGAGGATGTAATTCAGCCGAGATGCCCAGAGTCAGCTCTCTGCTCATATCTGTTCCGCACTGAAGCCAATCATCTGAGAAACCTAAGAAGTGTTTAATGTAGTTAGGAAAGTGAGGGATGAAGACCATAAATTCCTTTTCATGTAGCAGAGTATATATGTGATACTCATTCTGTGGTATTTGGGGCATAAACAAGAGTCGATGAAGGAATGTGAAAGTACTCGAAATCCTGACTTTTATCTCTATAAAAATGGCATAGGGATGAAACACACTTGGTTGTTATGACTGTACTCTTTTCAGATTTACTACTTGCCTTTCTACTGATTTTTCTGTGCCACAGGTCTTGACTCCTGTAGGCTAAATTTCTCAGCCTCTTCTGCTCACTGATATATGGGAAGGTTTGGCCAAAGGTGGGTGACTGGTGGGGAGAAGGATGAGGGAATTCAGGGGATTGCTGAGCCCATTCTCTAGACAGTGCTGCTGGCACTGGCTCTGTCTTCTCCGTTTCCATCTCGCATCAGACGGTTCTTCCCTCTATGGGCCTAGTCCTACCTAGACACTTTCCAGTTGGATTCCAGTTCTGGGGATGCTCCCTCCTGCAGGGATCTAAGTCCTTCCCATTGTCTTCGGCTCCTGGGCTCAGCTAGAACCATCTTTTCCCATTGTCCCTGTGGTGCTAGGGCTTTCAGTGGTTATTAACGTCTGTGTTGTATCATCTTGCCTGAATTTCAGCTCTCTGTAACCAGTTCCCCAAATAAAATTCCCCCCATTTACCTACCTTCTGTGAGTCTGTTTGCCTGACATGACCGTATTAAGTATACCCGATATATTAGTGAGCTTCGGATGATATCACAATGTGCCGTAGACTGGGTGGCATAAAAAACAAAGGAATGTATTTCTCATTGTTCTGGAGCTGGGAAGTCCAAGATAAAGGTGCTAGCCAATTCTATTTCTGATGAGGGCTCTCTTCCTGGCTTGTGGATGGCCACCTTGTCACTCTATTCACACACGGTGAAGAGAGATAGAGAGCAAGCTTTCTGCTGTTGCTTCTTATAAGGGCACTAATCTCCTCATCATGGCCCCAACCTCTTGACCTCATCCAAACCTAATTCCCTCTCAAAGGCCCCATCTCCAGATATGTTGCAGCATAGGATGGTCCACAAACACATGTGGGACTTAGCGCCATCGCTTCACTGAGCATGAGCTCGGGAGCTCATGAGGGCTGTAGTGCCCAGACAGTGGTCCCCAGACTCCAGTGATTTAGGTAATCCCACCATATTTTTTTTATCATGCCACTCAAGAGTTTATTCATAACTGTGAACTTCCTATCCTGTTGTTAATGTTTTATTCCTGAAGTGAACTCAATATTTTTTCTTAAAAATAATTTCCGTTTCAATTTTTAGATGTTTTTGAAGTAGAAGAACACAGACAAGTTGCACAGCTTACATTTTACAAATTCCACATATCCAGAACGAGCAACAGAACATTACCATGCACCCCTTCCCAGTCACCAATTCCCCTCCAAGAGTAACATCTACACTGATTCTTTGCTTACAATCAAATAGAAGAAAGAGGAAATGCTATGAAGGGGTTCCTCATCAAAGAGGCTGTCCAAATGACTACTAATCACATGATACGTTCTCAACCTTCACCAAGGAAATTCAATACAATATCTCTATAGACTCACCACAATGACTAACACGAAAAAGACAAATATGCAAAATGCTGGCAACCAAAGTTTCCTTATATTGCTGTACCCATACCCTGTAGTCGGTACATCACTTTAGTAAACTCTTTGGAAATATCTATCAATGCTTGCACATATGCATATCCTATGACCCAGCAACTCCACTCCAAGGTACACATACAACCTAGAAGTACATGCAATTTATGATCTAGCATGCCCACAGTAGCTCTACATGTAAAGAAAAGAAAGCAGCATGAACAATAGAATAAATACAATGTAATATACTTACATAATGGAAGAATACACAATAATGAGATTTAAAGATATCTAACTATACATAATAATGGCAGTATATCATAAATATAATATTCAACGCAAAAAGCAGTCTTGAGACTATGTGCTTTTGACTGCATATAAATAAATATATTTAAAAAGAAATTTTCTACTGCTACCAGAAATGGAAAATCAGAATCACTTAAAAAGCAAACCTCCCTCCAAATTATTAAATCCCCCCAAATAATATTAAATCCTACCTATATTTGGTTGCCTACCAAATTTCCTTACCTAAGACCTCTTTGTTAAAAAGATTTTCTAGCGTAAGAGAGGTTTAATGAATATACCAGCGTTAAAATGAGTCTTTTTTCTTACAGTCACATGAGGTATTGAAAGAGAACTGGAAATGAAATTGCCTAATGAGTCATCAGACAGCAACTAAAAGTCTTGAACTGTGACAGCCACCAAAAGTACGAATAGCTCACATCCCTCCAGTGGTGTGAATCTGACATTTGATAGAATAAAGTGGGTATGGATGGCTAAGATTCATCATTATTAGTTCCGAACATAATAGTGATATGGGTTCAAGGCTCTCTGGTTAATGAATTCATTCCGTTTGAAAAGGCAAATGAGACTTCTTCAAGCAGCAAAGAACAGGCAGTGGCTCCATGCTGTGTGCCTCTTCTCTCACTCCCCCTTCTCTTACTCGCTCATTCTGAGGGAAGCCAACTGCCATGTTGCGAGCTGCCCTACAGAGTGGTTCATGGGACTCGAAACCAAAGGATGCCTCCAGGCTCCAGTCAATGGGGAACTAAGGTCCTCAGTCCAACAGCCCGTGAGAAATTGAACGCCCTGAAGCTACAGAATGCATTGGGAACTGGGTCTCCCCCAGTAGAGCTTTCCGATAAACCTGGATCCACAGCCACACCCACCTGACTGAACCTCATGAGGGCGCTATAGCCCGAAGCACACAAGTAAGTCACCTGCATCTGACTACTGACCTACAGAAACTGTGAGGAATGAATGCTTCTGTTTGAAACTGCTAAAACAAACGAAAACCCAACAAACCAACACAGCAAAAAATATTGCCTGAATAACTTTAACGCAAGCAGCACTCATTTTATGTTACCTGTGAGGTTTCTTTTTCTTTTTTCTTTCTTTCTTTTTTTTTTTTTTTTTTGAGAAGAAGTCTCTCTCTGTCGCCAGGCTGGAGTGCAGCGGTGCGATCTTGGCTCACTGCAACCTCCGCTTCAAACGATTCTCCTGCCTCAGCCTCCCAAGTAGCTAAGACTACAGGTGCCCACCACCACGCACAGCTAATTTTTTGTATTTTTAGTACAGACGGGGTTTCACCATATTGGCCAGGGTAATCTCTATCTCCTGACCTAGTGATCCACCCGCCTTGGCCTCCCAAACTGCTGGGATTACAGGGGTGAGCCACCGTGCCTGGCCTTCATTTTTAATTTATATATTTTTGTTTCCTAAGATGAGATCTCTCTGTAAAAAGAAAAACGATATCCAGGAACTTCCAAGATGGTAGCTTGCCTGTGGTTGAGAAGATAGTCTTATAGGCTTCAAGATCAATGTGCAGTCAAGGTGTGTCTCCAGAGTTATATCTTTTGTCTTTTTATGTAGCTGCTTTAACTTGGCAGTTTATCACTGAAAAAAAAAATGTGCTTTTCAATTACTCTTATTTCCTCTAAAATGTAAAGTCAATGCTGTTGGTTGGAATCCCATTTTTTTTTCTTTCATTGTGCAACGTATTTATTCTTTTTCTTATTTACCTTTCCCTATGGTTGAATTCTGAGAGTAATTTCTGGACAGTTTGGAAAATTGAATTTCAGGTTGTTTTTTTTTTTTTTTTTTAGAAAAAAAGAAAGAAATCAGTATTCTACATTCCCCTAATAGAATAGAAGTGATTCCCACAGCTGCTTCTTACGATTTATTGATGAGTTCAGGGTAAGTCTTCCTTGGGAGTGTCCTTTTATTTGTTATATTAAGAGTTGATAAGACAGTGAGGAATTTAATAATTTTCAGCTTAAGTACTGGAGCTAAGAAAGAAGTAACAATTTTTAAATATAAAAATACAATTAGGCACATATTTTCTTTTTTTCCTAGCATGATAATTGCATGTACTTCAGATATTAAATATCAACTGGTAGATGAATGGGCTTGACTCTACTAATTACAAAATAAGACATTCCATGGCCCATGGTCCAATCATGGTCAGTGGCTTAGTAGTCAATTAATGAACGAAAGAAAAAATGAGGGCTAAATCATAAATAAAAATGATAATAGCAAGACCTCCATGGAGAAGTCTCTAAACGGGTACCATCCATGGCTTCCCATGATACAGCAGCAGATTCTGTGCCCCAACCTCCACCCTTCTTCCCTGAACCCCCATCTCCTTCTGCCCATGGAATGGGGTATCATCCTCCACGGGTGGGAGGAGATGGGGGTTGAGGGAAGAGGCCTGGGTGTGGGGCACAGAAGTTGATTCTCCCTACAGGACTCGCTGGGGTAATCATAAAATTTTATTCTTGTTCTCTTCCTCCTGTTTACACATCCCATCAATTTCTGTTACTTGCTTGCAATAGAAAGGCCTGTATCATATCAGGGATTCAGTTTCAACATATTAATTTTGGGTAGACACAAATATTCAGTCCACAACAGACACCTTTTTAGGGGAGAATTTTCTAGTTAGGTTACATAAACTCAATGTCCCCCACCAAAATTCCTATCCCCCTTCTTGCTTAATTTTTTATGTTTGTGTTCATACCATGGAAAATATGTTACTTTATTGACTTTCCATTACCTTCTCTGTCTTCTTGAATATAGCTCTAAAATAAGAGCTTCATGAACACTCATGAAGTCAGAGTTTTTCATTTGTTTCATGAAGTCAGGGTTTTTCATTTGCTTTGCTCCCAGCTATAGCCTCATGTCTTGAACAGTGCCTCCCACAGAGGAGGGACTCAAACATTTGGTGGATGAGTTTTACACAACACTGGGACTCAATCACTGCAGCTCGCTGTCAACCTTAGAAGCTGACCCCTCTCCAGACTTTGCCCAAGAGGCATGTTTTTGGTGTGACGTGCTTTGTGGGAATCACTTGGTCCTCCCAAGACATCCTTCCTCTCTCACAACAAAAGACCTTGGACATATCAGTCATCATTTGGCAACCTGATGCCACATCCAGCAACCTGAAAACTGACCATTTTACAACCAACTATTAATATTCATGTCCACTTTATGGAGCTGTTAGAGGAAAACGCCTTCAGCAGCAAGATTTCTCAAACTTTGGAGCTCTAGAGTCACAGTTATTCAAATGACAAGTTCATGACATTTTGCTTGGATGATATTACATTGATTTCTAGGAAGCAAGATGGTAATGATAAGACCTTCGTGAAATAAACATTCTGAGCATTGGAGGCAAAAGAGAAGACTGCATAGATATAAAAAGTTGGCATTCATGGGCCGTTAGAATGGGCTGTTAAATAAAAACTTTGGCTTCTGCCCATATGGAGAGTCAAAAGGGCATCGTCAGGGTGAAGACTGAAGATGAGGATGTGAAGAGGTCAATCTGAGCTTGAGAACCTCGAGGAGTGAAAAGGGTGGAACACAACACCCAGCTCTCATTTCACTTGGCTCTATAATCAGCAATAGATCCTCTCATGAGGACTTGGAGTCCCTGAGCAAACTTTCTCATAGGTTGGGTGAAGGAAGTGAAGTGATCAATTACATGGAAAATCAGACATACCTGATAGTGAAGCATTGTTTTAATGTCAAGCATGATCTAAGATCCCACTGAGGTCTTAGATCAATCATTAGCAGCTAATCAATCATTCTCTGCTTCTGGCCTAAACGATATACAGCTACTTATTCTTCCTTTGAGTTTTTCATTTCCACACTGTGCCTCAGTTTCCTCATTCATAGGATGTGACAATACCTATTTCACAAGTTGTGAATATATCAATAAAATCCTTAGAATAGGGTCTGAGACACAGTATGTGCTTAATGAGTCTATACTAGTACTATTGTATCATCTATTATTTAAGTGCTATTTTCTCTTTTTTATTCTGATTTTTCACATCCATTCCAATATCTAGTGTTTTCTGACTTTTTAATAATGGCCATTTTGCCTGGGGTAAGGTAGTATCTCATTTTGGTTTTAATTTGCATTCCCCTGATGATTAGTGATGTTCATGTTCGTTGGCCATTTGTATATCCTCTTTTGAGAATTGTCTATTCATGTCATTTGCCCACTTTTTCATGGGATTGTTTATTTTCTTCTTGCTTTTTTTTTGAGTTCCTTGTAGATTTTGGATATTAGCCCTTTGTCGGATATATAATTTGCAAATATTGTCTCACATTCTATAGGTTGTTTTTTCTGGTGATTATTTATTTGCTGTGCAGAATCTTTATAGTTTAGGTCACATTTATTTATTGTTTATTTTGTTGCATTTGCTTTTGGAGTCTTAGTTACAAATTCATTGCCTAGGCCAATATCCAGAAGAGTTTCTTCCTAGGTTTTATTCTAGAATTTCTATGGTTTCAAGTCTTAAGATTTAAATCTTTAATCCATCTAGAGTTGATTTTTCTATATAGCGAGAGATATGGCTCTAGTTTCATTCTTCTACATATGGCTATCCAATTCTCCCAGCAGCATTTATTGAATAGGGTGTCCTTTCCCCAATTTATGTTTTTGTACGCCTTGTCAAAGATCAGTTAGTTGTAAGTATTTGGCCTTCTTGGGGGGTTGTCTATTCTGTTCCATTGGTCTGTGTATCTACTTTTATATAAGGTTCTTCTTTTACTTGAAAGAGATTTCAGAGGAAAGTGGATTTTTCCCCATGTCTCTTATCCAAAATAGATGAAGAAAAGCCAGAGTAAGAGGGCCAATTGTTTCCAGAAAAGAAGTAGAACTTATAATTCTTTGTGAAAGTAAAGAGTATCCCTGAATCTTTTGCATGCCAATAACAGTGTTTCTTTAGAACGACCAGAATGTTCCACTCAGTTATATTCTTTGCCAGCTTCTTGTAAGCACTCGAACTGGAGATGTCTGGCCCACAGCTTCTGTGTCTAGAGACCAAGGGACCCCAGAGAGCATCCAGTCCAGTCAGATTCCAGAGCTTTCCAGCTTCACCTGAACACAGGGTTCGTGAAACAGACATTGGGATGGACATACATGTAGGTTGAGGTCAATGTTGGAGGTTTTCTTATTCTTTCTGCTCGTCTAAGCTTAGATGAACCACATAAATGTTTATTTGGGGATAACATATTTTTAAGTAAGTTTTTGGGATCTCTTTTGGCTCAAGAACCACATAAATGATTATTTGGGGATAACATGTTTTTAAGTAAGTTGTTGGGATCTCATTTGGCAGATCAAGTTAAAAATGGTAGTGGATTACCTTCCCTAGGGTTTGGCAAAATTGGAGTTTATTCTATCTCTACTTTGCAGAATGTCCAGTGTCTGGGAACATGAGGAATTGTATTATTTGGGACTGATGATTGCATTTTATAGAATATATCGATAGGTATGAAATAGGGAAATAAGAGTTGCAGAAAGACTAAACCTGTCTTGTGCTAATGAGAATCTTCTGTTTATTCCTTTCTTTGTCAATGTGCTGTTCCTCAATAGACAAGATTTGTTTAAAAAGATACAGATAAAAGTAAAAGGAGGAAACATCAAACAAGGCTGCCATGACTTTGGGGGCAATTGTAAGATCCATGGCCATCTTTGTTTTAAAGGCTGTATTTAATCTGCCACAGGGTTCCACATACAGCTCCTGATTAACACGTTTGTGTTTCTACCTTGCAATTTGCTTTATCATGTCCTGTTCTTTCCTTTTATCTTTCCACATTTGTATATGCAGCATCTCCTACATGCCAAGCATGATACTAGATGCTGAGAACACAGTGGTGAATTCAGCAAGGTCCCCATCCTTATGGAGAAGCAGAGACCATCAGGGCTCAAAGAAAATGCAATGATTAATACTCTAATGTAGTCTCCTATGAGACAAGCAATTTTCTGAGTATTTCGTATATGTTAACTCATTTAATCCTCAAAATAATTCTACAATAGGTACTGATATGATCTGCCCTTTAAAGATAGAAAAGGAAGTCACAGAAGGGATTAGTAACTCACTCAAAATCCTTCAGCTGGTAAGGCTTAGGAAGTGATCAGTGGTATGAAGACCAAAGCAGTGTGGTGTGATAGGGAACTGAGGATAAGAAGAGTTTTCTTACACAGAGTGGACTTTAAGTCAATGATATTGGAAGGTAGATCTATAAAAAATGAGAGAAAAATAAGCAAATCTGGCAATAGACTATTTGAGGCCATTACAGGAAGAGAAAGAGGTTAGAGGAGAGAAGGGCGGTGGACAGGTAAAGGAGTGGCAGGGGGTGAGGCAGGAAGTGTGGCAGGTGCAGGTTAGTACAGTCCTAAACGCCTCCTTAGAATTTTGGTCTGAGTGTGAGAAAAGGCAAGGGAGGTTTCTGAGCAGTGAGAAGGTGTGAGGCAATTCCTGCTTCCCAGGCCTCTCTGGCTACTTTGGGAAGCAGCTGCATGGAGAAAGAGGAGCAGGAGGAGGCTGTACTGTCCCCAGGATGGAGGTGAGGACAGGGCACCAGGGCAGTGTTAGAGAAAGTGAGGAGTTGTGGCTGGGTTCCGGGTATATTTCCAATATGGGGAAGCAAAAAATATTTGGTGAGGAATATTCCTGCCAGGATTATGCAAAGAAGAATGCCCCTGAGGAATCTATGAAACCCATTTCACTTATTTACGTTAGCTACCTGGCTAGTCATGTCCCCAGATTCTGTGCTGCACAATTGAATGGCAGATGGAGCCATTTATTGGGAGGAGAATGTTTGTAGGAGGAAATGAATTTGGGGAAGGGAAAACTAAGTGCATGAAAACTGCCTAAGTGGTAGAGGTAAAGTTCAATTTTAACTTGATTCATTTTCAGAAGGACCAGGGAAATCTAAACAGCAGAACCTTTGTGCAAAAAAAAAAAATAATAATAATAATATCAATACTAGTTCACCCCTACATGGTGCTTAAATGTGCCAGGCCAGGCATAGGTAGAAAAACTTCACATGCGTTAGCTCCCTTCATTCTCGCAGCTGACACCATCATCCCCATTTAACAGATGGCAGAGGTGAGGCACTGGCTGAATGTGCTGTTTGAGATTAGTCACAGGGAGAAGGTGGAGGCATGATGTGCACGCAGGCAATGTGGGAAGACAATGTATTATTATTATTATTATTATTATTATTATTATTACTTATATGTCAACCTGTCAATTTTTCTCAAAGGCTTATTGACTTAAATTAGTTTAGACATCCAAAATGTTCATTTCTTGGCTAAACAAATCTCATGTTAGACATGTCAAGGTATAGTTGATCTCAGATTATAGTGATTGATGAGGAATTCTGCATGAATCATCATTTTGAACTAATCCTACTTAATTGAATTTACAACATAATGTAGGTTGCTAACTCTTTTGACATGAGCACAAGTAAGGTACTTTCCATTGTTCCTAGGAAAAAAGTACCCTGCTATTTAAAAATTTAAAAATCTGTGTAAGTTTTAACTATATAATATTACCCAAATATACATATATTTGGAAATTCTAAAGTCCCCCTGATTTCTCAATTTTGTCTTTAAGCTTAATTGTTTTATCTCCAGAAACTCCAGAAGCTGACTCAGAGGTAACCACTGCTTTAGAACTTATTTAAAGGCAAGAGCTGATGAATTCAAACTCTTTTAAAATCCTCCCTTAGGCAAAGTTCTGAGCTCTCATAACTCATTTTACTGACTTTTCCTTCCATCTTTAATTTACATTTGGTGATATAGAGGAAGTGTTGTGTTTATTTTTTCGGCCACCTTTCCACTGAGCCTTTGTGATCACTATTATGTAGGACAAGATCTTGATTCTCGTTTTCTCCTGAGGAAAGTAGTCTGATACTTTTAAAAGAATCCATCGTTTGAATTGCATTCTCCACTGTCTCCAGTAGGAGAATGTATTTATGTTAATTCCACAGGAATGATTCAGGGATTTGTCATAGCCCTGGCCTTAGTTAAATGATCAGAGGTAGAAACTCTAAGGAAAGCTGCTATTTCACTATTTAATGTTTTATTATCCATGTGTCCAAATCTCCAAGGCATTATGGTAAATAATTTTGCACCATTTTTTTCCCTCATAAACAATAGATTGTTTTTTTTTTTCCCCATGCCTGTCTCTCTGGTCTATGGACTATGGAATGTACAGAAATTTCTTTGAAATAATGGCATCTTGAGGACAATTTTGGGAGGGAAGGTAGACCAAGAGAAGAAAACAGGACACTAAAAGATATCCCCAAGTCGCTAAAATGTACTTGCTGGTATCAGGGAAGTATTTTAGGTATCTTTACTTTGTACCTAATCCTGGGCCTGTTATAGGTTCTTAAAACAAAGGAAGAATGAAGAAAACCTTCCTTT
The DNA here is from genome assembly GCF_000001405.40 of Homo sapiens. Lineage (NCBI taxonomy): Eukaryota > Metazoa > Chordata > Mammalia > Primates > Hominidae > Homo > Homo sapiens. The sequence continues at coordinate 126,370,727 of NC_000012.12, forward strand.
AAATACTTCTTGACTCTTTTCCCTAGAGACTCATACAAACGGAGCTGCCTGTGCCAATGCTACTCTGGGATTTAAATGTACAAAGATATTTTAAAATATTTTCATGTTCAAAGAAAATAATGTCTGAGCTAGAAAAAAAGGGGCACCCAAGATAGTGCTCTACATATTTTATGTGTTGAATCAACCCAATAGTCTTTGGTTTTACCATTTTATAGATGATGACACTAAGGTTTAGAGAAGGTGAGTGAGTTACCCTGGGTCACAGGGCATGTTAGTGGTGAGGTCAGGGTTTATACCCAAACCTTCTAAATCCAGAATTAGAGATCTTACTCATGAGGCTGTCTTAAAGCTGGCGATCTCATTGGATAAGTTCAAAATGTTGCCACTTCCCTATCCACCCAAGCACAAAAGATCAGAGAGTAGAAGATTAGAGGCAAGCAGAGGCCACTGTTTTCTCGATTGTGAAGGGTCAGCCTTGAAAACATCATTAACAATTACACGTGACATTTAAAAAAATATTTTCAACCTCTTGAGGATATTCCCTTTGGTTCCTAAAATGCAGTTAGAAATTAGTATCTGGATTAGTATCTTTGATTCCTAAAATGCAGTTAGAAATTAGTATCTGGATGGCCTCAAAGAGAACAATTGAAGTAGAAATTTCATCCACAGGAAAGATCAACAATGAATATATAACAGCCAGCTTTCCTGGGGCCTGGAGGAAAGAAACACTCTGAGTTCACTTTTCTTGTATTCATGGGAAGAATGTATTTGAGATTCATACATATTTATATCAAGTAACGTATTAGAGTAAATGTCAGTTTTTCACTCTCTCTTTCTTTTTAACTTCACATGCAGAAAACTAAATGACCCATAAAGAAAAAGAAATGATTTTTTTTCTACCATGAAAGTTTTAAAATATGCAAACATCTTAAAACCTAATAGAGCAGGTTATAAAGTGAGTTTGGTGCATTTTCTTAACAGAGATTTTACAAGGTTTTATAAGGGTTTGGGTTGGTGTGGTGTTCAACATTTTATTCTATTGCATTTAGAAACCTGTTCATTGGGTGACTCATACTTCATAGCACTGTCATCTTCATAAATATTTGCTGTGTTGGGGTAAAGACTGAACACTAATAGATTTCTAAACCTATAGTTATAAACCTATAAACCTATAGATTTCTGTAATTGAGGGACAATCAGGATTATTCTTCCAAAGCTGTATTAGTCCATTCTCACACTGCTAATAAAGGCATACCCAAAAGTGAGTAACTTATAAAGGAAAGAGGTTTAATTGACTGACAGTTGAATATGGCTGGGGAGGCCTCAGGAAACTTACAATCATGGTGAAAGGGGAAGCAAACATGTCCTTCTTCCCATGGCGGCCAGAGAGAGAAGTGCCAAGCAAGAGTGGAAAATTCTGTTATAAAACCATCAGATCTTGTGAGAACTCACTCACTATCAGGAGAACAGCATGAGGGTAACTGCCCCCATGATTCAGTTATCTTTGACTGGGTCCTTCCCATGACATATGGGGATTATGGGAACTACCGTTCAAGATGAGATTTGAGTCAAACCATATCAAAAGCTACCTGTAATTTGTATGATTAAAACTTTAATTCGAAGTTGAGGGCATAGTGTTTAGCTAAGGGACATTTAATCACTATTTGGGTCTGCCATTTATTAGTTTAAATTAATGCTAGCTGCAGACACAGATACACCCTTAAACCTCTGTGGCTTAACCCAGACAGAGTCCAGTTAGTTGCAGGATTAAGGGGAATTCTGCTCCACATAGCCACTGAGGTTCCAGGTTCCTTTCATTTTAGGGCTCTGCTACCCCCTAGGGTCCTTCTACCCCCCAGGGTCTTAACTGTCCTCGGCTGAGTTCTGTATATCTCACCAGGTGGTGGGGAGACAAACCAGGAAGTGGATTATGTGGGAAGATTTTATGAACTATGTCTAAAAGTAACACACACGACTTCTGCCACATTCGTTAGACAGAACCTAGGTACATGAATTTGTCAAGCTACAAAGGAGATTGGAACATGCAGTAGAGCTGTGTGCCCAGAAGAAAGTGGCACTGGGTTTTGGCAGCCAGGTATCAGTATATTCCACAGTTTCCAGCTGTATATTTTGGTAGTATCCGCTGCTGTGAATTGACATTCCTAACACAACATGCAGAAAAAAGATGTTCCCAGTTTCTCTGACACAAGGGTATGAACACATGAACTTGCTTCTACCATTCAGACACCTCAGCATGAGGCATGACTGAGCAGCAGAGAGAAAAAGCACAGAGCATCTGTTCTGCAGTTATAGATGTCTGAAGTAACATATTTCTGGAGTCATGGGTAGTGCTGGGTGCTTCCCCCTTATGTCAGAGACATTGAGAGTCTGTTAGCAAGCAGGTCTTAGGAAGGGGTTCTGGTGTTGGGGGTGTTCCCAGAAGCTCAGACTAAAATCTATCTCTCCATTGACTCCAACAATGCTGTGAGCCTCTTCATATCCCTTAATACTCTGAACCACAAAAATTTAAGACAGGTCTCAGTTAATTTAGGAAGTTTATTTTGCCAAGTTTGAGGATGCGAGCCCATGACACAGCCTCAGGAAGTCCTGACGACATGTGCCCAAGGTGGTCAGGGCAAAGCCTACTTTTACACATTTGAGGGAGACACGAGACATTGATCAATACATGTAAGAAGTACATTGGTTCGGTCTGGAAAGGCGAGACAACTCAAAGCAAAGGCAGGAAGCCAGGAAGCCAGAAGGGGGCTTCCAGGTCACAGATAGGTGAGAGAGAAATGAACCTTTGCATTCTTTTGAGCTTCTGATCAGCCTTTCCAAGGAGGCAATCAGACATGCATCTATCTCAGTGAGCAGAGGGGTGACTTTGAATAGGAGGCATATTTGCCCTGAGCAGTTCCCAACTTGATGGGGTCCAAGATATTTTCCTCTCACAATACATTCTTGCTGCTTCAACAAAAGTGAATCTTGTTTTCTGCATCTAAGAATGTTGTTTTTATTTAATTCATCTCACTTATGAGGGAAAAAAAGCAAAAAGACACATGCACTTCAGTGTATAAATCCAACCCTATCAGACTTTGGACAGCAAAGGGATTTCTCTAGAACATTTTTATTAATTTATCTCCTAATATTAAAACATTGTGGGATTTCATCCAATATTTTGGTATTTTACTTTCCTTGAAAAATCAAACAACACGAAGAACAGTAAGGGTTGTGGAATCGTAGCTCCTGAGTCCTAATCCCGCAGGCCAAGGGTACAGCTGGAGTCATGATGCAACGAACACATCTCCATTCCATGACCTTCCGCTCCCTTATTAACCACAAAGAGAGCGCCGAGCACACCTGCCCAGGCACTGCTTTTCTGAATGGTCCCTCCCCACAGAACAAGGAGAGATCACTGGGGCAGACTATGAGCCTTGGAAGGTTCATCTTGATTTCTTCTGTTGAGAAATCTCATTTTGTGCAGTGCTTCTGTGTTCTGTGTGTCTCTGAAATCCGATATGAACTCGACCTCGTCAGAGAGCAAGTGAATGAGGAATCCATCCCCAAAGAGGACTTATTTCTCCTGGTTGGATTTTTCCTCTTGGTGCACATGGAAGCTCTCACTTCACTCTTTTTGTGTGATGACTGATGATGCCTCACATATGTTTGATCCATGGTCATTCATGGGGATGGGTGTCAGTGGATTCCTGAACTCTAAGAACCAAGCAAGTGTCCACCCCAAGTGACCGTGTTTGGTGGTGTGGGTGCATCTTTACATAATTACATGAATCCTCATTCTTCATAGGGCTGGTAAGCCTCAGCATTGAGTATTTATTCTTAGTCATTTCCAGTGCACATCAGTTTTTAAAACTACCTCTTGGATACTTGAGGAGTGGCTTTATAATTGTTAAATTCCCTTAAATATATTCTTTGGCAACATCATGCTATTGAAAGGGCTTTACCATTTGAGACACAAGGTAATAAAGGTCTCACTAATGCACATATGCCTCACTCTCCTCTTTACAAGGGATTTGGCCCAGCACCAGAGGAAAGCAATTGGGCAAAATACACAGAAATAACAACCACCAGCAGACATACGCTCTCGTACTGCACTTCTGTGAATGTGGAAAATAACTGTTTTCCTGATGATGTGATTTCACACAAACCTTTCATTCTTGGAAGAGACTTTATAACTAAATAGGAGTTTGTAAATTATAAAGAATTCACTGAGGCTATTGAGGCTACTAAACTTGATCAAAGAGAGGTAATAATTAGATCACAATCACTTATACTGGCTTTTACCTTCCCAAGATTTTGAAACATTTTCATAGGCATTATCTCTTTACCTAGAATATTAACATCAGACCCCTTATTTTTAATAATTGCAGAATAATTTTAATAACTCCAATTATTAGAAATAAATCATTTATGTCTTAATTTCTTTCTAATAATAATTCCAGAATTATTATTTCTAATAACTCTAGAATTAACTTTCAGCTGAAAGAATTAATTTTATAAACTTAAATTTTACTTTATAAATACTTAAAACATCAAATGATGTGGTAACATACTCATCATTACCTCATCATTGATGTTTTAAGTATTTATAAACAATTTCACTCCTCCTCCCAAAATTGTTCATAACCTCAACAAGATAAGCAGGAGAGTCATAATTTTCTTCATTGAAAGATAAAAGGAACAACAACAAAAATTAAAAACAGAAATGATTAAAAGTAAAAAAGCCTATTTTATAGGCATTAAATTAGGACATTTAAAAATTAAGATATGGTTCATATACAAAATTAACACGGTTAAGCATTATTCAAAGTACACTTTTTGGGGAACAATTTGATGGAGATGTAAATAATTCTGTGAAATATTGTGAGAAAGCTACAAGTTAATTTGTTTAGTCAGTTTGTCTTCCTATAAGCATGTGTACCAATACTCCCATACTCTGGTGAACCCGTGTCAACATTTTCACAGACATGGTCTCTTAATGGTGAGATTATAGGGGATTTTGTTTTCTTTGTAATTTTGTTTTGTTTTCTAAGTTTTTTCTGTTGATTAGACTTTGTAATTAGAAAAGGCAAACTGTAAGATTGAAAACCATTGGAATAGATTAGATTATAATATTTTATTTCCTCCTTATAGTTGCTCCAAGTTATATAGTCACTACAATAAGGTAGCTGGGAAAAGCCTGGACTTGTATGAATGTTTTGGAGAAAACATCGATAAATCCCCTTTTCTCTCCTAATTCCTGATCATAGTGACTGCTCAGAGTTACCATGAAATAGTTCAATCCATGATGACCCATGCACCATAGCACTGTGCTCTGTCACTGCAATAGTCTAACTAAATGTTTATGTCCCTCCAAAATTCACATCTTGGAACCGCATGGAGATGGTATTAGTAAATGGAATTTTGGAGAAGAGATTAGGTCGTGAGGGTGGAGCCCTCATGAATGGGACCAGTGGCCTTTTAAGCAGAAGCCAGAGGGTTGGCTCGCTGTCTTTCCACCATGTGAGGATACAACAAAAAGAAAGAAGTCCACAACCTGGTAGGGGGTTCTCACCAGAATGCAGCCATGTTGGCATCCTAATCTCAGAATTTCTTGATTTCTGGCTTAATTTAATTTTTTACCCAAAAGTCATTTTGGAGCAGATTGTTTAATTTTCATTTAATTGTATAGTTTTGAATGATCTTCTTGGTACTGATTTCTATTTTCATTGCACTGTGGTCTGAGAGTGCGGTTGGTATGATTTCAGTTCTTTTGAATCTGTCAAGAATTGCTTTAGGGCTGAGCGTATGGTCAGCTGTAGAGCATGTGCCATGTGCAGATGAGAAGAATGTATATTCTATTTTTTGGGGTGGAGTCAGAACTGTGAGAAATAAATGGTTGTTGTTTAAGCCACCCAGTCTTTGGTAATGTAATTTGTTGTAGACTCCCGACCTGACTCAGGCAGTCATCATTCAAGTGTTCAAATCCCCATGATGCCCCAGGGCATGTTGTTTCCCAGCAGGCCATGGAGCACCATCTTGTTTCCCAGCAGGCCATGCAGCAGGAAGTTGGTGCCCTCCCAGTGGGAAGGAGCCAACATCAATGTACTGCCTGCTGCTGGGGACAGTTCTGAAGTAGCAGCCTTCTTTTTCATATCCACACCACTTAACAGCTTAACTGTGCATATTAGACTTCTGACTAACAGAGATGTCTCCCAAGGTGGAAGTGTTGTTCTCTCCCACAGAAAATTCTACAGGCTGGCAGTCCAGGACCTCCTCTATCTTTTGATGGTAACAGAGACTAGTTTGGTGCTCATCAATCTCCTTTCGTCTTCCTGGAAACATAGAATAATCTGCATTTCCCAGCCTCGCTCATGAGTTAGTGCCTTGTGACTGGTTCTGTACAATTAAATATGAGTAGAAATAGTTTATGTTACTTCTAGGCCTGGCCCTAACATGCCTGTGAGGTCATAGTCATTGGCTCATTTTTTTCCCCTCTTCTTTTAAAGAGACTTTGGAGGACATGTATTGTATCTGGCAGCTTCACAGAAACCTCTGAGACCTGAATCACCCTTGGGAGGAGAGCTGTCAAAAAGAGCACAGTGTCTCATGCCTGTAATCCCAGCACTTTGGGAGGCCGAGGTGGGTAGATCACCTGAGGTCAGGAGGTGGAGACCAGCCTGGCCAACATGGTGAAGCCCCATCTCTACCAAAAATACAAAAATTAGCTCGGGATGGTGGTAGGGGCCTGTAATCGCAGCTACTTGGGAGGCTGAGGCAGGAGAATTGCTTGAACATGGGAGGCAGAAGTTGCAATGAGTTGAGACTGTGCCATTGCACTCCAGCCTGGGTGACAACAGCGAAACTCCATCTTAAAAAAAAAAAAAAAAAAAGAGCTGCCTGACCTCCTTTAGATGGTTAAGACACTAAGAAGGGCATATTTGTTAGAGCAGCCTGTGTTCATCACCCTGACTACACTTCTCTGCCCTCCTAGGGAAGGATCTTGTCTTCAGGTCCTCTGAATGCCCACTCACGAGGCCAGAGCTCCTTGTAGAGTCATATTCATATTCTTGGCAGCTGAAAGGAAGAAGGATGCACCCTCCTGCTAAGTCAGCTACGTTGAAAAGAGCCTTCAACTATTAGTTGAGTGTCTTCCACACTGACAATCAGAAGAAATAGTCTTAGGGTTTCAAAATTGTTTAACCTTTAAAAGTGGTCCACATATTTCTCAAATTTGAAAACCATGACCTTTGTTCACCTATTTTTCCCTATCTGTATTCCTGAATATTAGTTGTTTCAAAAAGAAGGAATATCTAAATATTTCAGATTTATCCTAAAAGAAGTCTTGTCTCAATGCAGATGCAGACTGCTTAATTCTGTCTTTCCCTCTATGGTCAGAAGGAAAAAAACCATTACGGGGTCAGTGTGTTCTGAGTGGGTCATCTGTGTGAGGTCATCATATTTTTCAACCTGGATCTCACCTGAGGATTCCAAGGTTCTCTTGAAGCATTATATTTAATTCATTGTTAGTTATTTTAGAAAATATTTTCCTGCAAGTATTTTCTTGGAACAAACTGTTTTATGAAAGTCCATGTACCATATAATTTGCACTCCAACTAAAATTACTTTTCTTCATAATAGTTAGACTTTTGCAGGTGCTTGTTTGTTTGGTGAACAACTGTGGAACAGACAAATGATGCTTCTAGAAAATGTGTTTTATTCCATGAGTAGCATTATTTGGGTTAGAACAAGATTTTTAATGAATATTGTCAAATTGTCAGTGTACTTATACCCTCCTTCTTTCTCAAGTTGTCATTCAGCTAAAACCTAAGTTTGACTTTCTTTCACTTGTTCTTTTATTTCTTCAAGCATTTCCTTTTTGCTTACTATGTGTTGGATACTGATCTAAGAACCAGGGAGATCACGATAAATGATATGGGGTCTTAACTTTATGGAATAGATCAGTGAAATTTCTTTCTTTAGAATAAGACATAAAACCCAATATAGGCTTAGTACTCAAAAAGAGTTCTTATTAATTACAATAATTGCAATCACATTCAGTGTTGGAGGTAGCCTTTGCCAGTGATTTTGTGGGAGGCATGGAGTTGAGCAGCCAACCTCTCCCCTCCTAGCTAATGTGGGTTATCAAGGCATTTCCTAGGTTAGAATAGAAATGAGGCTCCCTTAGCTGTCTCTTGGAAAGTCCAAATATAGGAGGGGGCTTTGAATGCATCTCTGAGGTTGACTAGATTCCAGCTGATGGAAATGGAAGCAAAGAGTGCTCCAGGCATAGGCAGGAGTGTTTGAAAAACCCTAGAGTGAAGAAATGACACAACTTGTTTACTGAATGTTGATGAGTCTAGTTTCGATGAGGAACAGGGGAGAACTGAGAGATGACACAGAAAATGTAGGCTACAGCGATACTGAATAAGGCTGGGATTTCAGACTGAGAGGTGGAAGTGCAATTTTCTATTGAATAGAGAATATAGGGGTGATAAGGGGCACAGGTTTCCCTGACACTGGGCACTGAAATTTACTTGCAGTTGTTGCCTAGGAAACATGTATTCATTCTGTGTCTGTGCCCAGGTGCGTGTATGTGCAGGTGAAAGTGTGTGTGTATGCATGCAAACTTGTGCATGTGCTTGTGTGATGTGTGTGTGACTTTGACGTCTAGATTGATATCACTTCCACTTCTGAAACCCACCTTCTGATTGAAATCTCTGGTCTTAACAAGGGCATAAACCCCTGTGATCCAGCTGTCCTGCCTGGTAATGGCTTTCTATTGAATGTACAGATTTAGTTCTCAAGGATCATCTGTTCTAAGACTCATGCTCCGATTATTGAAATAAATGCACTTTTCAGAATATAATTTTTCATTAATGGCTGTTAAGTCCTAGAGCTGATCATTTTAAACCTCCCCAAACCAACCACAGTTTATCAGTCACCTGTAGCCCTCATTGGAAGACCAAGGGCCCTTCTTATATTTTAGAGGTTAGTGTTACCACTCACATCAATTCACATCATGCAAGTTACAGTATATGGCAACCAAATAAATGACAAACAGAGAAATAATAAACATGAACTCCCTGCAAGTGATCCTTATATGGTCTCTATTCTAAATTTTTAGAACGGCTTTCATTTTAGGGAATTTTATTTTGTTCAGTAAATGCATTCAATAAGCATATAATTTAAGGTGATCCAATATTTATAGCATTGTAAATATTCTCCTAGTTATACATTCACAAAGCAGGGTAAACATATTACATATGACATGCCCTGTGCTTAGTTTTGACACATAAGATTAACTTAGTTGACCCGGTTGTTTCTGGCATTTTTGTTCCCTAATTTCTGTGAGTGTCACCAGGATTTCACATGGGATCTCCTGGTGTTTTGTTGTATTAAGTGGCTGGTTTGAAACCATCTTTCTCTGTAGAAGTCTTTCCCCATTATTCTGAGAATCCTTGAGGCTTATGCTGGCTTGAAACCATCTTACTCTGTAGAAGTCTTTCCCCGGTATTCTGAGAATCCTTTAGGTTTATGATCATATTACTGTTTTGGCTCCTATTTCTAAGCTTACTCTCTCTTTTGGTGTGGGTACAACCCAGGTTTTAAACTCAGCCCCTTCCTTCAATTTCACATAAAGCTTTACTTACACAAAGATTCTGCAAGTTACAGCAGACTCTGCCGAAGTTGGATGGGGAATGAAGAAGACAAAGGGCGAACATTACGGAAATGCTGATAGTTGAAAAGTGAGCATGAGGCATCCCTGTTAATCAATTTGCATTTAAAACATCCTTTAGTCCCTTGGCCTTAGGGAAATGTTCTCAGACCACCTTGCCTCCCACTCTCTATGAGACTCTTGTTTTTGGTATGGCCACTAAGCCAGAATGTGCATGGCAAAAGGGGGTTTGGCAGAGAGGCCTAGTAGGGGCTGAACTTTGTATCATGCTCTGCTTCCTAATGTCCTGGTCTGGATTGCCTCAGCCTGTAGTAAGATATGCTTTTTCTAAGGCACAAAAAGTGCCATGCAATAAACTAGAAAACCTAGAGGAGATGGATAAATTCCTGGAAATATACAACTCTCCTAAATTAAACCAGGAAGAAATAGAAACTCTGAACAACCAATAGCAAGCAGCGAGATTGAAATGATAATTAATAAGTTACCAACAAAAAAAAGTCCAGGACCAGACATGAATTATATCAGACATTCAAAGAAGAATTTGTACCAACCCTATTGACACTATTCCAAAAGATAGTGAAAGGGAGAATCCTCCCTAAATCATTCTATGAAACCAGTGTTACCATAATACCAAAACCAGGAAAGAACATGACAAAAAAAAAGAAAACTACAAGCCAATATCCCTAATGAACATAGATCCAAAAAATCCTCAACAAAATACTAGCTAACCAAACCCAATAGCATAACAAAAAGATAATCCGCCTTGATCAAATGGGTTTCATACCAGGGATGCAGAGATGGTTTAACATACGCAAGTCAATAAATGTGATACACCACATAAACAGAATTAAAAACAAAAATCACATGATTATCTCAATAGATACAGAAAAAGCATCTGACAAAATACAGCATCTCTATATGATTAAAACCCTCAGCAAAATTGGCATAGAAGGGACATACCTTAAGGTAATAAAAGCCATCTATGACAAACCCACAACCAACATTATAAGGAATGGGAAAAAACTGAAACATTCCCCTTGAGAATTGGAACAAGACAGGGATGCCCACTCTTGCCACTTTTATTCAACATAATACTGGAAGTCCTAGCCAGAGCAATCAGACAAGAGAAAGAAATAAAGGGCATCCAAATTGGTAAAGAGGAAGTCAAACCGTCACTGTTTGCTGATGACATGATTGTACACCTAGAAAACCCTAAATACTCATCCAAAAAAGCTCCTAGAACTGGTACGTGAATTCAGCAAAGTTTCAGGATACAAAATTAACGTACAAAAATCAGTAGCTCTTCTATATACCAACAGTGACCAAGCTGAGAATCAAATCAAGAATCCAACCCCTTTTACAATAGCAAAACAAACAAAACAAAACAAAACAAAACCAAAAACTTAGGAACATACCTAATCAAGAAGGTGAAAGACCTCTACAACGAAAACTATAAAACACTGCTGAAAGAAACCATAGACAATACAAATAAATGAAAACACATCCCATGCTCATGGATGTGTAGAATCAATATTGTGAAAATGACCATACTGCCGAAAGCAATCTACAAATGCAATGAATTCTCATCAAAATATCACCATCATTCGTTGCAGAACTAGAAAAAACAATCCTAAAATTCATATGGAACCATAAAAGAGCCCACATAGCCAAAGCAAGATGAAGCAAAACAACAACAACAACAGACAAATCTGGAAGCATCACATCACCCGACTTCAAACTATACTGTAAGGCCATAGTCACCAAAACAGCATGGTACTCGTATAAAAATAGGCATATAAACCAATGGACAGAATACAGAACCCAGAAATAAAGCCACATACTTGCAGCCAACTGATCTTCAACAAAGCAAACAAAAACATACAGTGGGGAAAGGACACCCTATTCAACAAATGTGCTGGGATAATTGGCAAGCCACATGTAGAAGAATGAAACTGAATCCTCATCTTTCACCTTATACAAAGTCAACTCAAGATGGATAAAAGATTTAAACCTAAGACCTGAAACTATAAAAATTCTAGAAGATAGCATTGGAAAAACCCTTCTAAACATTAGCTTATGCAAAGATTTCATGACCAAGAACCCAAAAGCAAATGCAGCAAAAACAAAGATAAATAGATGGAACTTAATTAAACTAAAAAGCTTCTACACAGCAAAAGAAATAATCAGCAGAGCAAATAGACAACCCACAGAGTGGGAGAAAATCTTCACAGTCTATGCTTCTGACAGAGGACTAACATCCAGAATCTACAAGGAGCTCAAACAAATTAGCAAGAAAAAAAAGCCCATTAAAAATTGGGCTAAGGACATGAAGAGGCAATTCTCAAAAGAAGATACACAAATGGCCAACAAACGTATGAAAAAATGCTCACCACCACTAATACCAGGGAAATGCAAATCAAAACCACAATGTGATACCACCTTACTCCTGCAAGAATGGCCATGATCAAAAAATTTTAAAAAATTGATGTTGGCTTGGATGTAGTGAAAAGGGACAATTTTACACTTCTGGTGGGAATGTAAACTAGTACAATCACTATGGAAAACAGTGCGGACATTCCTTAAAGAACTAAAAGTACATCTACCATATGATCCAGCAATCCCACTACTGGGTATCTTCCCAGAGGAAGTCATTATATAAAAAAGACACTTGCACATGCATGTTTATACCAGTACAATTCTCAATTCCAAAAATTTGGAACCAGCCCAAATGTCCATCAATCAGCGAGTGGAAAAAGAAAATGTGATACACACACACACACACACACAAACACACACGCACACCATGGAATACTACTCAGCCATAAAAAGGAACGAAATAATGACATTTGCAGCAACCTAGATGAAATGGGAGACCATTATTCTAAGCAAAGTACTCAGGAATGGAAAGACAAACATCATATATTCTCATAAGTTGGAGCTAAGCTATGAGGATGCAAAAGCATAAGAATGATATAATGGACTTTCCAAACTTGGGGGAAAGGGTGGGAGGGGGGTGAGAGATAAAAGACTACGCATTGGGTACAGTGTACACTACTCGGGTGATGGGTGCACCAAAATCTCAGAAATCACCACTGAAGGGCTTACTCATGTACCAAAAAAAATTAATTAATTATTTAAAAAGTCCATGCAAGCTAGCCCTTCTCTGCCCATTGCATGCTCTATTCTTCCTTTAAATCTTAGAAGTAGTGCCAATTTCCTCATTTTCTTAGGAAGAGCAGCCAAGCAATGCTTTTTGTTTTGCCTGTTTGCTCATTTGCTCTTCTGCTTATACTCATACTGGCAAGACATTCAGTCCAAATGCTTATCTAGGCACCTTCTGAAGCAAAGAGTTTCCTTCCTTGGAATACTTCTGCTGCTACCTCTTAAGTCGATAATACTTGGTTACCATGCTTTTCTTTGCTTTTTTATTCTCTCTCTCCTTTGCTGCCTGGTTTAGGGCTGATTAACGTTTATTCTTTTGTTTTTCCGCTCTTCCCATCTGTAGTTTGGACGTTTGATTTTGTATTTCTATTCTTTAACTAGCTGAATTTTGCTTTGTTATATTGTATTATTCCTGTAATTTCTGATTATAACTTCTTGATTGTCTTACCTGTGCTAGGGTGCACTGAATACCTGCTGGAGGAGGGGTTTATTCAGGGCTGCCTGCCACACACACATAAACACACAGACACTTTTAGTCAACATGTGGGTCTCCAATTTTCTGAGGCAGCTTTTCATTTCTTTTCCTCTGTCTCCAGTTCCTTTGTGCTTCTTAATTATCCCCAGCCGAGCAAAGCTTGGAGGTCTGCCCAGGGTTCCCATCTGCCAGAAAGGTCTGAGGCCACACCTGCAAGGAACTGGAGCTTTCACACAGGTTCATAAAGGCTTCCGACTAGACACTTCCTTTGCAGCAATTGCAGCAATTTATGACTTTAAATACAGTGTGGAAAACATCAAAACAAACCCTTTGCATAGATATTCTTTTTCATTGCTTGCCTACAGCTGTCTTGCAGTGAGGCAGGAAATGATGCTACCTGCTTTGACTACTTTTACTTTTCATAATGCCTAGAAATAAGCTATTTTAAAGGGTTGTATGGACTAGACTGTTTTATCAAAAGCAATTTCCACTATGAATGATTTTTAATGTCTCAACTCTAAGATATTTTTGAGTTTTAGCACTGATATTTTAGTTTTGCATTGTTAATTTGTTTTATTGATATTAAACATTTATATTGTATTGCTTGAAGTCATTTGGAAGTTTATTTGAAATTGAAATTGTCAAGTAAAGTTAGGTAATGGGATTGCACCAGATTGCTGTGTGCAGCGATTTTCTGATTTCACTTCTTCCCCTTTGAGTCAACTGTGTTCTGATAAATCTGGACCTAAATCTGTGAACATTCTATCTGAGCAAGGAAACAGAATAGGGTGATAATTACTTTACTCTGAAGTGGCAAGACCCACAAAGGGCTGCTACAGAGGCTTGTTCACGTTGTACCCTGACCAACACTAACAAGTGATACAGGAGCTAAAAAGAAATTATTTAGGCAGTTAGCGAGCAGAAGAGAGTCCTTGGTAAGGCTTCTCTTTTAACAAAAAGCACACCCTAAATCATTTCTTTTCTCACAAAGAACAGCCTGTACAACTGAGCTGCAGACATAAATAAGCAAACTGGAAGCTTGCATAGGTAAATGCCGGCAGTTGTGCCAATAGAAAAGGGATACCTGGAAGCCAGGTATATTCAATGTGGAGGGTCCCTCTTTCCTTTTCTTTGTCACCAAGTGTGCAGTAAAAAGCAGGCAACATGGCACTGGCCAGGTAGAGAATCCATCTGCATAATAAAGGAGTAGGGTGGGTTGGCCAGCTTCTTTGCAAGCTATGCAAACGGCACACCTGGTCTGACCAATCTCTAGTGCTCTGTATTAATCACACACCACCTCCTCAAGCTCATCTATAAAACCCCATGCATTTCATTGTGGAACCAGAAGATCCAGTGGGGAGCACTTCTTTCTTTGCAGGAGAAAGAGCTTTTTTTTCTGTTTTCTCTCGCCTATTAAACCTCTGTTCTTAAACTCACTTCTCATGTGTCCACGTCCTCGATTTCCTTGGCATGAGATGGAAAACCTTGGGGATTTACTCCAGACAATGAGGCTGCTTCAGAAGCATCTTTTATATGATCATGTATGTGAATGGTGCCTCCTTATTTGAGTAGTGCACAACCTATGCAACTATATCTGGTGACCTTCACAGCATTTCCATTTCCGGCCTTTTCTCATTATGCTTTTGTTATTTCCTCACTTAGAAAGCCCTCATGCATCAAATACAGAAGTGTCTACTGAGAACCTGCCTTGCAATTTTCCCTTTGTTGGGATCTAATGACAGAGCCATGAACATAATATTATCTCAAACTTCAAAGATTTCCAGTCTGCTGCAAGAGGCAGACGTAAACAGCAACTTTCTGTTAGTTATTGGCAAAGAAATGGTACACTGGGAGCTAAACCTATGGTACCAAGAAGTAATAGGAAACAGATTCCTCACCCCTGAGCTGTGAGACAGGCCACATGGACATTTCAAAACCAACAATGACCAGTGAGGTGACTCAGCCTTGTTGAAGATAAGTCAGGGTAGGGCAATGGAGGACTGGAAAGGAGGGTTTCTTTGGACAGAGCTGGGCTTCCGGTTTCACCTCACCTCCAGCAGGAAGCACAGGGAGCCAGCCCCTAAGCCCAGGCCAGTGGGAACAGCTCCACCAGCACTTGCAGGCCTGGCCACGTGTCCCACGCAGTGAGGCAGGCACAGAGGACAGGTGCCCGACTCACATTGAGAAGGCGAGAAAAAGCTAGGGATGGCTGAACAGAGGGCTGCACCAGGGGGAACAGGGGAGAGAATGTGTCCCTCTGTCGTGGGCTAAAGTTGTGTGACCCTTGGAACCCACTGTAGACCCCATTATAGATGTAAAAATACCTGCCTGGGGATGCTTAGAATGAAGTCCTGCCCAAGAGGACAGCATGCCTGGGTAAAAAAGACACCAACTATTTTGCTGGTGGCAGAAGCTAAGGGGGCTAGATGTAGATCACAAAGGAAAGAAATTCATTTCTTTCTTTCACAGATAAATTGTGTTTCACCAAGAAAACACAATTTGTGTGATTTATACAAATGGTAGATCACAATTTACCTGTTCCAAGAAAATTTGGCTGGATGGCCGAGAAGGGGCAGAGCTTCATGACAGATAATCTAGGTAAGAATGATCCAGACCGAGTGCGGTGGCTCACGCCTGTAATTCCAGCACTATGGGAGGCAGAGGTGGGCAGTTCACCTGAGGTCAGGAGTTTGAGACCAGCCTGGCCAACATGGGGAAACCCTGCCTCTACTAAAAATACAAAAATTAGCTGGGTGTGGTGGTGGGATCCTGTAATCCCAGCTGAGGCTCCCGAGGCTGAGGCAGGAGAAACGCTTGAACCCAGGGGATGGAGGTTGCAGTGAGCTGAGATCACACTATTGCACTCTAGCCTGGGTGAAAGAATGAAACTCCTTCTCGAAAAAAAAAAAAAAAGAAAGAAAAAGAAAAAAAAGGAATGATCCAAACTAAGTTAGGTGGTGTCCTGCAGTAGAGAGAATGTTCACTCCAGCACACATTCAAGAAAGAGTTAGGAATAAACATCATCCTGCATTCAACCTTAAGAATCCCCTTCTCCATTAAGATTTCCAGGGGGTTCCCATCTTCCTCCTGTTTCCTGCATTTTGAGTGTGAAATATTTTATTTATTAAAATTAACAATTGAATTTTAATATTTAGTATACTTCATTGAGCCTGAAATGCCAACTATAAATTACAATATTAGTTTTATGGACTACAAAGAATGAATACTGTCAATTCTCATTCAGATGCCATTCAAACATAAGATGGTTTGCAATTTCTGTGATCTTAAGGTGTGACAAAACATGAATTTTAGAATGACTGAAATATGTTGTTACTTTGATTTTTATGTTTACCTGATTTCTGTCTCCAGCAAATCTATGAGTTACTTGAGAACATGGACCTTGATTTATATTGCTGTAAACTTATAGAATAGGTAGTAAACTCATGGATAACAGATTATTTGAACTATAAGTCAGACCACTTGAAAGGAATATCAAATGTTTTAACATGTCATGAGTCACTCTCACCATTTTAATATGAAAATATAAATTTTTAAAAAGAAAACCTGAAAAGGAAAAACATGGCAAGGATAATTGCTTTAAAAACATCAAAGATGGGCAATTACAAATGTACAGATTCAAATAACCCAATACGGCTTGTTAGATAAACAATTCCCTAACAATTTCCCATGGTATTTGTCATGGTTCTCTAGAGAAGCAGAACCAATAGGGTGTGTGTGTGTGTGTGTGTATACAATCTGCCCTCTGCAAGCTGGAGACCCAAGAAAGCTGGGGGTACAGTTTGAATCCCTGAGAGCCTGAAGCCGATTGTGTAGATTGAAGTCTGAGTCTGGAGGTCTGGGAACCACGAGCATAGAGGGCAGAAGATTAATGCCCCACCTTAAGCATCAGGTGAAGTTAATTCAATTTTCCTCTGCCTTTTTTCCAATGTAGGCCCTCTGTGTATTGGACCGTGTCCACCTACCATGAGGAGGATGTCTGCTTTACTTAGTTCACAGATTCACATTCTAGTTTCTTCTAGAAACACCCTTACCAACACACGAAGCATAATGCTTAACCAATGCATTAGTCCATTCTCACACTGCTGTAAAGAAATACCTGAGACTGGGTTATTTATAAAGAAAAATGGTTTAATTGGCTCACAGTTCCACAGGTTGTACAGGAAGCATGGCGGCGTCTGGGGAGGCCTCAGGAAACTTCCAATCATGGTGAAGGCGAAGGGGAAGCAGGGACATCTTGCATGACCAGAGTGGGAGGAAGAGCGAGATGGGGGAGGTGCCACACACTTTGAAACAACCAAATCTGGTGAGAAGTCACTCACTAGACAGTACCAATGGGGGATGGTGTTAAACCATTCATGAAAACTCCACCCTCATGAGCCAATCACCTCCCATCAGGTCCTGCCTCCCACATTGGGAATAGTAATTCAACGTGAGATTTGGGTGGAGACACAGATCCAAACCATACCAACCTGCTATCTGGGCATCTCATGGCCCAACCAGGTTGACACATAAAAGCAACCATCACTCACATTTCTCTACTCAGAGATAAGCATTTTCTACTCTTTTAAGCTATTTTGTTTTTAAAGTGATTTCTACATCGTAATATATTTTGATTATATCCCTAGGTCTTCATCTCTTCTTTAATATTTTCTTCTCTCTACATGGCCTCTAATTTCTAATAAGGGGATCCTTTTACCTCTCCACTTCAAATGATTTCTGTAGACCTCAATCTTCTTTGCAGTACTAGCTCAGCAACTATGTTAAACACACTCTCACTCACTCACCTCATAGAAAATGATACATCTGCCAAATGATGGGTTTTTGGTATGTTTTACAAGTTTTACACTAAATAAGCTCAAAATGTGTTGGGCAAGTTAAAAAGAAACATTACAGGGAAAGTTTCTACCCCTCCCTTTCTCTGCTTTGCAGTGTTTGGTCTATGGGAGAGAGAAGAAAAGAGAAAGAGAGAACGAAAAGGGGGAATGGTACTCTAAAATATGATGAATTCACCCTTGTGGATGATAAGCCAGCCATCTTTTAAAATTATAATCCTCTATTTGCATTTTCTAAAGACATATATTATTTCACTCCAACAACTTTACCCTTTCTCCAAAGCTATAACCTCACTTTTATTTTCCTAAAAGTTGCCTTTTATACTTTCTTAGAAACTCAAATTTTATCTTAAGTTTACAGTGATTGCTATCTTGTTCCCTGAAAAATGAGGGTTAAGGGGAAAAAAAAAACGGATGACTGAGCTCACGAGATCTTACACAAAGAGATTAATTGCTACCACTCTAAGGACTTGGGTAGAGTATGAGATGAGTAATCCGCAGAAGGCGGAGGAAACCAGAGCTGGCAGTGTTTCAACGGTCGAACATCTGGGCATTTGTAAATATTCTCGCACTGGAATGGTAAATTGGGAGCAACCATCTGGATGTTAGGCTAAAATTTTCATTTTTTTAAGATGGATTTTTAAGACCGCTATATAAAACCTTCCAGCTTTTCTCTTCATTCTTCTAGTTTTTAGTAGCAGCAGGGCATGTTGCAATAAATTCCACAATATTTTAACAATGAGATAGTGGGTCTCTCTTTATCCCACAACTGCCTGTAGCTTATGATTACACAAGTCTTTACTGGATTTAAACTTTGATATGCTCCTGTCCCCCAGGCTGAATTTTCTTTTGAAGTTTCCATGCAGTTAATACTGATCTTGTTCTTAAAAACGTGTCTGGGATTCACCTTCTAGATGGTGTCTCTACCACAGACAATCTTTTGGTAAGATTCCAATTCCTGTCTGTTGCTTCTGTTCCTAGATGTTTTTTGTTTTGTGTGTGTGTGTGTGTGTGTGTGTGTGTTTTAATTTATGAAGTTGTTCTGAAATGTCTTTAGACCCTTAATGCCATCAGCATCTTTAAGGAGATTCTAAACACATCTTTCTCTAAACTTTTAGGAGGGATGCTGTGGTGACCCCAATGCCACGATGGGTGTAATCCGGTCCAAAATAATTCAACCATCAAAAACTGTGGGTTTAAGTTTCTTAGCACATTTAGTTTACTTGCAGTCTCTGGGGGGAGGTGTGTATTTTTGTCCCACAAAGCCTGCTCTGAGGAGGAAAGGAATGTTTTCCTTTTAGTGTTTGCTGCCTCACCCTGGGTCTTATTTGTGACTTTCTGAGCAGGCTGAAATGCGTGGGTGAGTCCAACTGAATGTCTTTCTTCATGACAGCCACCGACAAGGTGAATGGAAAAGAAAATGGAAAAGAGAGAGGGTATATTAGTCTGTTTTCACGCTGCTGGTAAAGACATACCAGAGACTGGGTAATTTATAAAGTAAAAGAGTTTTAACGGATTCACAGTTCCATGTGGCTGGGGACGTCTCACAGTCATGGTGGAAGGAGAAAGGCACTTCTTACATGGCTGTGGCAAGACAGAATCAGACAGCCAAACAAACGGGGTTTCCCCTTATAAAACCATCAGATCTCATGAGACTTTTTCACTATCAGGAGAACAGTATGAGGGAAACCACCCCCAAGTTTCAATTATCTCCCACCTGGTCCCTCTTACAACATGTGGGAATTATGGGAGCTATAATTCGAGGTGAGATTCGGGTGGGGACACAGCCAAACCATATCAGAGGGAGAGAGAGACACACACACAGATTGTCTTCAGGAAGTCACCCTATGTAGTCTAAAAAGGGGAGGCATGAATAATCCAACACTTGTTTAGCAAATTATCAATAAATAACCATAAAAATGGGCAACCAGCAGCCCTTGGGGCTGCTGTGTTGCTGCAGGGTCTGTGGAATAGCCATCCTTTTATTCCTTTACTTTCTTAATAAACTTGCTTTCACTTTATGAACTTGACCTGAATTATTTCTTGCTTGAGATCCAGGAAGCCTCTCTTGGGGTCTGGATCCAGACCCCTTTCCAGTAACACTAAGAACTCGCTCATCCTCTCTTGGCAGGTCCTGGCCAGGTGGTCCTGAGGATCCTGCCAGGAAGAGATGGCTGCTCCTTGGCCACTCTTGCTTTATTACTGGCCTTGGGACATCGTCAGAATGGACATATTTTGACATCCTCGGTATGTGAACATACTGAGGAATGAATCAGCAACATTTATGTCATCAACTGGGCCACGGCTTCCAAAAGATCAGAGCCCTTTGCATTGGCAAATACACCCTATCTCATTGATCTGTGATAATTCATGGGAAAACACACAGCTCTCTGCACATCATCTGTCCTATTTTTTCCTGTCTCAATCTTGGAACTCTAAACAAAAAGCTGCCCAGTTATGATGACCGTGAATGGCCCACAACTAAATTACAGGGCATGAGGTTATCAGAAAGGACAATGTTTTAAGCAGGCCATGTCATGATTGCGTGTGAGATTGGAGATGAACTGCTGCAAACTCAGTCCTGGTTCAAATCAGTAATCATTACATTAGCTTTACACATTTTGAGATATTAAAACACATATCAATGGGCAGAGAAAAACATTAAATTTGCCAAATTTGTAGTTTGACGAATTGGCTTCAGATCCCTACAAAAAGAAAAAGAAAAGCCTTCTGGCATTATATTTTCATAATTGATTTTATTTTTATTTTTAGATGAAGTCTTCCTCTGTCACCCGGGCTGGAGTGCAGTGGCACAATCTCAGCTCACTGCAACCTCCGCCTCCTGGGTTCAAGTGATTTTCCCGCCTCAGCCTCCTGAGTATCTGGAATTACAGGCATGAGCCATCTTGCCTAGCTAATTTTTGTATTTTTAGTAGAGACAGGGTTTTGCCATGTTGGCCAGGCTGGTCTTAAACTTCTGACTTCAAACAATTCACCTGCCTCAGCCTCCCAAAGTGCTGGGATTACAGGCGTGAGCCACCAAGCCTGGCCTAATATTTATTTTTATCCTTCAGTTGATTATAATGAATCTTTACCTTTAATTTGAAGTGAGAATATGCTGAAAATATATAGATATCATCTTTATTGTATTGAACCAACTAATTATTTTTAAAGCAGGATTTATACTTTAGAAAAAGAGTATCCATGTTCTTTTCTTAAATTAACCAAGTCCTTGATACAAATACTCTCCAAACTCTAACTTCATGCATAGTACTCTACTGAGAATTTTGGTAGATTAGTTCTTGATCTTCAGAAAGTCGTAGTACATTTGTATGTTTATATATATATATATATTTTATAAATACATAATGTGTGTATATATAAATGAACACTTGCAAATATATAGTATATAAATGTAAAATACTTATAACATGTACTTAGAATAATAGAGCAATTAGAAATATTATTATTTGAATATTATTAACGTGCTAATTTTTAATAATATAATAATAATTGAGGAACAATTAAGTACCAGGTATTGTGCTAATTGTTTAATATGCATTATCTAATTTATTCCATCCAGCAATTATTCCGTCCAGCAATAATTATTAATTATTACTATTAAAAATAGATGTAGTTATTATACATCTATTTTAATAGTTATTGGACTGAATAAATGCGATGTATGCCTGGATGTATAAACAGCTACAAACACAGAAGAGTTCATGCACAGAAGCCTAGGTTATTGTTATACCTATTTTACAAATGAGAAAAAAAGAAAAGTTGATTTGTCTGAGGTCGTACAACTAGTATGCAGCAGCTGCCAGAATGAAATCCAGTTCCCTCTGACTCTGAAGCTGTGCTCCTCACCAGGGTAGAGAGAATTAGAACAGTCCATTCCCCAGAGCAGAAACTGTGGGTAGGCGCCAGGAGGGCCACTTGAAGTGGCGTCTGTCATTCAAGAAGGATCTTGAAGACGACTCACAGCATTATCTGCCAGGGAGACCGTGTCCCCAGAAGGATGGAAAAAAGACAGCTGGCAGCCATAAACCAACCTTAAAACACACACATAGGACCTGGCAACAAAATCTGCAGTGCACTGCGAGTCACTGTGTCTTAAGGGGTATAATTACATGTTGCTAGCACAAGTACGTACACATACATTCATCTATTTAAAGTATTAATTTAGAGATTGTAAGCATTTGAAATACACGACAGTTTCTGTAATCCTATATTAGCATTTCGCCATTAAAAAAAAACCCAGCTTATCAGGTCAAGAAATAGAATCATCTGGGCCTTCACCCACCTCTGATGGCCTGATCCATGAGTAAGCTGCTGATGCTGGGACGGAAATTGCATGTAAATGATGGGGACGTTGGTGCTGGGGAAGTGCAGTGAAACTGGACATGTTCAGCATTTGTTCGTCCAAATATAATTGCAGATGTGTAACCACCTACAAGCACAGGAGAGTCCATGCACAGAAGCCCAGATCCCCAGCAGCCTCATCTTCCCTTGAGCAAAACTTTTCTTCTCCATCATGAGATGAAGGAACCCCAACCCCTCCATCAGGTAGAGAGGATGCTGGGGAAGAAAGGGGCCCTCTGCCTGCACAGGTCATCGAGCAGCAGCCGACAGGGAGAGGTCACTGGGCAGGCAGAGTGGCCACACCCATATCCCCAGTTCAGCAGCAGTGTCCTGAAGATCCCACAATCCAAGTGGCAGGTGGAGGTGGAGCTGCCCAGCCCTGTGGCTCAGAGATGGCCGGCAGACACCCGCCCAGGGACACAGCTCAAGATAACCCTCAGACTTGACAGATAGTGCTGGTCTCAGCCACACAGTTATTCCATTGAGCCCTTTAATATCTTTCACTTCAGGAATCAAAACATTTAGTGCGCTCCATTTTAATCAGAGATGGGGCTGTGCCTCCTATTTGGATGCTATTTCAAAATAAATAAAATATTGCCCACAGCAGGTTTGACACATAGTTCAAAAATTGACTGCTGAATGGTGATATTGTTTTTATGTGTTTTTAAAAGGATGGTGTTTTTCAGGTTTAAAACATTAATTGGTCAGAGTGTATATCTTAGCTTCTGAACATGAAACACTGTTTGATGTAGCGATTGAAGCGTTAAAGCAATTTCTCCTGAAACTCTATAGATCTCAGTTCCTGTTCAGTGTTTCTCTAAACAAAATATTAGAAGGCAAATGTTCTATCTTCTAAGGTGGAATATTAGTTTTAGTGTCAGGTATTTTCTAAATGAAGTGTTTGCTACTTTCTCTGAGGTTTAAGTAAATGCTTTTTCTTTGATACGTAGGTACTTTGAAGATGTTTCCACTTCCCTTCGAAGATGTTCAATGTCCGTACATAGAATGAAAGGTGCCACCTTCTCCAGCATGAGACATATCCCCATGTGATCCCTTACCACGCAGACTCCTGGCTGAGTTAGGAAGAAAGAATAGAAGTCAATGCATTCCATTTGTTTTCAAGGCACACCCAAAAAGTATGAACTTAGATATATCACAGAGCTTCCAATTTACCTGCCTGTATTTACAAAATAAGTGTATGATTTCTCCCGAAACATTATTTTTTGCAAGTTACATGCCAATAACCACCACTGAACATAAGCTGATATTTTTGCTGAATGAAGGATTGTGAATTATCCTTGTAGCTTTCTTTGACTTCATTACACATTTCAATTACTTCTCTAAACACTGACTGCCGCCATAAAATATCTTTAGTTCTTTTCCCCTATGAAATGTGCTGCCAATAATAATATTTTACTAGAAAATAATGCAATAAATTAGCATGATCACAACCTAGAATTATATAAAATAATATTTGCTTTGTATTCAAGTGAACCTTTCCATGGACAGAAACAAGCACCTTGTCATATTTTAAGTAAACATTAATTATGAAAAACAAATTATTTGCAAGGAGGCAATACAAAAGTGGACGCTGGAGTTCTATGTTAGAGTAAATATCTGACAGATTTAATATGGAACTTTCTTTTAAAGTCTTAAGTTTTCAGTGCTCTTATTGGCAAATGATGTATTAGACCTAGTAACGTAAAACACAATGAAATAGATTGTATCTACTGGAAACATTAGTACTCATTAGATCTGATAACTGTGAGTCTAAATGTGAAATCTCTACTTTATGAATTATCACAGATGGTATTGTAGATGATGTCTTCACGCTCTTTTGCCAAATAAACTCCTTATTAAAGGAGGCCCTGAGGATGATTAAAACAAAATTTAGGGCAATGGTTGCATTAGAGGAAAGCAAAGGAGGAGAAAATTAGAGAAGTGCGCCCAGGAGGCATGAGCAGTATTCGTAATGTTTTATTTCCAAATTATACCTTATGTGCACCACCATTTGCTATACTATTCTTGATATCTATAACAAGATATTATGTGCGGATTCTTTCAGGACTCAGAAAACGATGGATGGCAAGTACTCCCCCTTTCCAAAGTGAGGTGCTGACCACTGGTAATGCAGTAAATCTTGAGGGTATCAAAGGATTGAAATGGAAGAGCCCTGAAAATTGGACATTAAAAAGGCATTAATTTCAAGAGCATTTTCTCTGTCCTGTAATTTCCCCTCCAGTATGAGATTGTGGTGGGAAGATGCACCTCTCCACTTCACCAGGTGTGAGATGAATTTTGTTTCAGTTTGATGTCACTCAGAAATAGATCCCGAGACAAGGTTTCAAGTTCTCAGGGTTTATGTGGAAGATAATCCAGAAAGCACTAGTGGAGAAGTGGGAAAGTGATACAGGAAAGAGAACCAACAAAGGATGTGTTACCCCACTGATGTCAACTGGAGTAGGATCCCACTAGGATACGCATGGTCCTGGGTTCTCATCTTGGGCAGAACAAAGGTAAGAGGACAACCTGGGCCTTTAGATATGTGATATGGGAGAGACATGACATCTGAAATGCAGATACCAAAGAAATCAGGGAAACGTAAATCCCTCACGATTTTACAACTAACTTAGGGAGGGCACTGGCCATCCCCATCACAACCATATAGTAATGGCAAACACAGTGACACAGGTCAAGAGATACATGGTCAACACATTATTATTATTTTATTTTTTAACATTAATATGTGATACTTGCAGATATTCTTTTATTTGGAATATCTCCATCTCATTAATTCAACATTATCCAGGGTCAATAATTTTTTTAATTGCTAAATTCACAGTGTTGTAAAATTACCACCTCTATCTAGTTCCAAAATATTTTTATCACCCAGCTGGACATGGTGGCTCACGCCTGTAATCCCAGCAATTTGGGAGGCCGAGGTGAGTGAATCACCTGAGGTCAGGAGTTTGAGACCAGCCTGGCCAAAATGGTGAAACCCCGTCTCTACTAAAAATGCAAAAATTAGCTGTGCGTGGTGATGTGCACCTGTAATCTCAGATACTTGGGAGGCTGAGGCAGAAGACTTGCTTGAACCTGGGAGGCAAAGGTTGCAGTGAGCTGAGATCATGCCACTGCATTTCAGGCTGGATGACAGAGCAAGACTCTGTCTCAAAAAAAAAAAAAATTCATCATCCAAAAGGAAACCCTGATAATAGCCATTCTCCAACAAGCAGCTACTCCCTAATGACCTCTCCCCATGGCCCCTGATAATTAGGAATCTGCCTTTTTTTCTCCACAGATCTACCTATTCTGGATGTTTCATATAAATAGAACCATAAATATTGTGACATTTGGTGTCTGGGTTCTGTATCTTAGCATAAAAATATATTTTAAGGCAAACAAAAAATTGTTACTACTCAACAAGACAAATAACACAATTAAAAAGTGGGCAAAAGACTTGAACAGATGTTTCTCCAAACAAAATGGCCAATGAGCACAGAATAACGTTCAATATCTTTAGTCCTTAGGGAAATGCAAATCAAGACCAGTGATTATTGGAATAAAGTGAATCATTGTGCTTAAAGGTTTGATTTACAGGCCGGGTGCAGTGGCTCACGCCTGTAATTCCAGCACTTTGGGGGCCGAGGCAGAGGGATCACGAAGTCAGGAGATCGAGACCATCCTGGCTAACATGGTGAAACCCCGTCTCTACTAAAAATACAAAAAAAAAAAAAAAAAATAGCCAGGCGTGGTTGTGGGTGCCTGCCTGTAGTCCCAGCTACTCAGGAGGCTGAGGCAGGAGAATGGTGTGAACCCAGGAGGCGGAGCTTGCAGTGAGCCGATTTCGAGCCACTGCACTCCAGCCTTGGCGAAGAGCGAGACTCTGTCTCAAAGAAAAAAAAAAAAGTTTGGATTACAAATCTGGGTAAATAATGACCCTTTGTTTCTGGATAGTTGTGTCATGATTGCTTGGGCAGAGTTGAGAGACAGATCTCCAAGACGTGGTCCAGTAGAATGCAGAGAGTTTGGAAATGAATTAATAGGGTTTCATTGTGTAAGAACTCCCCCTCCTTACCCAGTCATTTTCACACACTCTCAGAGTGGCTACCACTAGGCCATACTCCCCCATTCAAAAATGATGTAATTTAGGAAACCAGCTAAGTACAACTCATCCCAGTTATTGAAAAAGCTTTTTTCAAACTGTGAAATTGCAAGCAAGGAGGAAGTCAAACATGAAAGATGATGCATCACAGAACAAAAGAAGCAGCTGCAAACGTTCTAAGCCCTGGCTCCCATGTGACTTTCCTGTCAACTCTGCTTTCTTAAATGGCCAGAAAAGCTACTTCGTGGGGAAAAATTTATTTTCTGCAAATAATTTCATGCTTCTATGTGATTTGTATTACTTTTTATTTTCATTATCAATGCAACATTTGTTTTTTCCATATTATTAATACTTATGTCTCTAAATTAAGAAAAATGATTTTGAAAATTAGAGGCAATATCCAGTGCAATATAGCACCATTTAAATGAGCATGAAATCATTCTTGTAAACAAAAATATCTGTCACTAGGTAACTGAATTGTTCATCTATCACCCACATGTGATGCAGGCTCTGTTTATGCCTATTGTGCCCGCTAATTATAGCATTCTCCTGTCACTCTTAGAAATGCCCTAATGTGGATAATACATTATTTTACCATTCTAATTAGAAGCTTCTTTCAGGTCCTTTACTTATTTGGTGTATTAATAAATCACTTAATTTAAGATGCTTTTCAGAGTCCTGTTGGCTGAAGATGATAAGGACTGCATCTCTGGCCACATGCCCATGTTCTCATGGATTTGTGCTTGGGTGTAGAAGGGAGATGGGGTGAGGCTGGGATGGTGGTGCAGGGGGGGCAGCACCCTTTAGGTCTGCGATTCACACATGGGGCTAAGTGCTGGGGTGACTTCAAGCTGGCCAGACCACTGTGCTTAGAGTCCTGGAAACACGAACCTTATGTTTATGTTTGTGTCACTGTACGTGCATAGAGTTTCCCATTTTTCTTAAAGAAAACAAACAATAGCAACAAAAATGAATACTTTTGTTCTTTAAAACCTGGGCATGCTGTTTGCTACCCCTGCAAAGTAATATATATCTTCGAGGATTTAGTGTTGAGATTCTACTACCTCCTTTGCCACAAAATGAAGGAAATCTCCTGGGCATTACAATTGAAGCCTGTTTAGAGCAGTTAAACTGCTTCCTGAAAGCCCAGGGTCCCCCATCTCCACCTGTCTTTAAGGCAGAGGAAGCCCCTGTAAGAGTTAAAGAAAAATGAAATTAACATGAAACGCGGCCTGGCAGTTAAAGACAGGTTTACTTTAGATAAAACCTGAGAGGGGCCTCTGGCTGATTTCAGTCAGGAGTGCTTTGTCTTACAGACTACATATTGGTTTTAGGATGAGGGGCTTATTACAAGCTTGGAATGTTCCTGTGCAAGGGAGAAGTTTTATGGCAGAGTTGAAATGTCTCTGGGAGGAGGCGAGTTTGTCTAGGGCAGACATCTTTCTGGCAGGAGGGGGCTTATTTTGGGGCTGGCATCTTCCTGGTCAGAGAGGACTTATCTTGGGGCTAGCATGTCTTTGTTTGCGGGGGGCATTTGGAATGTTTCTGGTCAGAGATGTTATTTGTGGTTTATGGTCATGCTGACCGTAGCCATTAGGCTGATGCCTTTTGGATTTAGGTGTTTTTTTATTAAGGTGAACTTTAGAATGAGGGGCTTGTCCAAGATGGCGATGCTCCCACTCTGTCAGCCCCTAACCCTGCAGAGGCCCCAGAAGAAGCAGATCTGCCTCTGTTGCCTCTGAGAGTGGAATGCCCTGCCTCGAGCACCACTCACCTGGGCAGGTCACATCAGAGCCACTTCCCTCTAGGCCTCTTGAGGGTCACGGAGTCTGTGTTCCATGCCTGCTGCTCATAGGAGGTGGAGGACTCAACATAGCTGATGTTCTGGAGGGTCAACCATGGAGGAACATGAGCAAGAAGGGAAAGAACAGCATCTGAAAGTGGGCCAGTCTATCTGCTCTGACTTTTGTCCCTTCCTATTCATTCCAGAGGCCTCTTAGAAAGAACCACGCAGACCCTGAAGCTCCCAGCTTAAAATCTTTTAGTGGTCTCCATCACCTTCACTCTGTGCACCAGCCCTGCCCACCTTTCCAGCCACATGCCCACCTTCTGCCCCTCATCCCTCACCCACCACACTGGCCTTTCTCCTCTTCCTTAAACACATCAGGCTTTTACCTAACCCATACCCCGCAACATGCCCTTCTCTTTGCTTGGAGAACCCTTCAATCCTCTGTCCTGTCTAACTTCTTTCACCTGGCTAACCCCTATTCATCTTTCTAGTCTCAGCTTAAGTGTTTCTTCCTTAGAGATCCCCGCCTTGACCATTCTTACCCTAAAAAGTGATCGACTTGGTTGGGAGAGCACAGAGGGTGTTTAGGCCAGTGAAACCATAATGTGTGGCACTATCATGCTATAGACATGGCACTCTACATTTGTCCCAACCTAGAATGTACAACACCAAGAGTGAACCCTAATATATAAACTGTGGACTTTGGGTGACAGTGATCTCTTACTACAGGTTCATTCATTGTAACAAGCGTACCACCCTGGTGTGGATGTTGATAGTGGGGGAGGCTGTGCATGTGTGGGGGCAGGGAGTATTAAAGAAATCTCTGTACCTTCATCTAAATTTTGCTGTGAGCCTAAAACCACTGTTAAAAAAGTTTCTATTACAATGAAATGTAAAACCAAAGCACCAACAGCAAAAAAATAAACAAAAACAAACAAACAAACAAAAAACCACTACCACCAACAACAAAAACTGGTCCAGTCTGCTGTTACTTTGTTTTGTTGGGGCGGGATGCTTTGTTATCAAATCACCCATTGCTGGGCATAGAGTAGAAACCCATGGAGTTAGGCTTCAAAAGTGGCCACAAAATTTTACCCTCACTTAGTCACACTCCTTTGCAAATGATTTTCCCCTTCCTTCTAACCAAAGAGGAAATCTATTCTTTCACATCTCCAATCTGAAGTTGGAACGGGGAATTGCTTTAATCAATAGTAATTTAGTAAATATCACTTAAATGGGGTTAAAAAAGTGCTTCCTTTTTGAAGCCTGTCCTCTCTTGCTGCTCTTGGGAAGCCTGTAATGGTCACCCCTGAACAGGCTTCAGCTAGCCTGTTGGGTGAAGGACACATGCCCTGTGATCCCCTATCACCTCTGCCCAGAGCCGGCACCCACTGCCTGACACATAACTACACTGCTGAACCCCCAGTTACTGTAAACACGTGAGTGAACCCATCTCAGCTGAAGCTAGACCAAATTCCCAACCTACAAAATTGTGAGCAATCAAATAATTCTATTTAAAGCTACTTTGTTTGCAAACAGTCTATTATGCAGGAGAACCTGACTGACATACACAATAAATATTTGTGGAATGAACGACTGAATGAATAATGGTCTCTGAACTTACAAAAAACAAGACATCTGTGTCTGTGTATTTATTTTTACACATAGAAGGCAACATAGATATTATACATATGCATTCCCTTCTGCTAAAAATTAAGAAAGTACAACTGTCTCTGTTAAAATACTCATTTTGTCAGTAGGTTTCTATGGCTATTGACTTACTAAAATTATTAGCATGGGTATTTCCAGTTGGAAAGAACCTGAAATATTGCCAATTCCAGCATTCAGAATTCACTGGTGAAGAAACTGAGGCCAAGAAAGGATTGAGGACATGTGTTAGGTCATGCAGTCATCAGCAGTCACTGGAGCTTAAATGTGGAGCCTGGAACATGCAGTCAGCAAGACTCCAAGAGTTGAGGATCTGGGTAGCTTCCCAGAGTTCCATAGGATACAATGTTAGCACAACTCACTCTTGGGGAAATGCATTTCTGGGTGACTTCAGGAAGCCTTGGAGGAAGTTTGCGTATTAAAAGGGTGAATATGGTGGAAATAATGGTGGTGGTGGTGAGGGTAGTGATGGTGACTTCGTGTATGTTCATGCTTTTACCTCGAAACTTGTGGAACCCAGTGGAGAATGTAGTATTATTCAGGAGAGAGGAAATGGACATTTCTGCTGCTGCGGGATTGCAGGCAAAGCCACTTATTCCATTTCCCTGTATTCTTATCACCTTCTACAAATGCAGAGTTGATGTCAGGTGCAGATGAATCAATATCATTGCAAGAGAATAAAAAGTATTATGACAAAAAGAAAAACAAGTGGTCGCTAGAACACAGTTGATTTCATAAGGTTTTTGCATACATGCAATATTATCAAGTCATGTAATGTCTTGTTAACTTCTTTCATCTGCCTTCATCTCATTCTCTAGAAGTTTTACCTTTGATCTCCACTTTCTTTCAGGAGAAAGAATTCTGATAACTCATGTCCTGAAAAATAAAATTACGGAAGCCTACAGTGTGAAATTGGAATTTGTCCATGTGCATAATTTCCACAAGTTCTCTACTTAGATATATATTCTGTTAATAAAAAAGATTTTTTCTGCTCTTTACCCTCTTGGTAGACTTTTACATTTCTAATTTTAATGTTTTACATAAAAAGCATAAGAGAATATGGACATGGAAAAGTCAAACTATGACTACTCAAATATCGACAAGTTTGTTTATAAGTTATCATGATTTAAAAATAAAGATTAAAAACTTTTACAATAAACCAAACATTTAATTAATATAAACTGCAGCCAACTGCTTATTTGATTCCCATCCCTCCAGAAATAGAGAGAGAGGAGGGAGTGGGAGAGAAAGGGTGAGTGAGAGATTTAAACTTGTCTTTTCAAAAACATTATCATAATTTTTATTTCAATAGTTTTTGGGGAACAGGTGGTGTTTGGTTACATGGATAAGTTCTTTAGTGGTGATTGCTGAGATTTTGGTACACCCATCACCTGAGCAGTGAACACTGGCTAGAATGTGTAGTCCTTTATCTCTCACCTCCCCCCACCCTTTCCCCAAGTTCCCAAAGTCCATTGTATCATTCTTACACCTTTGCATCCTCATAGCTTAGATGCTACTTAAGAGTGAGAACACACAATATTTGGTCTTCCATTCCTGAGTTACTTCACTTAGAATAATGGTCTCCAACTCCATCCAGGTTGCTGCAAATACCATTATTTTGTTGATTTAAAAAATTTCCACAAGACAATTACTTTGGGGGGAAAGGTTGCTTTATATCCTTAGTTATTAAACATTTTACTCTCAATCCAGCCTGCCTGGCCCACCTTTTGTTTAGTCAGCATAAGGTCATCTTAAATTAGCCATCTGGGCGGGGCGTGGTGGCTCATGCCTGTAATCCCAGAACTTTGGGAGACTGAGGCAGGCATATCACAAGGTCAGGGGATCAAGACCATCCTGGCTTACATGGTGAAACTCCGTCTCTAATAAAAATACAAAAAATTAGCTGGGTGTGGTGGCAGGCACCTGTAATCCCAGCTACTCGGAAGGCTGAGGCAGGAGAATCACTTGAACCTGGGAGGCAGAGGTTGCAGTGAGCTGAGATCACACTACTGCACTCCAGCCTGGGTGACAGAGCGAGACTCCATCTCAAAAAAAAAAAAAAAAAAAAATGCCATCTGTAGGAGTCAGGAGGCATTGAATCCTAAATAACAATGCAGTGTCCAGATTGAAAGCAATGCAGACTCCATGGACTAATGGATTACTGGTCTCAATGGAAGAGTCAGATTTAGAAGATAAAGGTTTGGCCCGTAGAAAATTTTAAAGTGGCTTCTAAGGCTATATTAGAGAGAAAGAGCGCCAGAAACAGCTATATGCTGACTAATGCTTTCACTGGGACATGGCAGAGTGCAGGCACAAAAGGTATTAACAGGTGGCTACAGAGGCAAGTCTATAATACAGAACAATGCCTTAAACTCCATCAGGAGTGAATCAGAGAAATCTTGTCTGACTCATTACTTTTGCATGTTATAGTTGGGCTGAAATTCTACATTTCTGTACCTGGCAAATGTTCTTTGAAATTAATTTTACATTTTTGTAAAATACAGAACAATGCCTTAAACTCCATCAGGAGTGAATCAGAGAAATCTTGTCTGACTCATTACTTTTGCATGTTATAGTTGGGCTGAAATTCTACATTTCTGTACCTGGCAAATGTTCTTTGAAATTAATTTTACATTTTTGTAAAATACAGAACAATGCCTTAAACTCCATCAGGAGTGAATCAGAGAAAGCTTGTGTGACTCATTGCTTTTGCATGCTATAGTTAGGCTGAAATTTTACCTTTCTGTATCTGGCAAATATTCTTTGAAATTAATTTTACATTTTTGAAATTTTGCATACTTGTATCTGGCAAATATTCCTTGAAATTTCACATTTCCTAGAAACTAAAGGCATTGCTGTTGTTGGAGAAAATACTATATAACTCTGCATTTTTAGGTTTATATTTATTTGAGAAATGTTACTGAAATGTAAACTGTTTTTGTCTCTTGATGGTAGGGGATATGGGTGACTGTATTAGGCTGCTCTTGTGTTGCTGTGAGGGAATGCCTAAGGCTGGGTAATTATTTATAAAGCAAAGAGGTTTAATTGGCTCATGGTTCTTCAGGCTGTACAAGCACGGCGCCAACATCTGTTCAGCTTCTGGGGAGGCATCAGGAAGCTTACGATCATGGTGGAAGGTGAAGCAGGAGCAGGCACGTTGTATGGTAAGAGCAGAAACGAGAGTGAGGGGTGGGGATGTCCCAGACTTTTAAACAACCAGACCTCGTGTGAACCAATGGAGTGCAAACTCACTTATCACCAAGGGGATGGTGGTAAACTATTCATGAGGGATTGGGCCTCCATGATTCAGTCACCTTCAAATCCATGATTTGGGCATCCATGATTCAATCACCTCCAAATCTCATGCTGAAATGCCATTCCCAGGGTTGCAGGTTCAACATGAGATCTGGAGGGGACAAACATCCAAACCATAACAGTGAGTTTAATTTTTCTTTAAGTTTTTAAAAATAATCTGTATGTTCTGATTATTCTAAAGTGATTGTGTGATTGTATTTCACGTAATCAAATACATCTATAAGAAAAATGGAATGGTTTTAAAATGAAAAATGTCATTAGCTGCAAAATGAGGCTGCAGGGTTGTCCTCTGGCAGGGGAATGTTCTCACACATATCTTGTTATTGTCTTGTTATCATGATTCAGTCTGATGGGAAAATGTCACCTTTCACTACTGTGATTAGCTCATGTCATTTTATCCTCACCCTGGCTCAGACTCGTAACTCACAGAGAGGTGCCTTTTTTTCCCCTTAAAATCACTGAAGGCATGAATCATAGCTATGTACCTTCCTGATTTAGGGCATATTTGTGGCAGAAACGCATGAATGAATATGATGATTATTTACTTATGAACCTAATCAGAGATTCAGGCATCAGTCTTCCCAGGATGAACTCAGATGGACTTGGTTCAGAAGGAATAAATTACAGGGCGTGTCCATTTGTGATGCACCTGCATAATATGTGGATGTTGTTTTCACACGATTATGACTGCCATGATACATGAATTTTGCATGGTTCTACTTTAAAGGATATAGTTGTTAAGTTGCCAAATTTATAACTTTAGATATTATTCCAATTTGTTTTTGTTTTCAGATAGAATTTCCGTCTGTCTCCCAGGCTGGAGTGCAGTGGCACGATCTCGACTCACTGCAACCTCCACCTCCTGGATTCAAGTGATTCTCCTGCCTCAGCCCCCTGCGTAGCTGGGATTACAGGTGCCCACCACCATGCCTGGCTAATTTTTGTATTTTTAGTAGAAACGGGGTTTCACCATATTGACCAGGCTGGTCTCCAACCCCTGACCTCAAGTGATCCAACGACCTCGGCCTCCCAAAATGTTGGGATGACAGGCATGAGCCACAGTGCCCAGCCAGTTTTCCAATTGGAAACGGCCACCTGAAACTTTTTTTAATGACTGTGAAATATGACTTGTCATTAAATGATCAGATTTTAAAAGACCTAGAAAACTCAAAAGAGGTAACAATGAAGTAACTATTTCTAACATAAAATAATTTCCTCCTCACCCACCTTGCTCAGATTTCCTAGGTCACCTTGAAAGGATCCGTGCTTTAGAAGCAAACCTTAACAACGATGTTCCTGTCATTTAACACTTAAAAAAGCCTACCTTTTGATTCTAATGAATTGATGTATCTTTTTGATGGTCGTTTCTAACAGAGATGAAGAGCTCTATCCTTCTGGCAAGATAAAATGAGGATAATTAACCTCTAGGAAAAATAGGGGTACAGTTTTAAAACGCATAAAAAGCAGTTTTTTTGTTTTTTTTTTTTGAGATAGGGTCTCACTGTGTGGCCCAGGCTGGAGTGCAGTGGTGCGATCTCTGCTCGCTGCAGTCTCCACCTCCTGTGCTCAAGTGATCCTCCCACCGCAGCCTCCTCAGTAGCCGGAACTATTAGTGTGTACCACTACGCCCAGCTAATTTTGGTATTTTTGTAGAGATGGGGTCTTGCTATGTTACCCAGGCTGGTCTCAAACTCCTGGGTTCAAGTGATTCACCCACTTTAGCCTCTCAAAGTTCTGGGACTGCAGATGTGAGCCACAGTGTCTGGCCTAGCAATTATTCTTAACTGCAGTGTAGTTTCTGAGGGCAAAGTCAGTTTTGGACTTAATTTATGTTTATTTAAAAAGGATATTTTTCTACTTTTTCCTTTCTCACCTCAAGTGCCAGCAAACTAGAGCTGAAAAGTCTTCAAATCTATTGGCCTCCTGTGCTTTTCACTGTTTATTGTCTCTTCAACAGGCACTCTCCCTCTTCCTTCTATGACAAGGACCCTGATTCGACACGGCTGCCCATGTTCCCAGCTCCAGGAGATAAACGAAGTCAAACCTAAGCCACTCATGACAAATTTGTCTCCTGTGTAATTGGTCTAGGCACAAGCACATGACCCATTTATAGACAATGAGACAGGTGGGACGTCTTAAAGCACTGGAAATATTTTT
This sequence comes from Homo sapiens, assembly GCF_000001405.40. Lineage (NCBI taxonomy): Eukaryota > Metazoa > Chordata > Mammalia > Primates > Hominidae > Homo > Homo sapiens. The sequence continues at coordinate 126,406,292 of NC_000012.12, forward strand.
CTCCTTGACACATAGAAAGTAGTCACACTTGGTAAAGACCTTCAACTGCGCTCACATTCTGTCCTGCTTTCTGGGGACCACATGATGGTGCCTGAATCAGAGGCAGCCACCTAGGGACCATGAACGACTAAGCCTTAAATAAGCTAAAGAAGGCAGGAGAGGATGGAAAAAGACCTCCAGGAATTTCCAAGTCAACCCTGGGAGTGTCCACCATGGTAGGCTAAACAATGGCCTATCAAAGATGCCCATGTTCTAATTCCCAGGACTGCTAGGTCACTCCCTACATATAATTGAACCTCTGTGGAATTGAAGGATCCATGGAAGAAAGATGAAAACCGTTTGTTTATGTAAAAGACAGAGCAAGTATACTAAAATCACAGAGCGGTCACTTAATAGTAGGTTTTGAAAACTTAATTTGCATGGGAAAATACTATACACAGTTTTAAAATCAAATTGATACTGTCTTGGTGCCATTTTAAAAAATCAGAACAAAATTCTAAATTTGCAGATCTGGTAGCTCTGTAAGTATGGTTTTATGGTAGAGTATGGTTTTTTTTATTCCATATTTTAAAAACAATAGATAAATAAGCTTTCTGCAGTCTATATGCTGAATTACATTAATAGGCACGTATATGTTGTTTACATTATAATTACATTTCCCATATATTATGTCATTGAATCTTTACAAAAACCTGTGTTAAGTATTATATTTCCCAGTTAATTCTAATGCCTAAATGCTTATTATCTAGAAAAGTTTAGAAAACTTTTTCCGTAAAGAACCAGAGAGTAAATATGTTATGGTCTCTATTACGAATACTCAACTCTGCTCTTGTAACAACAAAGCAACCTATAAAATATGTAAATGAATGACTGTGGCTCTGTTCTAATAAAAACTCTATTTGTAAAAATAAGCAGCTCCCCTAGGCCATAGTTTGCCCAACTCTGACCGAGATAATTTATTCCACACTGATTTGTGTATGGTGATCTTGTATGTATGGTGATCTTGTATTCTGCCACCTTGCTGAACTCACTTATTAGTTTTCATCTTTTTTTTTTGTACATTTCTTGGGATTTTCTACATAGACAATTAAACACACACTCCTAAGTGAAATAAACCAAACTCAAAAGGTCAAATACTGTGTGACTTCACTGCAAAAGGCAAAACTATCAGAACAGGAAATAGATTCGTGGTTGTCAGGAGGTGGAGTAGAGTGTGGGTTAGATTACTACGGGGGATGAGGGAGGTTTTGGAGGGATTAAACTAACCCCATGTCTTTGTAGAAGTGGTTAATTTACATATGGTGAAATTTGCTGTTTTAATGTATGGTTCTGCAAAATATATCAAATTTGTCAAATTTTGTAGAACCAAACAAAACAATAAATGTCACCATATGTAAGTTATATTCTAATTGAAAATTAATTCAAAAACCAGATCTCTTGACTTGTTCTGTTCTGTTCTTGGATAAAATCACAGGCACAGTTCAGAGTCTTGCTGATTCTTTTTATTACATAAAATATCTCATTGTAGTAATTGGAGTCTTGTGCAGTATAATATCAAAATTCTGCCTTTTCATTCAATTTAATGTTTCTTTTTTTTCCATTTCAGGCCCTTGTTGAATTAGAACACTGCTGCTAAAATTGAAAGCATGGTAAGTTTTTCTCTTTCTCATTCCTTCTCCATGTCCCCTTCCTATAAAATTGGATAAGAGGAGAGAAAAGGAGGTGAATGAGCAGAACATGTCTTACCTCACCTGCACAGTAAAGACCTGGTGTCAGCACCTCCTAGCTAAAGTGAACTCACCTTTTCTCTTGTTATATGCTTTTGTGAGTTTCTGGAAGAGCATTATGCAATCTGTGGACGTTTTGAGAAGAGTCAATCAACATGTGTTTAGGGGAATCCCACTGTGGTGGGTCATCCTCAAAGGCAGCTCCAACCTCTCCTCCTGCCATGTATGCTCACCCCGCTCCTCTGATCGAGAGAGAGAGTCTCATTCCCCTCCCATAAAACTTATACTGTCAGTTTTCAAATTTAAATTTTATTTAATTAAAGTTACAAATTCAGTGTCTCAATTGCACTAGTATCATTTCCAGTGCCTCATTTCCGGTATTCAATCTACCTTATAGATGTAGATGTTCAGCGTCTACCTTATTGATGTAGATGTACCAGCATCTTCCTGGACGAGCAGGAACTCACAAAATGAGTTTTGTGGCTATGAGGATCATAAGTAATACCTCAGGATTCCAGGAGAGAGTCTCCTTGGAGTTTCTAGTGTGATGACCACACACAGCATTCGACTAGCATTGTTGATGGAGGTTTTTCCATAAGGCAATTCCTCCTCTTCAAACTCACTTCATAGAACTCCAGTTATTTTGAAAATTTCTGCAGCCCAGGGTTCAAGCTGGCTCTCTCTGATTTGGGGTCCTACCCCATAATGCTTATTTGGCTTGTAAAACCCCTCAGCTCCTTGTCACCATCAAGGTGGAGTGGCTTCAGAGCAGTGACAGTTGTGAGACCTATGGATGGGGTATTCTGTTGGCAAAGGCAAGTGCTGTGTGGTGGAGGCGAGCACAGGTTTCTCATGGAATCCAGATGTCCAGCCTCACAGAGAGATGACTTCCTACAAGGCTATCCTGCCAGTTGCTATGTGCAAGGCGTGCTCTATCATCCTCTTCTCTCTGGACATTTAAGCCTTAACCACATCCTCCTTGTGAACAGTTAAGTCCTGAGCTAACTTTAGAGAAACCCTGTGCTTCTTTCCTGAGCATCCCATGCCTGCCTTGCTCTGTGGACCCAGATGCATTTATGGCACTTGGTACTTAAGGAGCACATTCTCGGCCATGGGCCATGGGTCACTCATTCAGTTTCTCAGTTGAACTGGTATCATTTCCAAACCATCACTTCCAGTGTGTTCAACATCTACCTTATTGGACAATGCCTGGTTGGAGAGTCACTCATGCTTCTTACAGTAATGTTATTTAGGTGCTTCCAAGACAGCCATGCCTTGGTCACTCTTCATGGAATTAGAAGACAGGAGCCTGCCAATTACAGAAAGTTTACTTTTGGCAAAAGAAAGTCTATTTTTGTCTTTCCTCTTTCAGTGTTTCTCAGTGTTGACATTTGTTCACCCTAAATACATGTAATATGTAGGCAATTTAGCTCATTTTCATCACTGTCTCATGATTTAAAATGTCTTCCTTGACTGACCAAGCTTAAAAGGGAGAGGCGTAGCAATGCTGTTTGTGTTTGGTTTGTTTTTAAATCTTAGAAGTAGAACCCTTAGAAAGTTAATGGGTGCTAAACAGACTGGCTCAGTCCTCCACCTTCATATGTCCATATTGTTTCTGTAAACTAAAAGTAAATCCTAAGCCCCCAAACTAACCAAGAGGTCTTGGCCAAGAGGACCCCAGAGAAATCTGAAAAACATAGTCCTGTATCATGATGTGATGGAAGGTCGGACACACTTCTCTATATCCCGTTTTGGAGTTTAGGCAAAACTGACTAGTGTTAATGTTAAATTAGAGATTATATGACCGAAAAAACAGACTGTTTGTGGCAATAAGATACCAAATTATAAACAAGACATAAGGCCATTCAAAGTAAGAGTTAATTTGTGCCTGCAGACCATCAGCCTTGCTATACATCATTTTTATCTTAGAACATTTCCACTTTGGGAGGCCACGGCAGTGGATGGGTTGAGCCCAGGAGTTTGAGACCATTGTGAGCAACACAGTACAAGACGAAAAATACAAAAATTAGCTTGGCATGGTGGCACAGGCCTGTAGTCCTATAGCTACTTGGGAGGCGTAGGTGGGAGGATTACTTGAGCCCAGGAGGTCGAGTCCGCAATGAACTGTGATTACACCACTACACTCCAGCCTGAGCGACAGAGCCAGAGCTTGTCTTAAAGACAAAACAAACAACAACAAAAAAACACTTTTTCTTTTCAGACCTCTCTTTCTAAACAAAGCCTTACTCCTTTGACCCATTGCAAATTGAAGAATCTCTAAATCCACCTACAACCTGTAACCACTCCCCACTTCAAACTGTCCCACCTTTTGGGGCTGAACAAATGTGTGTCTTCCAGGTATTGATTTATGTCTTTGCCTGTATCTCCTGCCTCCTTGAAATGTAAAAAATATACTGTAATCCAGTCATGGCATGGTGGCTCACACCTGTAATCCCAGCACTTTGGGAGTCTGAGGCGGGAAGATCACCTGAGGTCAGGAGTTTGATACCAGCCTGGCCAACACTTCTCTACTAAAAATACAAAAATTAGCCAGGGGTGGTGGCACGCGCCTATAATCTCAGCTACTTGGAAGGCTGAGGATGAGGGATGAGATTAGCTTGAACCCAGGAGGCAGTGGTTGCAGCGAGCCGAGATTGTGCCACTACACTCTAGCCTGGGTGACAGAGCAAGACTCCATTAAAAAACAAACAACCAAAAATAAAAACAAAACTGTAATGTGACTGCCTCCGTTGAGATTGTGATGCCTGGGGCCATGGTCACTCATACCAGCTCAGAGTAAACCTCTTTAAAATATTTTACAGAGTTTGTTTTTCTTTCATATTTTCATTCTCAGAGGATCCCCAGGAACCTGTGTCAGTAATTCCCTGAAGCCTGTTCTGAAGTTTTATGGAATCACCCCTATTGGTTCCATAGGAGAATGACACAAGGGCGACTACATAAAACAGAGATAGAGTCTTCTCTCTACCTGGGATGCAGCCCCACACCCATCAAAGCTCCCCTTGGGGAACGAAGCCAAGCAAATAAGAACAACCTTCTTTGTGAGTTTAGATGAATGACATGAGTCAGTCTCTTTATGCCTGGCTAAAACCAGAGAGTCATTTACTTGTTTAGAGCAGTAGAAACAAAGGCAATTTTGAGCTACCAGAGTGTGAGATTTTGACTTCCTATTGACACTGATCTCTTCCCAAGTTGCATCCCCATGCTCCTGTGAAGATGCTTAGATTGATCTCTGAGAGGAAGGCACAGCAGGTCCTTCATTTCATTTTCGCAGAGCAAATTGTCGGCACTGTTGTGAGTAGATGAGGTGGTAAGAGTGAGCTTGGCTCTCATTCCCATGGGCTATGTTTTCGTGTGACTATAGAGGCTGGATGTGTGCAGTCGCCCTTTCTGGAACGTAAACCTACCCAGGGGTGGTCAATTCCTCAAGTGCAATAAACTCAGAGTGATCTGACACAGGGTTGTTAGAGTTCTAATTAAGAAAAAGTATAAAGTGGAGAAACTTGGAAAACTGAATGTTTGAAACTAGCTAGATACGTGTTGGTTTCACTGAATTTTCCTTTGCTCTTTTTTTTTGGAGAAATTTAGATCTTTGAAGCAAAGCAGAAGAAGAGAAAATGGCTGTCATGGAGATGCAAAAATAAGAGAGAAGTTCAAAATAAAGTGATGGGGAAAGGGTCAATTTCTGCAGCACAATGGCCAGGATTATCACTGAGAGGAGGCAGTGAGGGTGGATGGGAAGGTCTCTCCTTTCGACCTCTCTATTACACAGACAGCATCCAGAGGGACAGTCAGTAAGGAAAGGTGAAAAGCTAAGAGATAGACTATTGGGCTAGGTACAATGATCTCTGCAACTGAAGGTTAGGAACATGATTTCACCAACACTCTTATGAGGACTAGAACAAGTAAATGAGGTACCACCACTTTGGAAAACTCTGTGGCACTATTAACTAATGGCAAAGCAATATTATCTAACACCTGCAGTTAGTATCTATTCATCAGTACTACTCCTGGTTATCTGCCAAGGAAAATGGGCGCATATGCCCATCAAAACGCGTGCACAAAACATGTTTCTAGCAGCCATATTCATAACACCTAAACCTAGAAATAATCTAAATCACCACTTAAAGTTGAATGGATAAAAAATATTGTGGTGTATTTATATGGAATACCATGCTGGAATTAAAAGTAAAAAGTAAAAAATGTGTCATTGATATACACATAGCAACTTGGATGGATCACACAGAAATAATGTACAAAAGATGTCACCCAAAGGCCAGGATTTGTATTATTTCATTAATAAGAGATTTAAGAACAGATAACAATCAAAAACATGGCAATAGAAGTGAATGCTGAGAACATAGAGTGCTGAGTATTTAAAAGGGCAATAAGGAGCCTTCTGGGGTGTTTGTGTGTGGGTGTGTATATATATGTATGTGTGTGTATATATGTATGTATATGTATATATTTGTATGTATGCATGTGTGTATATGTATATATGTGTATATATGTGTGTATGTGCACATAAGTATGTATGTGTGTGAGTATATGCATGTGCATATGTGTATGCATGTGTATATATGCATGTATATATGTATGTGTATGTGTATGTATGTGTATATATGTATGTACATATATGTGCATGTGTGTATTATACGTGTGTGTGCATGTGTGCATGTATATGTGTATATATGTAAATATGCACATATGCATATGTGTATTATGTATACGTACACGTATATGTTTATACATAAGTATATATAAATATGTACATGTATATGTTTATACATAAGTATATATAAATATATACATAATATATACAAGTATATTTAGAAATACACTTGAGATTCCACCATACATATATTATACATTTATACATTAATAACTTTGTTAAATAGTGAATTTTCTTTTGAATTAGAAAAACAAGCAATAATAAAAATACATCATAGCTAAGAATTATTGATCCCTTATGATGTCAGGCATTTTATATTTATTTGCTCATTTTCTCCTAACAATAAACTTATAATGTACTGAATTTTAATCCCTATTGTATAATGAGGAGACCATGGCTCATGAAGGCTAGTAAAATAGTAAAAAATTTGTCCAAGACTCATCCACAGCAGATGAAGTAGCGATGTCAACACTTGAGCTAGCACTTCACAGCAGAGTCTGAGAAAGAAAGAGACTGAAGCAGAGGGAATACTAAGAAGGATATTATATACAGGAAAAAAGAAGAAAAGGAAAGTGGAAGGAGTGTGTCAACTCTGCCCCCGTGTTTGCAAATCTCTTCCAAGGTGCTTTAAAAATCCCGTTCTAGGATGGCCAGCCATCCAGGTGTGGCATTGAAAGTTCTGCACCCTTGGAAATCCTCCTCAGACTGTGAACAGTCCTGAATTTTAGCAATGGGTGTAAAAGACTTTAGAGGACAGTATAAGACTCATATGGTAGCCTCCAAACGGGTGCTGAACAATGCTGTTTTGAGAGTCAAAGGGTCCCAGCATGGCTTATCTACCTCTGCCGTGGCTGTCTCTCTTCTTTCCCCGACCACCTTGGATGCTGGCAAACATCATCTGAGGTTCAGACTAAGGGATCATTCATTATTCCATTTCCCTCTCTCCCTGTGATGCAACTTTAGTGCACCGAAGTCATCAGCCCTAATGGTTCTCTGTAACTTTACCTGTGGATTAACTACTGTGCTTTTTATAGAAATAGAGCTTACTTATTTTTTTAACATTGTGACTATTGTGCCCATGTTTTGTAAAAGTTCAGACCATAAAAATGAGAATGAGTGTGATACTAATGCCATCATGGCCCAGCCATAACTGAAAAAATAATGTTTTAAAAAGGTGCTATTTCAATGGTACACACATAAAAATAGATAGGAAGGTTAAGTCACCAAAACAAAGCATCCTGTACGTTATGCAGAGAAGGATTGGATATGGGCATTGTAGAAAAGAGGACGTGATCCCATATATGGAGACTAAATCTCACAAGTCTTGGATGGGACAGGCAAGCACTTGTAAATCAATCACATTTTCTCATCTCCTCAAAAGACACCAATGCCCAATTGAAGATAGTGGCTACTGAATAAGCCCGGAAGATGTCGCAAATGAACATACCTGGTTGTATGGTTCCCTTACCCTGTCTAAGAAACTGACTAATGTTCCATATCTCAATCCAACGGTTGAGACTAAAATGGCTTATGGGCAAACAAACAGGGGATTCTGATGGCAGACGTATGAGCCGTCACCTATAGAGCTGATTCTGTCAGCTCTTATCAAGGGTCATGCTTTCTAAGCTACGTCAAGAGATGTGGCCAATCCCAAAGGCAAAAAAACTGTTCCCCTTAGCTCTTAGGTATATTGCTTTGAACAGTGGAAGCTCAGATGTCTCTTTGATTCCACAAAGATTTTTTAAAAACTGTGAAAGATATTAAATATATGTATTACATACATACATACACACATGCATTATGTTCAGATGCAAACTAGAATTTCCTAACTTAACTACATATTTGGGCAAGAGTGCAAATGTAAATCTTGGCAAATCCCATTCTATCTATAAACTCTCCCCCAAAATAAAAAGATTTTATGCTAAATATCCAGTATGTTCCATGCACACTGATACGTAGGGATGTGTTTTGCCTACCTATAATATGAGGTTTTCAAAATGTAAGTGTCAGTCTATTTTTCTGTTTCTTTAAAATGTGCTGAAGCACTTAGGGAATTTATTTTACTTTATAGAAACAGAAAGACACGGCCTTCTTAGATATTTACCTACAAGATGGCTATTAGGTTTGCTCTAGAAAAGATGTTAAAATTTTGGCTTGCCATGAAATAATATTTTCAAACTGTAGGAGAAAAAGTATGTTTTTCTATAATGTGGAAATACATAGGGATGAGAACAGAGAGAACTAGCATATTTAAACAAATCTATATGTTGTTTCTCTAAAGGTGTTTGATGTGATTTAAGAAAGCCATAGAAGAAAATGAATTGATCCACCTGAAATATTTTCGTTATATGTGTAGCTTGCAATAAAATCTCATACAGTGAAATAAATGTCACCTATTTTTGGAAATAAGCATGATTCAGAGCTACAAATTAAATAGGAGAGCAAAGCATAAAAGATCATCTGTAGTATACTACCATCATGTGAGAAGTGGATATAAGAAAATATGCATGAATGTAGTCATTTGTACAAAAGAACTACAGGAAGGAACAACTCGAAATAAATGAGGTTGCCTGCAGGGTGAGGGTAGAAAGAGAACGTGATGAATCGAGGATGAGGATGAGATTGCAGGTATCAGGAGGAGTGGCATTCCTCTGAGTACACTGTTTTTTAATTGCTGCCTTGTGGAATCATGGTAATGTTTTACATACTTCCTAAATAAATAAATAAAATCAACCAAAATGCGTGTGGTGGGTGGGGGAGGGCAGAAAGAAAGGAATGCAAACAGTACATAGAGACATCCATATTACAAATGAAAAACATCAACCTACTGAGAGTGAGAACGCAAAGAACTAACTTAAGCAAGTCTGGAAAACAGCATTTTGGCAGTACGCTAAAAGGCTGAAGACTAAAAGAACTGTACACTGATGTTTTCATATAGTAGCACATTTGTTTCTCACAAAGTTATAAGTTAGCAATTCTGAAAACTACTTTCTATGAATTCTGAAACTACTTTGTATGTATACTAGGATTGAACACACATGTAAAATATATGGTAGAGCCAGGTTTCTCAACAATGGAGGAAAACTACACATATGGAAGTGGAGAAGGCTAGAGTGAACCCAGGCATGTTAGATCAGAATGTGAAGTATTAGAGAAATTGCCCCTTGAACAACATGGGTTTGACCTGTGTGGGTTCACTTATATGCAGAATTTTTTCAACCAAAGATAAAAACAACATTCATGGGATGTGAAACTGAGGTATACGGAGGGCTGACATTTCCTATATGTATGCTTCATGGAGCCAATTGCAGGACTTGAGTATGTGAAAATTTAGTATATACAGCAGTCTTGGATCCAATTCCTCACCTACACCTAGAGGCAATTGTATTAACTCACACCCATACACACAAACACACACCCATGTGCAGATGAATAGATACATAAATAAAGATGCATGTACACACAACTTAATACACACACATATATTCTCTAGCTCTGTCTTTTAAAAGGGCCTAAGCAATGGCACCCCAGTAACAATGAGACCTCCTGTTTCCCAGATCTTGGTCTCTAATACCATATTCCAATAACATAAATCAGAGTTTCCTGGAAAAAAAAAAGGTGATTATTGGGCTGAGACAGAGGAATTACTGGATAAGCCTAGAGCATCTTAGGGTGCTCAAAAATAAGAAAAAACTCAACCGTGATGAAGGCCTATTGAAAGGTCATAGAAACCAAATTGGAGGAGATCAAGATATTTGAAGCTGGAACAATTTGAACAACAAAGTGTGGTAGTATTGAATAACTCAAGAGAAAATATGATATTGATGTTAATCAATAAATCAATAGTGGAGAAAATATAGCTTTTTAAGGAGTAGAATCACCATGAAAATGCAGAAAAAATATGTGAAATAGGAAATCATCTTGAGACCAATTCTACAGTAATAAAATTATTGGCTAATGTCAGTATACTTTTGACTTTTAAAGTCAAAAGTTTTAAGAGAAACGTAGTATTTGCCAAGGGTCAAAGTATCTGTCTACAGACACTTACTCATTACAAAGAGAGGCCAGTAATTTCAAATGAAGACACTAAGTAGATACCACTTTAAGCAATACAACTTAACATCACTAATAAAACAAAATATTGGCTGGGCACGGTGGCTCATGCCTGTAATCCCAGCACTTTGGAAGGCCAAGGGGGGCGGATCACTTGAGTTCAGGAGTTTGAGACCAGCCTGGCCAACATGGTGAAACCTCGTCTCTACTAAAAATACAAAAATGAGCTGGGCATGGTGGTGGGTGCCTGTAATCCCAGCTACTTGGGAGGCTCAGGCAGGAGCATTGCCTGAACCCGGGAGATGGAGGTTGCAGTGAGCTGGGATCACGCCACTGCACTCCAGCCTGGGTGACAGAGCGAGACTCCATCCAAAAAAAAAAAAAAAAATCAATGCCCCTGCACCACCTGGTATGATGCACTCAGAATGGCACAGCCTCTGTTATGTGGATTTATATCAAAATAAACAGGACATGGGAAAAATGCAAATTGAGGGCCATTCTTCAAAACAATTGACCAGTATTCTTCAATAGTGGAAGGTCATGAAAGATAAAGCAGTGTGTGGAACGATCACAGATTGGATGAGACTAGGGAAATATCATAAACTTAGTCCAAAATGGATCCTGAACCAGAAAAAAAAAGCTGGTGTGGGAGGGAAAGTAAACTTGTGAAATTTTGATAAAGTTTGCTGATATAATAGTATTGCGTCAATGTAAATTTCCTGATCCTAAGCATCGAATATGGTTATGTAAGTAACATCAGGAGAAATTGGATGAAGAATATTTTGGAACTCTCTGTACTAATTTTTAGGCTGTTCTGGGAGTCTGAAATTATTTAAAAAGTGATTTATGCTATTTGGTATGAGCTATTCCAAAGATTCAATGCTCTTTAAAGTTGATGTATCTCTGGGTCCGGAATGATTCAGTGGCTGGGTTTGAGTTACATTTTACCTGAATTTGCAAGAGCTATAGGATTTTTAACACAGAATATGAAATGGGGTATGAATTTATGTTTTTGTTGCTATGGTGATTTACATTGTTACTATTTTAATACCCTCATCAAATGCAGGCGTTCCGTGGCAATATGGCACCTCTACATAATTTAATACCAAATCATGCATAACGAAGTGCGGCACCATTTGCAAGATAAAATGAGGAAATTAAAAGCAAATAGAAGTATATTACCCAAGTCCAAAACCTATAAATAATTGAACAGTAAGTGTGAACACTCTATAAAGGAGATTTATTGATAGGAATTGATATGTATAATAAATAGTGCAAAACTTTTATTACTAATAAAGGAAATACCTTTGAACATCCACTTTTCAAAATCTCTAACTCTCTACTAGAAAGAAAGTAAACACATTTTGGTTAATTTTCAGGACATGTGGCAGGGAGAGGTTTTACACAGAGTTTAGTGATGAATTTTTAATCATTGACTACTGGGGTATTAGCTTTTGTGAAGAATATTGTCATATAAACATTATCATTTACTGCAGACTGAATCTGTATCCCAAAAATTTCCAACCAGTTAAATCAGATGACTGATGTGCATTCCTGTAATTTTCTTATTTTACTTACTTTTTACTTAATTCAAATGTCTATCATTAAGAAAACTGCATCAACATTTTTCTCTGTTGTTTCATTAACACAGAGAATCATGTGGAAGTTGCTTTGCTGTTATTAATGGGGAATTTCTACTGCTATTGGTGCTTTTCTGGGTCGTGGTAGCTGCACTGATGTAACCAAGGAAGCTTGTTTCCCCGGAGGCGAATTTGAGGGGGAAATGTGGCCTGGAATGAATTTCAGAATTAGAACAGAAACCAGTTCTTTATCATTCCATGAACAAGTGCTTTTCCAAATAGCACGTCACAAGCCACATTCATATATCGGGCTCTCAGTCAGCTCCTGAATGCAAGTATTTCCTATGAGAAGAAAGTTGTCAAGGGTAACAAACTTTCCATATGCAGACATTTTGAAGTAGGATTTTCTAATTGCCCTGTGGTACTGTGAGAATTGTCACTGTTGGCATGCAAATTAAAGTAGGAGTGAATTCCAATATTAATTCATCAAGCCATTGTGAAATTGTTACTATATACAAGGCTGTAAACGTGATGATTTTGGATAAGCTCTTAATCTCTCTCTACCTCATTTTTCTTAGATATGAAATGATAATAGTAATACCCACCTTAATATAAGTTAACTGCTTATAACAGTTCCTGGCACTGGAGCTTCATGCATGGTGGGTTGCCATGAAGCAATAGAACATTAACGCAATTATTAACTATTATTGTCGTGATGATGATGATGATGATGATTGTATACTCCCCTCCCTTTTCTATGTGGATGAAATTTGTTACCATATTTAACAAAAGGGAGATTATCTGGGTGGTCTAATCTAATTGCACGAGCCCTTAAAAAGCAGAGAGTTTTCTCTAGCTGAGAGCAGAAGAGGAAGTCAGTGACTCCAAGCCCATGGGGGATTTGATGTGCCCATTGTTGTTCTGAAGACCAAGAGGGGCCAAAGAATGTGAGCAGCCTTTAGAAATTGAGAGTGGTCCCTGGCTGATGGCCAAGAAAGAGACAGGGACCTTGGTCCTGCGTTTTCAAGGACAGGATTTTAACCAAGAGCCTGAATGTGATTGCAAGCATATTCATCCCCAGTGCCTCCAGAACAGAGCCCAAGTAACTGATCAGCATTTTGCTTTTGGCCTTTTGATTCCCTGAGACAGATCCAGTGGAGCCCCCTTTAGACTTGTAACCTACAGCACTGTGTGATCATAAATGTTTTCTAAACTACTGAATTTGTGCGAATTTGCTAGGTATCAATTAGAAAAATTATGCAGTAATGATGCTATACGCCACTTCAGGAGGGATTGAAATGATAGTTTATCATTGCTAACACATATTGAACATGTACATCTACCAGACACTGTGATAAGTGTTTTGCTTGAATTGTTTTATTTAATCTCTCCACAATGGCATAGGGTGGGTTCTCTTACGAATACCATTTGAGGTAAGTGAGGCAAACAGATAGGTTGGGTCCCATGAGGAAGGTCATGTAACTAGCAGGAAGCTGAGCAGGAATGTGAATTCAACAGTGCCTGGTCCGGGGCACACATTCTCAATCACTGGGCAATATGGACCCGTCTTTGTCTTTATTGGAATTTGAAGTCCGTGAGGCCAAACATGACAAGCGTTATGTGGGGCATACAGGCAAAGTGAGGCAAGAATTCAGAGAGGTCTTGGGCTTTTCATGGGGCACTAATAGGAAGATGCTGTTATTTTTGGAAAATGTTTATAAGGCAGTATATTTCAAACTGCTTTTTTTTTTTTTTTTTTTGAGACAGATTTTCGCTCTTGTTGCCCAGGCTACAGTGCAGTGTCGTGATCTCGGCTCACCGCAATCTCCGCCTCCCGGGTTCAAGCGATTCTTCTGCCTCAGCCTCCCGGGTAGCTGGGATTACAGGCATGCACCAACACACCCAGATAATTTTGTATTTTTAGTAGACACTGGGTTTCTCCATGTTGGCCAGGCTGGTCGCAAACTCCCCACCTCAGGTGATCCGCCCGCCTTGGCCTCCCAAAGTGCTGGGATTACAGGCGTGAGCCACCGCGCCCAGCTCAAATTGCATTTTAAAGACTGCAAGCAAAAATTGCTTTATTTGGGAGTTTCCATTATGATGACACAGCAAAAATCTCAGTGTATCCCCTACAGTCTGGTTCAACACCATCCATCTGACTGAGTCCAGCCCATTTTAGCATGGGACATTGAGTATGTTTTCATAACTGTTATCAAGAAGTATTTTTATGCCGGGTGCAGTGGCTCACGCCTGTAATCCCAGCACTTTGGGAGGCCGAGGCGGGTGGATCATGAGGTCAGGAGATCGAGACCATCCTGGCTAACAAGGTGAAACCCCGTCTCTACTAAAAATACAAAAAATTAGCCGGGCGCGGTGGCGGGCGCCTGTAGTCCCAGCTACTTAGGAGGCTGAGGCGGGAGAAGGGCGTGAACCCGGGAAGCGGAGCTTGCAGTGAGCCGAGATCGCGCCACTGCAGTCCGCAGTCCGGCCTGGGCGACAGAGCAAGACTCCGTCTCAAAAAAAAAAAAAAGAAGTATTTTTATATGCTTCACACTAATTAAAAGATGATAAAGTTTGATATGAGAAATTAAATGACATGTTTGTGCTGGGTAATATTCCAGTGGCCTCTTGGCACATAATATGGTTAATATTTCATTGTGTTAAATTAGAGAAGGGGTTGTAAGAGAGTTGAGTCACTAAAGCATGCCCAGGGCTCTAGACTAACTGAACTAAATATAGCAAACAAGCATAATGGCCTCGACCACAATCATATTGCAAGCAGTGGACAAGTTTCAGAAAAAGCAATACTATTATCACATTTAAATTGAACTGAAATTGGTGTGCAGTTTTGTTTTGCATTTAATGTTTAAATAGATCTTAGTTGTATACTTCTGTAAGGGCAATAAACATAAGATATCTATTCCCAATGTTATGGGTATAAAGATTAGGTAATATAATAATAATTTCAAGGCACAATTAGGGTGTGTACAATTTTTTATTTTTATAAATTCATGGGGTACATGTGCAATGTTGTTACATGCATAGACTTCATAGTGGTCAAGTCAGGGGATTAAGGCATCCATCACTCAAATAACACACATTGTACCCACTGAGCAAGTTCTCATTATCTTCCCTCCTCCCACCCCCTCATCCTTTCTA
The DNA here is from genome assembly GCF_000001405.40 of Homo sapiens. Taxonomy (NCBI): domain Eukaryota; kingdom Metazoa; phylum Chordata; class Mammalia; order Primates; family Hominidae; genus Homo; species Homo sapiens. The sequence goes on from NC_000012.12 coordinate 126,421,501, forward strand.
GTTTCCATTTTCCATCATTCTTTACGTCCAACTGTGCACATTTTTTAGCACCCATTTATGAGTGAGAAGCTGCAATATTTGACGTTCTGTTTCTGGCTTGTTTCAGTTAAGATAATGACCTCCAGTTCCATCCATCTTGCTGTAAAAGACATAATTTAATAACATTCCATTGTGTGTATATGCTTCATTTTCTTTATCCATTTTCCCTTGGATGGACACTTAGGTTGATTCTGTATCTTTGTCATTGTGAATAGTTTTGCAACAAATATATGTGTGCAGGTATCTTTTTGATATAATGATGTATAATTTGATATAATGATTTATTTTCCTTTGGGTAGATACCTAGTAGTGGGATTGCTGGATGGAATGGTAGTTCTATTTTTAGTTCTTTGAAAAATGTTCATACTGTTTTTTGTGGAGTTTGTACTAATTTACACTCCGACCAACAGTGTACAAGGATTCCCTTTTGTCTGCATCTTCATCAATATCTGTTATTTTCTGTCTTTTTAATAATAATCATCAGGGAAATGCAAATGAAAACAAAAAATGAGATATCATCTTATTACCTTTGTCAAAATGGCTACAAGAATTTTTTTAAAGGGAGTACTGATGCATTTAAAAGAAGGTTGAAGTAAACGGCTTTAGACACAGGTCAATGAAATCAGGTGCTTCTGAGCAGGGCCAGGACTGTGCCCATTTCTCATCTTGTCTCCTTCACTAGAAATACGCTTTCATCCTGCTTGATCAGTGGCCTGGGCTTGCCACAGATAAAACTGAAGTGATGTTAGGTTAGCAGCCAGTTGAATGTAGGGCCCTCCAGGATAGACTACAGAGTGGGAGGCAGGAGAGGGGAATGGAAGTGGGTAGAATAGGGAGCTTAGAATAAGGTGGCCTGATGAGTCACACCTGCAACCGACAAGTATCTTCACAGCAGTTCCCAAGACTTCCTGCAAGCTAAAATCACCCAGAAAGATTAAAGCAATCCCATAACCAAAGTTGTATCAGTCAGGGTTCTCTAGAGGGAAAGAACTAATAAGATAGATAGATGTACATATGAAAAAAAGTTTATTAAGGAAAATTGACTCATGCAATCGCAAGGTGAAATCCCACCACAGGCCATCTGTAAGTTAAGGAGCAAGGAAGCCAGTAGTGGATCAGTCCGAGTCCCAAACCTCAAAAGTAGGGAAGCCGACAGTGCAGCCTTCAGTCGTGGCTGAAGGCCCCAGAGCCCTGGCAAACCACTAATATAAGTCCAAGAGCCTAAAAGCCAAAGAACTTGGATTCTGATGTTTAAGGGCAGGGAGCATCCAGCACAGGAGAAAGATGAAGGCCGGAAGATTCAGCAAGTCAAGTCCTTTCAGCTTCTTCCGCCTGCTGTATTCTAGCTGCAGTGGCAGCTGATTGAATAGTGCCCACCCAGATTGAGGGTGGGTCTGCCTCTTCTAGTCCACTCACTCAAATGTTAATCTCCTTTGGCAACACCCTCACAGATACACCCAGGAACAATACTTCATATCCTTTAATCCAATCAAGTTGACATCCAGTATTAACCATCACAAGTCTACCCCTTGTCAACTTGAATCCATATATATCTCCAAATAAAGATGATAAGGTCATAATTATGCCTAAAATAATACAGCTATCCTTCGTACAACCAGAGGTGCATTAATCCTTAGCCTAAATGCTATTACATAAAGTTAACAACACTTAAATGTTGATATGGAGTCAACAAATCTTATGTCACAAGATAAAGGAAAAAGAATGGAAATAAAATGAAGAATTTTCTTAGTGCAAGTGTATACCTGCACAAATATAGTCTTAGCAAAATAAGGAGGACATTTTCAGTCCTCCTTGTCTTACCGTCCCTGTTTCTGCAACTGGCCACACGTTCACCACTAGATAACTAGCTTCTGCCATTACCCATTCTGTATTCCCTTTGCCTTCAGCAAGAACCTCAGCATATTGTGGTTTTTTTTACCTGGTAGAGTGACCCAAACCTTCATTCCTGAAGGATCTGGGCCATGTGTAGTTCTGCTTGGATTGGATTGTAGTTTCCCAATGACCTTAATGACAGGGCTTGGTGATACTGAGAGACTCCCTAAGCCTCAAGTCTTCTCTTACGCAAGGCGATGCAGTTCCAGGTTGTTTGAATGAGCGCCAGGCAGCATTTCCAGCTGCCTGCAGCTGGAAGGATTTCACCTGCCTAGGGCTAGAGCTGGAAATGAAATATTATTGGTTTCTTTTCTCATGGAGCCTTTGGTCTGTACAGAACAGGTGAGACTTGCTTTACGGCCAGGCTCTGGCCCTGGAGAGCAGTGGGCAAGTCAGTACAGAAAAGATGTGATTCCAGCAGCTTCCCCTTGTCTAAGCAAGAAGGCAGAGCATTGAGCCCAGTGCAGAAGTTGGGGTAGTTCTGGGGCCCTGAATTGCTTTGTGTGGCCTGCCTGAGAGGCAGGGACTGTGTTTCATATTTTCTTAAACCACATGTATAAAAGACAGACAATGATTCTACCAATCAGGGTTTCTTAAGGATGCAAAAGACACTTGGTATAATTTGTAAAATACTTAATGTATTACAGTCAATTCTTATTATTTGAGATTGCGCATTCCATCAAGTCATCATAATGAATTAGCGCATGTTGAACCACTGCTTCCAGGAGAAATACAGGGTTAGGTTTCTGGGAGCCACTGGTCCCAACATTCCATCAATCAATACATATACCTGTTTTATGCATATTCCTATTTTGAAGCCACAGATATTATGTTAATAACATTATACATTATGTAATATGAATCATTGACTCTTGTAGAATGAAGACATGGCCAACAGCTCTGTAACTTCTGCCTTTAAGAAGCTGATCTAATACACACATCTCTATAGGCCATATCACAACGTTCTTGAGCCTGAGAACACTAAATAGCACTTGAGCAGTGTGCTTGGGTGTCATTTATAACAGTAAAGTCATCAACATAACGCATAAAAATGAAAAAAAAAGTGGCATTTGATAGACCACAAAAAGATACTTATGTACAGCATGAAAGCTTAAACAAGAAGGCTGAGTTTCACCTTATTCAAAGATAGTGATTTTGGGGTTACAAATAAATTTTAGCATGTAAGCAAATTTGCAAATGCAGAATCCATAAATAATGAGGATCAGTGGGTAGGACTATTACAGGGAAACCCAAAATGCAGTATCCTGAGGACAGCAGCAGTAAGGAACATTGTTGTCATCCCTAGTTCTAAAGGGACAAGGGCTCAGGGAAGTTTCTGGAACCAGGAGAAGAGTACCATAAAGAGAGTGCTGTGTAGACACGGCCACCTGGTGGGAGCTGGCCAGGATTCAGTCAGCAGATATAGTCAGCTTGTGACTAATCCCCCAATGAAATATGAATGTTATTATGAATCCCATTCTGTGTGTGAGTACTCGAAGACACAGAGAGATTGAATAAATTATCCAAGGTCTCACACTGAGCCAGGAAGTTACAGAATAAACATAAAAACCCAAGCAATCAGGCTCTGAAAAAACCTTCTTAATAACTCCGTTGAAAGAATTGTGCAGTCTCTGGGAAAACAAGAAATGGTGAGTGGAGACACACGCACAAGGCCCCTTTAAGTGACCCATGGCAGCCAGAGGAAGATGTTTGTTAGGCTTTGAAGGGAAGGTGGGGGTTAAAGAAAGACACACAGAGAGAGTTGGCGGCTCTACAGCAAATGCAGGTTCTATGTCCAGCATAAGACTGGCAGAGGTGGGGGACCAGCTTAATGCCCACTGCTGCTTACAGGCTGGGGCAATTATAGGCCTGGATGAGAGGGCTCTCAGAGAGGAAGGGGCATGGTCTGCTGCCTGGAAAAATGTTGATAACAAATTCCCATGATGAGGCGGTTTGGCCCCTGTTCTGACGGAATGTGATGTTCCTTGCACTTCTTCCCCCAGAAGGTGATAAAGTCAGGCAGTTGGGCAGGCTGTCATTGCCCGAGCCCCTGTGGAATGTCTCACTTTGGCCAAGGTCTGTGAAATGGTGTGGGGGCGGAGGGTGCTTAGAAAATGGTGCAGCTTAGACTAGAGGTGTTTCCCTATTGGTTTCGGAGCAACGCGTTGACATCCCCACTAAAATTTCTTGAGTATTTTGAATTGTTAAAATCTAAGAAGGTAGAAAAAAGCAAAACCAATATGTTTTTTTCTTCTCATCATAGGGGCTTTCATTTATGCATGGACACATTCATTATTGAACCCCACTTCTGTGCCATGCACTTTACCAGGTGCTCAGTAAACACATTAATAAAGCAGGCATGGTTTATCCCGAGACGACATGCACTGAGAGGACGTTTCTGTTTTCCAACAGGAGCACAGTTCAGCACAGCACTGGTTCAGCATGGGCCAATTCCTTGCCCTGACATTGTAGGACATTGTGAAGCCTCCACCTGGGTCACAATGACCCTCGGTACCTGTTAATGTATGCACCTTCATCATGAACCCGGAGTATTAAACAACAAATGAGGCTTCCTGCAGTCACTAAGGATCACGATTCTAAATAAATCTGAGAAGCTCAGCAATAGAGGTCGCCCCCTCCCCCGGGCGGAGTCCTTGATATCTGAAACAAGGCTTCACATCATCTGGCATTAAACTATGGGGCTGCTTGAAGGCAGAATTTGTCTTATTCTGATGTAGGATGACCAAAACATCTGGAGAAACAAATTGGGGTGAGCCCTCTCCAAGCGTGTTAATAAAATACTAGTTGTCAGCATAAGACAGACAACAAGGCAAGGTCAGTAAGGCCTGGGGCTTAATTGATTTGTCTTCCAGGAAATTAAGGGAGTGAGCACAGGGACTCACACCCAGATATCAGGTGGAACAGTCATTAAAAGCCTATTAGAGGAACCGATCCAGTCAAAAGACCTAAAATAAGCAAAGAAAGAGGATATTTCTTCACCACAAGCTCTATCTCAATCTGCTTCTTCATACAAACATCCTTTTTGTTTTACTGTGCCCAAAATAATTAATATACTAGGACAACTTGAAGTGCAAAAACTCCTGTGTCTGAAGTGAGAGGCTACTGTACAGATAAGGGAAAGTCAAGTTCTCAAACTCTAGATTCTAGAACCTAGAAGACTGAAAGGGATTTCTTCTCTAGGCACAAGGTTTATTCTAGGTGAGATGTTAGAATCCATATGATTGCCGAGTGTGGTGGCTCATACCTGTAATCCCAGCACTTTGGGAGGCCAAGGCAGGAGGATTGCTTGAGCCCAGGAGTTCAAGACCAGCCTGAGCAACATGGCAAGACCCTGTCTCTACAAAAAAAAAAAAAACATTAAAAAATAGCCTGGCAGGGTGGTGCATGCCTGTGATTCCATCTACTCAGGAGGCTGAGGCGGGAGGATTATTTGAGCCCAAGAGGTAATGGTTGCAGTGAGCCATAATCACATGATTGCACTCAGCCTGGGCAATAGGGCAAGATCCTGTCTCAAAAAAAAAAAAAAATTAGAATGTGTTTTATAATGTCTCAATATCTGGAAATGTGTGGCAGAGATAGAAACATACATATATCAGTGAGATTTTTATTTCTCAGATTCACCCACAGCTAAACTGGGGGTCATGTGACTCACTCTGGGAAAGCAAGTGATGCCTATCACTTCTGGAATGAGGTATTTAAAAGCTGATGTACTTTTTTATCTCTCTCTCTTTTCCCTTGCTACAAAGACCCAGAAGCCACTTGCTCCACATCTGCAGTTACAAGGCAGAACAAATTTGCCAGAACCAAGCTACAGGTACTACTATGAATTTAGTGTGTATTGGTAGTTGGTGATAAACCCCCTGACTAATCCAAAATATGTCTTTCCAATTCGTTCTCAAAAGCCCAAACCAGTAATATAGAAATGGCTGTTTTTCCAGGCAACAAAATCCAGAAATAGAGTTCCTCTGTTTCAGCCCGAGGCTACTGTATAGGAGGCAGAAATGTTTGTTATTAGATTCTAAAATAGTAACAATACATCCACGGTGGCACAATTCCCAAATCTGATGGAAGGTCGGAGCTCTCTGGGCTTATAGTGATGAATTAAGTTCACATGAGCTAAGCAGATTCAATAAATCATAAGAAGATTCTATTGACTATACTGTGAATAAAGCTTGAGCCAGAAGCCTGACATTATATACAACTTAAACTAAGAATAATAGTTCCTTCTCTGGTCATTTACCCGATAGGTAGAATAAAATATCAGAGCTGAAGGAGCTTTCAAAAATGATCCTAATGAATCCCCTTGGTTTAGTCCCAAGATTTATTATGTTCCATGGGCTTTGATGGACACGGAGATAAAGGATACATGACACCCAACACCTTTCCGCACGCTTATAGTTTACATAAAAAATATTCAGAAACTAAAAATTGACAGACGCATACATTAGGTTTATATAAAGGGTACTATGCAGACTTAGAAAGGGGGTACCTAGCTCAGCTTGGAGTTCAGATAAAGCTTCCAGAAACAATGAGAACCAAGTTAGATTATGAAGAATGTCAGGCAGAAAATATAGAGATTTTCCAAAAAGAGGAAATCTGTGAGCAAAGGAGTAAAACTATGAAACAGCATGGCACAGAAACCTCAGATGCATGCATGGCCCTTTCTGTGTTTCACAGGTTGATCTCAATTCTTTCTACATCAAATTTAGTTGGATATTGCTTAAGTGTAAAATGGAGAAATGGTGGTGTACAAAGTTGGATAATATAGACCAGAAGGGAAATCTACTTAGTGAAGGTAGGTTATTAGTAAATGTTTTATTTGTTTGAAGGGCTTTAGAGGCATTAGTATGTGGTAATATAAGAATCCTAGTATAATTTTAAATAGGTTGTATTAAATTAGTAGGTTTAGGGGAAGACATCTTAGTAAGAAATGGTATGAAAATACAGGCAAGAAAATAAAGAAGCAATACTGGGGAGACTACATCCTTCTAAGGACAAAAATTACGGGATCCAAGTATGTTAGTTGAGTCTAACCTGGTGGGTGAAGATATCTCAGGATGAGTAGTTACGTCTACATCAGCCTTGCTTAAAAGATCCCCTCCTTGTGATAATGATATTATACATCAACACCAATGCACAGGAAATAAATGAAAGTGAGTGGTGCCATGATACCTGGTGTTGCAGGTTCCACTTTGGAAGAGGGTCTGAATTAAAGTTTGGGAAGGGTTTTTTCTAAAGATAGAGAGTGAATTCCTATAAGAAAGAGCCTGGGTAGTCAAGGCATGAGATGCACCGAGCCTGGGAGCCTGGGAGCCTGGGAGTGTTTGGACCTTGCCTTCAGAAATCACACGGGGATCCAGAGGTGTTAATTAAGTACAGGGAAGTCGAGGAGGCTGAATCATGAACTCTCACAGACAGAGTCCTGATGGAAGAATTTACCCAAAACTCTTAGATGACTTAGCAACAGCTCTTCAGTGACAGGCACCCCAAACCAGACATGTGTATGACGTCATCGGGCTCCACGCACTAATTTCAAAGTGAGGAAGGCTCAGTTGTTCCCTGGGGAAAGTAAGATTTTAATCTGATTTTTTATTTTCCTCATGCTTCCTTTTTATCCCTCTGACCTTGTTTTTTCTTATCACTGAAATGAGATATATTCACTTTGCACAAGTAGCAATGTTGTATGTAAGAGCATCTCTGATCATCTACAGATGGCCTGATTCTCAAATTGCAGGCTTTAATTTTTGAATAAAATGTCATGTGTTTCAAATCTTGGAACATTTTCAATAAAAAGAAAATCATTTTGAGAAATAGTTTGTGCATATGGTTAAATATTAAATCTGTGTTAAGATGGGATTTTAGATGTTTTCAAATATGGTGTGGAATGGCAATCCTTCAATAATATCCTAAATATATAAAGAACTCTTAGAAATAAAAAAGAAACAAACAAAACAAAATTTAAAATGTGAGTAGGTATTTCTTCTTTACCAAAGAAGAAATAGAACTGAAAAATAAACCTCAACATTTTCAATAACAAAACACATTACAGGTACATTTATACTCATAATATTTTAAATTAGATATATAATTTTACACACAGAATATTAATAATCCAAGCTTGAAAAGTACATTGGATATTAGTACAAACTGCTGGGGTGCATTAGTCTTTTCTCATGTCACTAATAAAGACATACACGAGACTGAGTAATTTATAAAGGAAAGAGGTTTAATTGACTCACAGTTCCACATAGCTGGGGAAGATTCACAATCATGGTGCAAGGCAAAGGAGGAGCAAAGGCATGTCCTACATGGCAGCAGGCAAGAGAATCTGTGTAGGGGAACTGCCATGTATGAAACCATCAGATCTCATGAGACTTATTCACTATTACAGGAATAGCATGGGAAAAACCCACCCTCATTAATCAATTACCTTGCACTGGGTCCCTCCCATGACACATGGGGATTATGGGAGATACAATTCAAGATGAGATTTGGGTGGGGACACAGCCAAACCATAACATGGGGAGATTGTATATTAGTGAAACTTTTCCTAAGGCACTTTTGCAATATGTTTCAAAAACTTGAACAATATATAACCTTTAATCTAGCTGTCTTATATTTGCGATATTAACCCTAAGATTTTATTCACATATTTTGGTTCTTTTTACATTGCTTAAAATAAAAATTGGGAACAAACTAAATGTCTAAAATTCATGAATGAGTCAAATTTGAGTTAAATGCATACAAGGTTGCAAACTGGAAGCTAGGAGGACAATACAGCCTAGAGGTATTTTTTCTGTGGCCAACTCAGTGATTTTTTTTAAAAGTTCATTTACTTGCCAATATTTATAAATATGCTTTTAAAATAAATCCTGGAATGTTGGTTTGCCTCAAAACACCAGAACATCCATAAACACTGCATCTTAACATGACAGAAATTGGCCACGGTAAAATATGAACTGCTTTCCTTAGACTGTGTAAGCATTTTCCTGTTTATTCCAGTACCCATCACTCTATTGATATACACTTAATCATTACTTCAATCATTTCCATCACCTGTCTGGATATTGAAGTATTTAAGTTCATGGTTCCTGGTGTATATAAAACATAGCTCATTTATATAATGTAATATTAGCCAGCCACTAAAAAGAAGGTACTGCTGAAAAATACTAATAGAAAAAGATATGCATGATATTAAAAAACAAACATGTTATCAACTATTGTTTACAACAGAATTATTTTCTTGACTCCAAAATGCAAAGAGTAAAAGACTAGAAGATTTGAATCCAAATCGTAACAGAGGCTGTCTCTGACTGTTAGAACAGCTGGCAGTTTTTATTTTCTTCCTTCTCCTTATCTGTGATTTCCAAATGTTCCACAATGTGCACCTTTGCCTTCATCTCATTTTCCTCCTCGTCTCCTGCCTCTACGCACTCACCCCAGGGCCTTGGCTGCTCCCTGGAGTGCTCTGCTACAGGTCTCTGTCTTGACCTTTCTTGGCTCCAGTGACATCCTATGTCTGACTCCATGGAAGCTGATAGTAAGAGCAAAGCCTTGTTGGCAGTGTCCAGTTCTGCTCCTCCATCTTGGAGCTCAGCTCTCTGAGTCTCCATTACTTAATGTTAGCTTGAGCATTGTGAAACCTTAATAACAGGCTGCAAGACTCAGAGATCTGAAACGTGTAACAAGATTATCTGTTGGGAAATAATTGTAACAGGACATGGAAGGGAGAGAAAGCGAGACTCAGAGAGAGAGAAAAAGATATTGCTCTTACCATCTTCATTGTATCCATGACTGGCATACAATTTTGATTGATAAAAATCTTTCTGCAGGGAATTTCTCCCTGGCCTGCTGAGAGGAGAAAACACATCTGTCCTAGGTGTGTAAATAATTGCATCCTTTGCTTCTCTACAGAGTCAGCAATGTGGCATTTCATTTCTAATTATGGGCACTGAGGTCAGTCCTCCCTGAGTTTCTAAAACACCACCTCAGTGGGCTCCCAATGCTGGGATTAAAGCCCTGAAAAAAAAAAATAATTCTCACATTTTCCCTTCTTGTTTGGGCTTATATTCTGATGACCTTAAAAAATACAGGATGCTTTTACTAATCCTAATCTACATATGACTGTGAAAATGCACAGTTATCTTAGAGCAGCAAGGGAAAAAAAGAAAATATTAAAGTGAAGAAACGTTCCTCCCTCGCAGGGAAAACTTTTTAAAATACCTCAGTGTCATGTTTTTTAACCATAAGCAAAGATTCTATTTTAATTAAAACCACCACCATTTCTCCTTCCTCAAAAGTACTTCTACGAGAAGCAACGGCCTCTTTTCCGCTCTAGCCTGCTGGAAGTGAACTCACGATTCTGCAAAGGTCTTTTCTCTACCTTGGTTTTTTCAGCAGACATCCCTGTTGCTATGTGTCTGAAGAGATGCCACAGCTGCTGATATGCTAATTCCTGCTTACTTCCAAATAGGCCTGGGTTTGTTTTGTACTTCATCAGCTGTCTACAAAGACGTTTGAGAAATAACTCCAGGTCTTTACAAAGAGAACACAGTAGTGTCTTACTGTGGGCTTTTGAAGCATCAGCACAGAGAAGAGCTCTGTAGAGAGCAGATGTTGCCCGCAGCCTTTGGGACTCCATTCCTTGGCTCAACAAAGATGGGTTACTTTTGCAATTAGAAAAAGACAAAAGAGGCAAACGATTAATACATGTATGCTCTTTAGCCTAGGAGGCAAAAAAATCATCATTTGATGATTTTTATCCCATTGTTCTCACTTATGAAAAATAAGAGATACTAAGCCCACACACACAGACAGACACTCAAAAATGCACGGCTTCTTTTGAAATACTGGAATACAGGCAATACTGAGTTCACATATCCCATGGGCACATGTACGGGAGCTGAGTAACAGGCATCCTTTCGGCGGCATGAATGTTCAAGTTCACCAGTGTCCCCTACTTAGAGGTCCATGTTGCTGCACTGTGTACTTTCACTCATGTGTGTTATCTACTGAGTGATTGTAGACACTTGTGGTGTTGATTTTTTTTTTTTTTTTTAGAAAGGATATCCCGCTGTCACCCAAGCTGGAGTGCAGTGGTGCAATCACAGCTCACTGTAGCCTCGACCTCCCAGGCTCAAGCTGATCCCCCTCAGCCTCCTGAGTAGCTGCGACCACAGGTGCATGCCACCCCACCTGGATAATATTTTAATGATTTTAGTAGAGACAGGGTCTCCCTGTGTTACTCAGGCTGATCTTGAGCTCCTGGACTCGGGCAATCCTCCTCCCTGGCCTCTGTAGACATTTGAACGTGTGATCCTGATAAATTTTTGAACATGTTTTGTTAATTTAATTAGAATAGAAAGTTAAGAAATTTGCAAGGCACAATAACTCTGGAACTAAAGACGCCAAGCTGATACTCTATCCCTGATGATTGCCAGAAACTACCTTCTTAGTAATCACACCATGATGCTATTTGCTCTTTTACTCTTTCTCCCATGAGTGTGCAGTGGAGTTTCTCAGAGGCTACAAGATACTGCAACAGAATGAACACACACACAGCTGTTTCCTATTAAGTTGTACAAAGAAGAGATTAGTAAACATGCAAAATACTTCCATTCTCCTCCCTCACTTTTTTGGAATAAGTTATTTCTATAAAAATAGGCTGTTTATATTACCATGTAATGTATTTAGTATTTTTAAAAACAGGCATCAAAGGCATTTCTGTTTTAATTTCTAATATAATAAATATTGATGGATAGGACCCTCAATAAATAAAAGTCCTTTAGAGTTATTAATAATATGTAACAGTATAAAGGGGTCCTGGGGCTAAAATAATTGACATTTACTGATTTAGGGCCATATGAGAAGTGTAACTACTTTCTTTCAGTGCCTTTCTCTGAACTTAAGATTTTCTGAACATTCCAAGCTATTTGCGATTTGCGCATGTGCTAATGGTTTCTTATTTATTACACAAGCATTTTATTTTTTATTTTTAAGTTCAGGGTACAAGTGCAGGTTTGTTCCATAGGTAAACTTGTGTCATGGGTGTCTGTTGTACAGATTATTTTATTGCCCAGGTATTAAGCCTAGTACCCATTAGTTATTTTTCCTGATCCCCTCCCTCTGCCAACCCTTCACCCTCTGAAAGGCACAAACATTTTAATAAGCAGGTTCTTACTGAGACAAATATGTATGTATGCATGTATGTGCATATGTGTATATATGTATATGTGCATATGTATATGTGTACACACACACACACACCTTTCTTTGCAATTCTGCAAACTTAGTTCTGGATTCATGAAGCCTGTTACTTTCTCTTTATGTTGCTCTTATTCAGTTCATCCTCCTCCCTGAAATTACAGATGTTAGAGATGGAAAGTAATGAATACAGTTCACCGTAGTCTTTTATTTTACAGATGGGGAAACTGAGGCCTGGAGTAACCAGTCATATTGCTTCCATGCTGGGAACTCTCCAATGACATATCGCACAATACAGAGCCAACCTCAAGTTCCCCACCATAGACCACAAGGACTTGCAAGTTCTAACCTTGCCCAATCTCCCTTATACGCCCTCAGTCCATGTGCCTCTGTGATGATGGATTGGGTCCTTCTTGGCTTCCTCCAAAGGGGCAGAACTGCTCTGGAAGGTTCCTCATGGCATTGGCAATGATCTTATTCTATGCTGCTTAAAGAGATTAAATTGACTTTGCTCTTGTTACATAATTAATGGTTAAGAATAAAATTCTGAACATTTTCAAGGAAACTTTTAATCCTAAAGCAGGTTTTGTATGCCTAAGCTTTGGTATGTTTTCCCACTCAACACTCAGAAATAAGCAGGGAACTTTCTAAAATAAATAACTGTTATTCTTTTTCCCCCAGGACTTACATTTTATCTATAAATGCATTTGTCTTTTAGTTTAGTTTATTTAGGTAGAATTAAAGTAGTTTTAACTTAGTTTTCCCAATGAAATTAGATTTTAGGTACATGAGAAAAAGATTAGTAAATCAAAGACCATTTAATTACTATTGATTGAGGTGGTCACTATTGTCATCTACCCTCTCAGCCAACTTTGTCTTTATTTAATGGGTGCTGAATGAAATCGCTCAAGTGTACAGGAAAGTCTTTTGACACTCGTATCTTGTCTAATGAAACAATGCATTTGATCTTGGGTTCCCACAATGGCCTGGTTTGCATCTTAAATCCTGATTTACTGTACTCAGTGAAGAAGAACACATTCATTCACCCTCTGGGGCTTTTCTCTGCCCATTGTTTCTTGAGTTTATATTTTCCTGCCCATTAAGCAGAAAAGGCTACAGCAGCTGCCCATCCTCTAAAGCACTGGACCTGTTTTCTCTGCCAGTCCCTGGATCGTGATAGATGATCACACTCTAGCCCTGCTCACTTGTGCATCCAGACCCTGCAGCTTCTCATTGCAGGATATCTCGCTCTATCACGCACACAGCTCAGTCCCCTTCTCCTGGGCTTCCCCAGCCCCACCACTGAGAGCCTGGCAAAAACAAACAAACAAACAAACAGCAACCAAAAAAACCCAAAAACAAACAAAATAAAAAGTAACAAAACATATAGGCACAATGATATTTGTGATATTTGTGAGAGCATCATTAACACAGAAAACTAGGGAAAGAAACTAGGCAAATGCAGTTGGGACTACCAGTATTTTCTCAAGGATTCTACAGCACCCAGGGTCCCAGGAACAATCCCTTACTCAAAAGAGAGGAAGTCAGCTGCAAGACGGATGGGCCATAGGAGTTTTTGTTTGAAACCCTGTTTTTCATTTTTTTGGGTACCCACCTAGGAGTGGAATTGCTGGGCCATATGATAACTCTACGTTTAGCTTATTGAGGAACCAACAAACTGTTTCTATAGAGGCTGCACCATGTTACATTCTTACTAGCAATGAATAAGGGCTCCAATTTCTCCATATCATCACCATCACTTGCCATTTTCCTTCTTTCTTTCCCTCTTTCTTTTTTCTTTTCTGCCTGTCTTTCCTTCTTTCTTTTGCTTTTCAATTTTTCATGGCCATCCTAGTGTGTGTGAAGTGATATCTCAATATGGTTTTGATTTGCATTTTCCTAATGAGTGATGTCATGGAGAATCTTTTCATATATTTGTTGGTCATTTGTACATCTTCTTTGGAGAAACGTATATTTACCTTGTCAATTTAAAAACTGGTATTTGTCTTTTCTGAGTTGGAATTTTAAAATATATTCTAGATAGGCCGGGTGTGGTGGCTCACACCTGTAATCCCAGCACTTTGGGAGGCCGAGGCGGGTGGATCACGAGATCAGGAGATCGAGACCATCCTGGCAAACACAGTGAAACCCCATCTGTACTAAGAAATACAAAAAATTAGCTGGGCGTGGTGGTGGGCACCTGTAGTCCCAGCTACTTGGGAGGCTGAGGCAGGAGAATGGTGTGAACCCGGGAGGCAGAGCTTGCAGTGAGTGGAGACTGAGCCACTGCACTCCAGCCTGGGCAACAGAGCAAGACTCTGTCTCAAAAAAAAAAAAAAAAAAAATATATATATATATATATATATTCTAGATAATAGACTCTTATCATATGGAATATCCAGAAGAAGCAAATCCACAGGGATGAAAACAGATGTGTCATTGCTAAGGACTAGGGAGGAAAGGAATAGGAAGTGATGGCTTAATGGGTAGGAGGTTTTTCTTTGGGTGACACAAATTTCTAGAAACTACATACTAGTAATGATTGCACAACATTATGAATGCATTTGATGCCATCGCAGCATACACTTTAAAATGCTTAAATTTGGCCAGGCATGGTGGCTTATGCCTGTAATCCCAACACTCTGGGAGGCTGAGGCGAGAGGATTGTTTGAGCCCAAGAGTTCAAGTCCAGTGTGGGCAAGGTGGTGAAACCCCATCTCTGCAAAACAAATACAAAAATTAGCCGGGTGTGGTGGTGCATGCCTGTAGTCCCAGTTACTCAGGAAGTTGAGGTGGGAGAATTGCTTGCTTGAGCCTGGGAGGCTGAAGCTGCATTGAGCCCAGATTGTGCCACTTAACTCCAGCCTGAGTGATAGAATGAGACCCAGGCTCATACATAATAATAAAATAAAGTGCTTAAAATGGTAAATTTTGTTATGTGTATTTTGTAAAAATTAAAAACAACACATGACGAAGAGATTAATGGGGCACTCTTTGCCTGGTGAATTTTACTGTTGGAGAACCCTGAAGGGGAAATTGTCTCTTGGGACTGTTGGTCATACTTCACTGAAGCCATGTGCAGTGGTGGGACTCGATTTGAAAACAGCTACTCTAGAGATCAAAAGGCGAAGAAAATAGAATGCTGGGGGGTGTCTCCATGGCACAAGAGTGGGCAGGACATGTACAAAAAAGTCCAACAGGATTCAATGTGATCAGGAGAGGATTCACTGACAAACAACAAACAGAAAAAAAATGCAAAGGAAGACAAACATAATAAACAACCTGTGGACAGTGGGGCTCTGATGCACTGTCTCCCCCAGACATGCAGGAATCAGGCAGAAATGAAGTTCCCCGCTCAACATGCCCTTTCTGTCTTCAACACCATGCAGTCTCAATAGCAGAGGTAGCATCCTTACAGGAGCAAAATTTGCTGGTGGGGTTGTTAGGGAGCACAAAATAATGCAAGCCTAGATGCAGTATACAAACAGATATGCAATACATCTGCAGCATAAACATTTCATGGAGGGAGGGAAATGATTAGGAAATAGTCTTAAAAGTCTCCTCAGGCTGAGAGAGGTCAATAATGAAAAACAAAGTTGAAACACTGCCTTACACAACAGCCACACACAAACACACAAACACACACACAATCGTAAAACAGAATAACAGCAAAAACATCTAGTTATAATAAAACAACGCAATAGACAGATCATGTGTGAAAACCCTGAAAAAGCAAGTCAGCAGGAATAAAAGAAAATGTGAAAATTAAACGTTTGAGAAATAATTCAACAGCATTAGTAACAAAAAGAATCAACATAAAATTACGAATTACTTATTTTCACTGATCAAACTGAAAAATATTTTAAAAGTTTGCGTTTTCATTGCTGGCAGAAAATGTTGAAGTATGCACCTAACAGGATTACTAGGAGGTCAAAAAATTACTGTAGGCTTTATGGAGGGTGATTTGACAATTGCTTTGGAAGTGAACATACCAATTGCCTCAATACTTTCTCTCCTATGTATTTATCTCAAGCAAATAAACTAAAAAATTAGAGGCTTCTCTGAGATAGACATTTCTATCTCAGAAAAAGTTCAAGCAGAAATAAGTGGCTGACTAGTGAGAATTTCAGTGAAACTTTCTCATAAAGATAATGGTAGGATGAAATGCAGTATCACATCTGAAATGTTAAGAATTAACTGTATGCTGTAGAAACAGAACTACATTAGAACTATGAAGATGTTCTAGGTCCTAATTATAGTAGCAATAATAATAAAATTAATGGCTCATATTTATTAAGCTCTCAATGTGTGCCAAGCACTGTTTTAAGCATATTTGCATGTTAACTCATTAATACTACAAAATGCCTCTGTAATGTGGGTGTTACAATTCTCACTCACCATGAGCAAAATAAGGCACAGAGTTTCCAAGCACCCTGCTGCAAGGCAAGCAGTGCATAAGTCACAGAACCAAGGTCTTAACCAGGCCACTGTGTCCACAGTCTTATCTCCTACTTTGCCTTTCATGAACTGGCTTTGCTTGAAGTCAGTACCTGAATGTTGTTTCTCTTTAACTCCGCTCTAGTAACTCACCAGATCTGTATGCCCTTCCCAAGTTACAAAACACTTGCAGCCACAGTTATGTTATTTCATTTTCTCAACAAGCCTTTGGAAAGGGTGAGATAGCAATATTACCCATTTGTGTGGAAACTAAAGCTCAGAGGGGTTTGTTTTGTCTTAGAGACTTCACAATGAAGTATGGGAGACACTCCTGCTATAACTCAATGGCTCCCAACTGAATACAGGCTGCTAAGCTCAACTTGGACCTACCTGAGATGCCCTTTGATGACAGATGCA
The DNA here is from genome assembly GCF_000001405.40 of Homo sapiens. Classification (NCBI taxonomy): domain Eukaryota; kingdom Metazoa; phylum Chordata; class Mammalia; order Primates; family Hominidae; genus Homo; species Homo sapiens. The sequence goes on from NC_000012.12 coordinate 126,438,511, forward strand.
TGTTATTGCACCTGCAATATTTCTCAGTCAGAAAGATGATATGATTCTATGTGTCCAGCTTGTCTTGTGCACACCCGTTTTCTACTGTTTGTGTTCTAGAATGCCAACTGTTTGCTTCATTATTGTTTCAAGGATCTATCACCCCATCATAAACTACTCCAAATTAGGAGCTTAAAGCAATCATTTATTTGCTCACCACTTTTGTATCAGCAATGCAGACAAGCTAGGATGAGAGGGGCTTTCTCTGCTCCACGATGTTTGGATCCTTGGCTGGGATGTCACAAATAGTGGTGACTCAACTGGGATCACACACCTCAGGCCTCTGTGGTCACTGGCGGCCTGGTTACTTGGGTCATCCCTATCCACATGGCTTGTGTGAGCTTCCTCACGGCATGGCAGCCGCATAGTGGCTGGAGTTCTTACACAGTGCCTGGTTTTCCCCAGAGAGAAAGCAAAAGCTGTTGGACCTCTTATAGACGGTGACTGGAATCATCACAGTGACCCGTTACCACCTTCTCTTGTTCAAGGTAAGTTATACTGCTAGCCCAGATACAAAGGGAGGAGAAATTGACTCCCTTTCTTAACAGTTTGAGTGTAATGTGCGTAGAAAGAGGAATAATATTTATGATAGCCATCTCTGGAAACTATCATAACAATTAGATCTCTTATTAAAAAATTAATATAAGCATTTGATAAAAAATTCAAATCGTGTAGATATATCTACTGCATCCAATGCTAAGAGATCTTTGTGATTTATGCACTGTGCACTTGCATTGCATAGAGAGAGGGAAGATGTGGGATTTCTTTTTGCCCAAATAGAAACATACTATATATGCTCTTCTGCACTTTATTTTTATATGGGGGCAGGATGTAGGTCTGATTAACTTTTGCATTTCTGCCATACTGCCAAGTCTATTTGTGGAAATGTGTTTTTTAGTAATGTTTTCCAAAGGTATTAAATTAGGAGACACAAACTCCAATGCCCATAGCAGCCTAACAAGTGATATAAATGAGTGTCAGAAACCAGGCTAAGGCAATTGGGAGTGGTGGGGACTGCGGTGTCCTGAAGATCTAATGCCACCTCTGAGGCAAGCAGCTGCTACTCTGCTCCTGGCCTTTGCTGCTATGCAGAAACACAGGCCCAGCATTGCCACATCTTCTAAACTTTTAAAGAGTAGCCTGAAACCCAGGACCCTGCATATAAAACCCCCTGAACTTTGGCTATTGAAAACCAATGTGATTTTAAAAGCAATGACATGTAGGCCAAGAAAATATACCTATAGGCTGCATTCAGCCTTGAGTCCGCCAATTTACACCTTCTACAATGTTCTCATTGAGGAACCCCAGTGGGTACCATGACTCCCTCCTTCTAAGCTGTCTTTCCTAGGTTTCATCTTCCCACATATGGGCAATGTTAGAGGCACTTCTGCCTCATTTTATAAAATTTGGCCATTTTCTACCAGGCCTTAAAGAGAAGAAGAGATGGAGTTAAGTGAGAAAAATATGGCTATGTGGGGAGTAAAGTGAATATTCCAAAAGTAAGTATCCTCTGGGATTGAAGAACGAACGAAGTGGACAATTATTCAAGTGACTCTTCTGTCTAAACTGGCCTTGGGTAAGAAAATATGCCCGTAGGCTGCTCTGTATTTTTCTACTCTGGGTGGCCTAGCAGCCTACCTGGCCCAGGTGATGGCTTTCAGGGACCACACTTTAGCTGGGCAATGCACAGCTTTTCCGGGTTGTTATGTACAATTTCAGACTAACCCTCAAGGTCTACCCAGGATGATTAATCTTGAAATAATTTCAGATGCCATTTATTATGGCTTGGAGCTTAGGAATATCTTCAGACCCATTGATGGGAACACTGACTCCTGAGCACAGTCATTTGAGGTGTCTTTAAACAGAAAATTTCAATGTTATCTCAGTTGGGACACACTTTTTCAAAAGCACGATCGGTTGCCAAGAATAACAGGACTTCATATTGCAGAGTGAATTCAGAGGATCAAACTCCAGGAGCCTTCGGATGTCTGATTATTGGATCATCCTGTCTGGCTGCATAAGATGCATCCACGATATTTACTTGGTGCCCACAATATTCCAGGATTGTCCTAGTTGCTTATACGTATTTGTTCTGATTTTATTGGTGTGTAAAGGAGCCCTTGCCATCTTTTCTTTTTTTTTCTTTCTTTCTTTTTTTTTTTTTTTGAGACGGAGTCTTGCTCTGTCACCCAGGCTGGAGTGCAGTGGCGCAATGTCGGCTCACTGAAAGCTCCGCCTCCCGGGTTCACGCCATTCTCCTGCCTCAGCCTCCCGAGTAGCTGGGACTACAGGTGCACGCCACCACGCCTGGCTAATTTTTTATATTTTTAGTAGAGACGGGGTTTCACCGTGTTAGCCAGGATGGTCTAGATCTCCCGACCTTGTGATCCGCCCGCCTCGGCCCTTGCCATCTTTCTACTTGAAAATGAGATTGAAAGTTGTTTCAGCTCAGATCTGAACTAAACACTTTTTATGAACCAAAAGTTCCCACCCGCGGGGCTTAAGAGTTGCATTAGTGCCAAATAATTGACTTAATTATTTTTAGCTTAATGAAAAATGTCTCATTTTCTACTTGATTGATTGATTCTGTATCCTTTTAAAAATTTTTTTGGTATGACACAACTGTCTGAACTATGTCTAGCTCTGTTTATATTCTGACTTGGAGGAATTCTGGGAGCCAAATCATAGCTAAACGTGTGAATCTTCACTAATCGAAATGGGTGGAATTTTCTGTAAAGATGCAAACTGGCTTGACTGTGTCCAGTTATTGCTCCTGAATCCTAACTGCAGTGAATGGAGGGAGGGGCAGTGTACTACGCGAGAGGGTGGGTCCTGAAAACTAGACATCCCTGGGTGCTAGCCCTGTGTTGAACCTCTTTCTCGTGCAGATTTGGACAAATATTTATTCTGCACTTTAGTTTCCTTATCTGTAAAATGAATATGATAAGAATTATGTTTACTTACAATATAAACCTCTTCAATGAGTAGAAGCAGTGAGAGACATAGTATAAGTAATCAATACACGCTAAATGTCTCAGAAGTCATCTTAGAACATTAGTAGAATGTATTTTTTATAGTTTGATTTTAAATTCACAAATAGTAACTGTATATATTTATAGAACAAAATGTGATGTTTTGATACCTGTATACATGGCGGAATGATCCAATTAGGCAACTTAGTATATCATCACCTCAAATATGTATCATTTCTTTGTTATATGAACATTACGTGTTTTTGGACTAAGTGAAACAGAGACTGTTTGGAAAGCCATAGAAAGTAGCCACCCTCTTTTTATCCTCACACCAAAGAAAAGCTGACCACTTGCTAACCAGCCCACTTATTTCACCTTAAAGTAAATTGAATCTGGAACCCTGGATCATTCTATGAAATTTTCCAAAAAGCTAGTCAGAGGCCGGGCACCGTGGGTCACACCTGTAATCCCAGCACTTTGGGAGGCTGAGGCACGCGGATCACCTGAGGTCAGGAGTTCGAGACCAGCCTGGCCAACATGGTGAAACCCTGTCTCTACTAAAAATACAAAAATGAGCCAGGCTTGGTGGCGGGTGCCTGTAATCCCAGCTACTCAGGAGGCTGAGGCAGAATAGCTTGGTCCCGGGAGGCAGAGGTTGCAGTGAGCTGAGATCCCGTCATTGCACTCCAGCCTGGGTGACGAGAGTGAAACTCCATCTCAAAATAATAATAATAATAATAATAATAATAATTAAAATCTAGTGAGAAAGCAAAGTAAACTCAAGGAAGTCCTGGCTTTGCGATTTTGTTTTGTTATTCCTAAGCACTGCCTCACCTGCTCTAGCGTGGGAGCTGAGTCGTCAAGGGGAAAGACAATGAAATTGCTCTAAGTTATCATCTCTCCAGGCATTGTTCTGTAATAACTGTCACTGTTAACAGAAGAGGCCTCCCTCCTGCAGTGGGAATACCAGGGGTGGGCACTGTCAAGAGACCCAGCTTTGACTTCAAATGCCACCCAGAGGGACAACTGCTCACTTTCAGAGCAGGAGCAGGAGGCCAGAGGAGAGTGTGAGTCTAACATCTGCACAGTGAGAAGTCCAGGAGAAGCAAAAATGAGATCCAGGCTGGAGCGGCTGTGCCAGAGTAACTGTTCCAGCGGGTGTGGGGGAGGGTCCCCCAAAAAGACTTACCTGGACTGAATGGGAAATAATAGAAAATAGGAGCAAGAGACTGTCACTTTATAATAGGTTCTGTTATGACCTCCTACAACAATATGTTAGAAATTATGATTTCTAATATGTCTATGATACAGATAGACATATAGTTAGAAAACTAAATAAAGAGACAGATTTTGAGCTAGGTATACTTACAGATACAGACATTGATATCATAGATAAACATGTTCTTTATTTTTATATTGTCAATGTTTGTGTTGCTGGAAAAAGGGGTCCCTATGATCCAGACCTCAAGAGAGGGTTCCTGGACCTCCCACAGAAAGGGATTCAAGGTGAGTTGTAGAGTGTAGTGAGAAGAGATCATTTATTGAAAATTCTTCAGATTCAGAGTAGGGTGTCCTCAGAAAGCAAGAGGAGGAATGCCCTGTCTTTGTTTTAAACTCTTCTTACACAGGGGTCTCATCTACATAAAAGCTAAGCTATCTCTGTGTGTGGGTGGGCTGACAATGTGACAAGATGTAGTACTTTGGCCATTTAAAGAAAGTTATCCTTGGCATTTTAGTTTATAAGTACATGAAAGCATGATTGTACATTTCTTAAAAGCATATATTGTTATGTGATATTGGGACATGTGGACTTTCTGCTGTTGTAGGAGTTTGTCCTTGCAGGCATTGCCAAGCGGTTTCCTCTGCAGTAAACATCTTATGACCACGGGTCATAACTGGCAAGGAATGTGTGTTGCGAGTTTAAAGATGGAGTTAATTTTAAAATGGTGACACCTGGCTCTCTAGGCGCCTGCTTTTCTAACTTTTCTAGGTATAAACCTAATCTTCCTTGCTAGATCACAACCTCCAATGATCTATTTTTCATCTTCAGTTGTCCCAAGCACTAGCTTGTTCTGCGAGCGTCTCGTGGTCATGGAAAACTGATAAAGCACAGCATGAGAGGCTCAATGGATAAGAAATTATAAAGAATCACTAAATTTGCATAGGTGTTTTGATTGTGACCTACCGAGGAAGGAAGTGGAGAGGGTGTGTGGGAGGGAGGACAGCAGATGTGTAGACACGGCTTCATTTGCCTCCCACCGGGAATTTTGCCCGAGACTTATGGAGAGAATGGCCATTGGCAGAGACTGAAAGAGTTGATTTGATTCTCTGAGGCCTGATGCACTTGGTGAATTGTTTTGGGGTCTCTGTGGCATTAGGATAGGGGCTTTTTTTCTTTTTGTTTGTTTTGTTTTGTTTTTTTGGTCAAATGTCCTGTGTTTCAGGTTTCAACCAAGACTTTGGGAAACCAGGACTACTTGAAACCCTGATGGACTGCAGTGTTCAAAGAAGGAGGGAACAAAACCCTCTGGAAACCTCTGGAATTAGTGGCTGGGAAATAGCCCTTGGTTACTCTATGGACAGCAGATGTCCCAGACAGAGCCAGAGCCTAAGAACATGGGAGGTTTTTTCGTTGTGGTTTTTGTTTCTGTTTTGAGACAGAGTCTCGCTCTGTCACCCAGGCTGGAGCACAATGGCATGATCTGGGCTCACTGCAACCGCTACCTCCTAGGTTTCAGCGATTCTCATGCCTCAGACTCCCGAGTAGGTGAGATTATAGGCGCCCACCATCACGCCTGGTTAATTTTTATTTTTTATAAAAATGGGGTTTCACCATGTTGGCTAGGCTGGTCTCAAACCCCTGACCTCCAGTGATCCACCTGCCTTGGCCTCCGAAAGTGCTGGGATTACAGAGCCGCTGTGCCTGGCTAACATGGGAGGTTTTTAAATATCTGTGTTTCCAGAATGAACCGGTGAGTCTTTGAAGTCCTTGTATGAACAGGACTGGGCACAAGTCAACCAGAATAATTTGCAGACATGCAAGCTGTTTGTATCCAGCGGATCAATAGCAACCTGTTTTAGCTTTCCATCTTTCTTTAAGGAAATGTCCTATCTCCAATACTACTGTGAAATTCTAGAGCATAAGAAGAGAATAAAGTCTTGATGTACGGTTTGGTTGGTAGGCAGAGCTCCACCCCACCATCTCCTTGGTGACAGTGCCCCACTCGTGAGAAGGGTACTGTTTCTTCCCTGGTGTTAGTGTTACCTAGTATAATGCCTATGTGACATAGCTGAATTTCTACCCTATCCTAACTCTGCTACTCTTTAAGGATGCCTGCAATAAAAAGTTCCCTTTTTAACCAGACCAGCTGAAACTGATTAGAGCCAAGATAGCCAACCAAATGACTTCAGGAAGACCTCAGGCTTCATTATCATCTCATTTCCATGCTAAAAAAACCCAGCTCCCTAGAACAATGGGAAATATTGGGCACTTCATCAGGCGAGTTCAGGTGCATTTCTAGAGATTGTCCAGGTGAGTCAAAGAGCAAATGCCATGAAGTAGCCTCAGCCCTTTGGGTCATGGGAAACCATTTTTGAAATAATATTACATATTTGTCAGAGTTTGAGCTGGGCAAGGGATTAGCCTTTTCTCCAACTTCACAATCAGATTAAGAGGAAACAAAGCCTCAGGACAAATTCTGCCATACACATGAGTATTTGATAATTAATACATATTATCAATAGGAACACAGCGGTCCATACATTCTGTAAACTGTACGATACCCAGATCCTCTATCCTTGTAAGTGATCCAACTACACATTCTGTAATGGTCTCTCAGGCTGCAATAACAAAATGACACAGCCTGGATGGATTAAACAACAGAAAGGTATATCTCATAGTTCTGGAGGCTGGAGGTCAAAGACGAAGGTGGGGTGCTGGCTGGCTCAGTTTCTTCTGAGGTCCCTCTGCTTGGCGTGCAGATGCCACCTTCGTACTGTGTCCCAGCTTGGTCTCTTCACTGTGCGTATCTCTCATGTCTCTTCCTCTTCTAGGAACACAAATCAAACTGGATTAGGCTCCATTGTTAGGACCTCCGTTAATCTTCATTAGTTCTTTAAAGGACCCTATATCCAAGTACAGTCACATTGGAGGTTCAGACTTCAACACATGAGGCCTGGCGTGGTGGCTCATGCCTCCAATCCCAGCATTTTGGGAGGCCAAGGTGGGTGGATCACCTGAGGTCAGGAGTTCGAGACTAGCCTGGCCAGCATGGTGAAACCCTGTTTCTACTAAGAATACAAAAATTAGTTAGGTGTGGTGACACATGCCTGCAATCCCAGCTACTTGGGAGGCTAAGGCCGGAGACTTGCTTGAATCTGGGAGGTAGAGGTTGCAGTGAGCAGAGACCACCTCACTGCACTCCAGCCTGGGGAACAGAGCAAAACTCCATCTCAAACAACAACAAACAACAACAACAACAACAAAAAGAAAACAAAGACTTCAACACATGAGTCCTTCAACACATAACACATGCCATAAAAGATCCCCATGGGACAGTTATGACAATGTTCTAAAAGAAGAAATCCATCACAGTTGGCATCTGGCAACCTGAATTTGCCATCTCAGTGACTGGATGGAGGGTGGTTTAGGGGTTTGACTTCATGTGCTCTCCCTACAAGTATAGAGTATGGGGCTTATGAGATGGTGAGACCTTGTTTTGCAGGTGTGAGGAGTGACTGATTCAGTTTATTCCATCTGCCTTTCTCGTCAATGAAAGCCCATTTTCTACATCCATGTTGCTAGAGAACACACCACTACACTTTCCAAGGAAATAGCATTTCTAGATGAATTACACTAGCTAGTGAGACCTCCAGTGTTGAGCAGACATAGAAAATGGCAGCTGACAGGCTTTAGTGAGAACTTCTGGACTGTGGACTTTCTAATTGGGCATTTGCTAATCAATGCAGGAATGTGAGTGTTTGATTACTGAAACTGCTACCCCAGGAGGTGAATTAAAACTAATTACCTTCATAGAAGCAGAGAGTATAAGGATGGTTGCCAGGGCCCGCAGGGAAAGGAAAATAGGGAGATATTGGTCAAAGGGTACAAAATCTCACTTATGCAGGATAAATAAGTTGTGGAGATCTATGTACTGCATTGTGACTATAGGTAATAATCCTGTATTATATACTAGAAATTTGCTAAGGATTGAAATATTAAATGCTCTCACTAAACACACACACACACAATGGTAATTATGTGAGATGAGATATGTTAAATAGCTCGATTGTGGTAATTATTCCACAATGCATATGTATTTCCAAACATCATGTTGTACACCTTAAATGTCTACAATTTTATTTATCAATTGTATATGGATAAAGATAGAAATTTAAATAAAATATATACTCTTTTACATCGCATTGTCAGAACTAAAGAAGAAAGGAGACTTCCAACATCATGACATGAATCGTTTCTGATGATGTCTAAATCTCCTCACAATTCCAACATCAGTTCCACTTTCCTTGAGAAAAATAAACCAGAATCTTTGTTTGGCTATAATGTTTCCGACAGTCTGAAAAAGAAAGGACTATCTTATTAGTAGCATCCAGAATTTTAGTTTTGCATATTAAGAAAGGTGCCGAACACCCTAATCTCTCTTTTTATGTGGATTATGGACCCAGGGAATTTGATACCCATTCTGAGAAATTGTGTAAAATTGAGTAATTCCAATTAGGTCTTTAAATTGAACAATGGTGACAACACCAGCTCTTTTTCCCTAGTAAAATAAACAAGGAAATATTTAAAGAAGGAGGATGCTTGTGTGGTAAGAGTTATTAAGAAATTATTTTAGGCGGATAGAGATAAAAAGGGGTACTTGGGAAATTTTCATTTTTAAAGACATTTCCTGTCTAGCTGGAAAGCCCCAGCTGTTAGAGCCAGGTGGGCAGCCTTTGATAAGCAAATGAGAGCCATTAGAAACTAGGTCCACCCACACATGGGGATTCTGGCTGCCTTCTTGCCCTTGCCCCACATGTTCCTGGCAACATGGCCACCCCCACATATCCCCACGTGTGTGGAACATCATGGCGGCCTGTATTTGCATATTCAAAGGCTAGGGTGGGAGGGTCAGTTTTTTCCAGGGCTACGTAAATGACATGCCTGGTCAAACCTATCCCCTAAGCCCTATGCAAATCAGACACCGCCTCCTCCAGCCTCTACATATACCTGGCAGGTATCCACCCAACTTGGGGTTTCCTCTTTTGGGTTTGGAGACTCCTCCTCTCTGTCTCTGTACGAGGGAGCTTCTTGCTTTTGTCTTCTCCCTTCCTTCTTGCCTATTAAACTCTCCGCTCCTTAAAACTACTCCACGTGTGTCCCTGTAGTTTTTTTCTAATTTGACTTGAGAAGAAGAATCTGGTGTTCCTCCACTAATCAGAGCCATATCACCTTCAGGTGCTGGTAACAATAATAGAGAACCATCCATATCCACAAGAGGCAGAACCTCTTCCAGCAAAATGGTGCTGCCTCACCCAAAGGTAATTAGTGGCTATCGGGGCAGACAATTGTTGATGTTGTTCATGTCCCAACTCATTTGTTGGGCTCACAGTAACAAATTTTATTTTGATTTAGTTATTTTTATAACCTGGGGATTTTAATGAGGCTTTCCTTCTGACCAGTTAGAGCATCAGAAACCCACCCTCTTCCCTGCTGCTGTCATTAGGAACCAGGAGGCACATGAGTGGGGCTTCTCCAAGCCTCTTCACTCCATCCCTCTGACCATGGTGGCCACAGTTAAGTGTTAGGATTTTGAATAGGTTGAGCTGATTATTATGAATTTTCAATAAGGTGGAGCTGATTATTAGTATGAGTTCTGGGACTCCTAAGAAATTACCAGATAAAGATACTACATTTTTTCCTCAGGTATCACTAAGCATATAGATTATAGAAGCCTGAGATGGTGAGTGGAATCTGAAAATGAAATCTAACATTTACCAAAGATACAGAGAAGGAGGAAGAGACTGGATTCGTTGTTCCGGCCCCTGAGTCTAGTCAGTCAGTTCTACTCTTGGGCTTTGTAGTTCTGTTCATCAGTGAACTCTTCTGTTTTGTTGAAACCAGTTGGAGAAGGGTTTCCAGAAACCTGCACTTGAAGAGCATCAGCTGGCACAGAGATCTTGGCTGAACCCACTGCTGTGTTTGACTAGGAATGAGAGTGGGCACACGGAGAGGGCAGCCCACCAGGCAGGTGTGTCTCACATCACTGGGGAGCCCTTTTCATTCAAAGATGACCAGCTTATAAAAGATCAGTGATGGGAAGTCCCAGGTAGGGCCCCCAGGACCTACAGCAGGGGCCAGCAAAGAATGGTCAGCCGTCTCTCTACTGGGTCAGAAAGAAATAATGAAAGGGGCTGAACTTGGCCATGTGAGCTGTCCAGCATGGATGCCAGACCAGACCAAAATCCAGATTCAGACAGCTGCTCCCTATAGCAGGGGAAACCCCAAACACAGACAAGACAAAGCAGCAGAGCAACTTCCTTACCCAGACCACTGGCAGTCCCAATCCTTCTCCACCCCTCAGGTTGCCTGGTTACTGGACATGCGGACATTCACTTTGATTATGCTCCATTCGAGAATGCTAGAATGAAAATGTGGGTAAATGGTGAAGGAATTCAAGGAAAAGAAAATGCACCCACCATGTTTATGTTATAATACCATGCTGGACCAGACATTTTGTCATTCAAGGATGAATGTGTTACAGGGGTCCTTGCTCCCAGAGCTCCCAAGATGGTGGTGGCTGCTTCCAAGATGGCAGTGGCTTCCAAGATGGTGGGTGGCTTCCAAGATGGTGGCAAGCCTTGTGTTCTCTGACCTGGAGTTCTTGGCCTCACAGATTCCAAGGAATGGAATCTTGGGCCATGTGGTGAGTGTTATAGCTCTATTAGAAGCAGTGGGTCATGGAAGAGAACCATGGAACCCAGTAATTAGTGTTTAGCTCAATTAGGACGAACCCAGGCACTTAACTGTGCAGGAGCAATGGCAAGCCTTTAGCCCGATGGAGAGGGGCAATGGGTGCCTCACTTGATCAGGAGTACAGCAGACACCCTGCTGGATCTGGAGGGATGGAAGTCAGCGGCGGGTCTGCAACAGCGGCCAGCAGCAGTGGTGGACGGCGAGCAAAAGCCCAGCTCCAGCCATAACAAACACAGACCAGAAGAGTGCAGTTCCAAGATTTAATAGAGTGAAAACAGAGCTCCCATACAAAGGGAGGGAACCCAAATGGGGTTGCCGTTGCCAGCTCGAATGCCTGGTTTATATCCCGATCATTGTCCCTCCCGCTGTGCTCCCACGCAATAGATGATTGGCTATTTCTCTACCTCCTGTTTTTGCCTAATTAGCATTTTAGTGAACTCTCTTTACTCTCTGATTGGTCAGGTGTGAGCTAAGTTGCAAGCCCCATGTTTAAAGGTGGAAGTGGTCACCTTCCCAGCTAGGCTTAGGGATTCTTAGTCGGCCTAGGAAATCCAGCTAGTCCTGTCTCTCAATTGGATGTGGGCCATCAAAAAGTTTCACCAACATAATAGGAAGGAAAATATACAATCTTAAGATGCAATGGGAGATGTTTTAACAAGGATTTTTACTAAAGGAAACTTCTTTTTTCCTTTTGTATAAAATTTCTGTGAACCCAGAAAATCTGAGACAGGTCTCAGTTAATTTACAAAGTTTATTTTGCCAAGGTTGAAGACACGCTGCTGATAGCCTCAGGAAGTCCTGATGACATGTGCCCAAGGTGGTTGGGGTACAGCTTGGCTTTACACATTCTAGGGAGACATGAGATGTCAATCAATATATGTAAGAAGTACATTAGATCCATCCAGAAAGACAGAGACAACTCAAAGCAAGCTTCCCCCTCCCACACTGAGAGCTTTCAGGTCACAGGTAGGTGAGAGACAAATGGTTGCATTATTTTGGGTTTCTGATAAGTTTTTCCAAAGGAGGCAATCAGATACGCATCTATCTCTGTGAGCAGAGGGGTGACTTTGAGTAGAATGGGAGGCAGGTTTGCCTTAAGCAGTTCCCAGCTTGAAAGGGCCCAGGATATTTTCCGTTCACATTTCTTAGACAGCCCAGACTTTATACCCACAAATAGGCTGCCCCTGTGGGCAGAGGTAAGAGAGTTTTCTTTCTTTTCACTGAGGCACCTGAGCAGCTTAGCTGTAAATATTGTCTTTGGTCCTCATCTATTTTGGAACTGAAGGAATTAAGGAGAGAAACCTGGGCAAAAATTTAAGAAGCTGAAAACAGTTAAGTTGAGTGACAGTACTCAATTTCTCCCATCTCCTGTGTGTATTATTAAAGTAAAAGGTTGAGGTAGATAAAAGCGTTCACTCTGGCCCAGAAACTCCCCTGTTTTTGTGATAGTGAATAAGTCTCATGAGATCTATATAGTTTTATAAAGAGGAGTTCCCCTGCACACGCTTTCTCCTGCTTGCTGCCATGTAAGACATGCCTTTCACCTTCTGCCATGATTCTGAGGCCTTTCCAGCCATGTGGAACTGTGAGTCCATTATCCTCTTTTTCTTTATAAATTACCCAGTCTTGAGTATGTCTTTATTAGCAGCATGAGAAGAGACTAATACATCCCCTCCACCCCCTCTGCTGCCTCATTTTTCACCAATATCCTGTCTTGAAGCCTTCACAAAGTATAAAATTGATTCTTCCAAAGGCATGGGTTATATACACCATGTAGCTAAGAGAAGGTAGGGAGGAGAGTGTTTTCTCACAAATTAGCACATCCCAGAAAACACGTGGAACAAATGAATCCAGAGATACCCAGAACATCTGCAGTGAAGCTTGTTTAGAAACTTAATCATGAAAGTTCTCCATGGAGAGAATTTCTGGAGTCAGGCAGGCATTTTTTTTTTCTTTTTTTTTCCTCCCTGTAATTGTGCCTCTTATTCCAGAGACAAATGGAATTTTTCTTTGGGGTTCTAAGGCCAAGGTAAGTTCTGTGCCTTAGGATCAGGCATTGCCATTGATGTCAGCAGCAAAGATGGATTCATTATTAATGCTCCCATAGATACTTAAAATTCAGAAGTCAGAAACCAAAGAGGACCCTTAAAAAATCTCCATGCTGTCAAGCCAGCACTTAGACATTTTCTTTCTTTGGTTACCATCATGGAAATGAAAAAAAAAATAAAAATCTCAAAATAGCTACAAAATTGGACCTGCTCAAAATATCAATAATTTACATTAAAAATGGATTCTGGAAGTCAACTTCTGATTTTAAGGTGGCTTATTTCATCCTGGTGTACCCTTTCTCCCATTTGTTTTTCTTTTTTCTTTTCCTGCTCTCTTCAAGGCCTGATACAAAGCTCTGTCATAATCAGTAACCGTTTTTCTGTGTGTGAGTACTTTAATCCTTTTCTGTGCAACCACACTGAAGTCTTTAGCAATTAATTAGCAATTCAGATGCAGACCACCCATAAAGAGCTCAGCATGGAATAGGTGCTCCATGAATATGAACTGTTATTACATACACATGCATGATTTAAGAAATAGCCAGTTCTTGATCAGCACAGTGGCTCACGCCTGTAATCCCGGCACTTTGGGAGGCCGAGGTGGGTGGATTGCCTGAGGTCAGGAGTTTGAGACCAGCCTGGCCAATATGGTGAAATCCAGTCTCCACTAAAGATACAAAAAAATAAAAAACAAAAAAAAATAGCCGGGTGTGGTGGCGCAAGCCTGTAGTCCCAGCTACTCAGGAGGCTAGGGTAGGAGAATCGCTTGAACCCTAGAGGTGGAGGTTGCAGTGAGCTGAGATCACACCACTGTACTCAAGACTGGGTAACAGAGTGAGACTCCATCTTAAAAAAATAAATGAATAAATAAAAAAGAAATAGCCAGTTTTAGTAAGAAAGCAGAACTTGTTCTTTCCCTGCAATCATTGTTGGTTATTCTCTGATGAAGAAATGTTAAAATTCAAAACATGGGTCACAGAAATCATAGTAAAACAAATACAAACTGTGACTCACCCCACTCAAATGGACATTTGAGGAGTTTAGAATAATGCTGATGAGTTTCACAGGGCAAATTGGGAGCTCACATATTCTAAAAGGTCCAGTGTGTTAACTATTTGTTTCTGACATTGGCTTGAAAGTAATAATGCCTCATTTTCAGTATTTCTCTATATTCTGTGTTTGCCACATGCATCGCCTTTTTCAAGAGGCTGTGTAGTGTAGTGAAGTGACTTTCCAGATCTGCCATTTACTGTCTGAGGGATCCTGGATCAAGCATACAGATCTTCTAAGCCTAGTTTTCTCACCTGCACTGTAAGAAATAGAGCAGCACCGGCCGGGCGCGGTGGCTCACGCCCATAATCCCAGCACTTTGAGAGGCTGAGATGGGAGGATCACAAGGTCAAAAGATTGAGACCATCCTGGCTAACATGGTGAAACCCCATCTCTACTAAAAACACAAAAATTACCTGGGCGTAGTGGTTCATGCTTGTAGTCCCAGCTACTCGGGAGGCTGAAGCAGGAGAATCGCTTGAACTGGGGAGGCGGAGGTGCAGTGAGCTGAGATTGTGCCATTGCACTCCAGCCTGGGTAACAGAGTGAGACTCTGTCTCAAAAATAAATAAATAAAGAACTGGAACAGCACCTGTTCAAGAGGTGAAACACACAAAGCACGATGCCTATCCAGAGTCCACAGTTATGAGGATCTGTTATTATTCTTCACGATAGTCCTATCACCAGCTTATTTTTTAACCATGCTCAGAAACAAGTTGCCAGCTCTTTAGCATGGCGGCAATACCCTCCATGCTAACACCTGCCCATTTATCCATGAGTAGGTGTGACTCTTCTATTTTCCTACTTACTCCTTTTAATCCCAAAATTTGGGACAATTCAGGTTCTGCCTGAGGCCATGCTATTCCACGCCTTGTCTGGAAGCCACTCCTACTGCTGTCTTTGGAACACTGTTACTCATCCTACAAGGCCTCAATCAAGAATCTTAGGAGGTCATTGGTGCCTACCTGCCCATGGCAGAGACCACCAACACCTTCTGAGAGCTGCCACAGTGCTGCTTTCTAACATGTCTACACTAGCTCCTCACAGTGTGCGGTGATTGTTGGGTGAAAGCTCTGTTTCTCATAGTGAATGCATGCCATCTGCAAGGGGTATGCACATGCCTTTCTTGTCTTTGGATCCTTAGCAAGCAGCAGCATCTGCCTGCCTCAGGTAGACACTCAGAGGCTTATTGAGTGGACTTACATTGAAATCTAGTAGTCTCCAACTTTCTGTTTGATTCTACTCCAAGGCTTTTTTCTCCTTTTTCTTAGCAGTGTTAGAAATGCTTGTTCCCTGATGTTGCAAAGAAATAGCACTTGAACATAAATTTAATTTTCTTAGCAAGGCCATTTTTTCACTTTTTGCAGAAAGAGTATACTCGCCAGCAATTTTGCCATAAGAGTACACCGAACAAAGGAGACAGGGTCATTTATAACCTGACGCGTCCACCCTACTGCTATGTCCGTTTTCTATTGGCTGCAATAGGACCTCCGATTCTGTATTTGTCCCGATTGGCTAGCAACTTAGAACTTTTTAAAAGAGGCAAAGGCAGAGGAGAACAAAGGAAGGCGGAAGTAACTTGTGGAATGCTGAGAAAGGTAAAAACACCTCCAAATAAGGAAGAGGAACAGGCTATGACCTAATGCTTGCTTGGTCCAGTGTAAGCATGCCAGGGGAAATATTTAGGCTAAATTGTGGGAGTTAAGAACATAAAGTACATTGATTTCTTTATTACAGCTAGCAGATATTTAAGAATGTTAGCACAGGTCTTTGAATAAATTTTGCTTCTAAGAGAAGCTACTATTTATTCCTAGTTAGATGGGGAGGAAAGTCTCTTTGAAGAGGAACCTCTACTTTAGTTTTTACAGCAGCGTGCACCCCATCCTTCCTCTGACCCCATGGAGGAAGGTGGCCCAACCTGGACAATCTTAGCTGTCTGTTCCCCCAGGATAGATTCGGGATAGGCATGGAAACCAAGCCAGGCCTTTCTGAGACTCTCTCTAGATTTTTAAAGTTTGAAGCTGGAGTAAAATCAGCCTTGCCACCAGAGACAAAGGCTGGAGAGAGAGACGGGTGCTGTTTAACCTTGTGGAGAGAGAGACGGGTGCTGTTTAACCTTGTGGAGAAGACTTTGCTGTGGGAACAAAGGAGTCCAAACCAACACCAGACAAGCTGAGATCACCAGGAAGGGAGAGAAAGGCACTGGCTTCGTTCCAGTCCTTGGGACTCAGGTCCCTGCCTTCCCCACCTCCACCCCCAACACCCAGCCTCCCAGAAACAGCCCCAGACAACTTCTGCTCTGAGCTGGTTCCTGCCGCAATTCTGTCACTTAAGACGAAAAAAAATCCTAAATGATAGGATAAAACTCAGCCAACAACTTTCAGTGTTTACAATCTTCAGGGCATTGTTCTTTATTACTATTCTTTTTATACTTCCTCAGGATCATGTATTTAGTAAATCTCCCCTCCCCTGAGCCCCACTGCTCATAAAAGCTGAACCTAGGATGTGGATCCAGCAGCGTTCTTTTCAATGCAGGGTAGTTTTCTATTCACCAAGTTGAGCCCCTTTTCACAGTCTGAAGCCTGAAAGTAAAATGTAAAAAGTATTCGAAACTGACTTGCAGGAAGCTGAGGGAGACATTAATATATATCAGACTTATTAATATCTTCAAAATGTTTTAAGGGGAATTTTCTTTGTATTAAGCCAGAGGGATTATGTTTTTATTGTAAAGAAGAATTAGATTAATGAAAGCATTTATACAAACGCTTTGAACTTTAAACAACATGTGTTAAGTAAGCTGAAGTCATATCATAATTATATTTCTTAAAGTGATTCACACAATATTTTGTAAGTATTTGTTAATAGGAGGAATGGAAACACAAGAAAATCACTAGTAATAGGTACACTGAATATACAATTTATGGGATAATATTAAAATGCAATTATTCAGTCTCCCTGAGCCCTTAAATTTTCTCCAATAAGTTAATCCTTCCTGTAAATGGATGAAAATTTCAGCTAGCCCAGGACTTTCCACCACCTCTCTTAGGGTCAATAATAATCCTGTGTTCCCCTAAAAGCTGCAAACAGTCTAAATTAGAATAATCAATTCAAAATATTACAGAAAACTTCAAATACAATTCTACATTAAATTATTTCCTTTCCCAGCTCAGGCTGGAAGACTTTGATGGGAAACGATGGGAAAATTTTCTCTTCTCTCTCCCCTCTCTTCTTTCCAGGGTTTCTAATCTTTCCAGGGTTGGTGAGGGGAAGGGAGAGGAAAGGGAAGAAAGGACACAAAAGAGACAGGAGAGATTGTAACATACTGTCTTCAGCTGGCTTGAGGTCTCTGGTCTGGTGGAAGTTTCAGTCTGATTCATTCTGTGTAGACCTTCATGGGCTCCTGTGAGGTACCCTGTCGGGCACACAGACAGCGATCCCCCTGAGCAATGCATAGTGTGCTTCTGCCGACCCCTCCTGAACCTTCACAACTGCTTTTATTTGTTCATCCACCCCACTCAGACTCTGTCCAGGCCCCATTGCCAGGCTGGTTCTCTGCATGGCTAGAGTGACCACAGGGTTCTGATTGCCTGGCTTATCTCCCAGCCTTGTCTATTTTTTATGCATAATCATCAATAGCAAACATGCTCATATTCAAACACATCTCCCTTTGGACAATAAATGCCAAATGTCACAGTCAGCCCAGGACTTACCCATTTCTGGTGCACAGGACATGAAGCCTCCTTCCTCCAGTACCTTCTGAGAGCCCAGGTCCCTTCTAGGATTAGAAGCACTTCCCAGCTCTGATGTCCTACAGAAAACCAGACCTTTCTGAGCCTCACACATCCTAAGCAGGACTCAGATCCCAGACCACAGTGCCCATGAGTTTCAAGATTGCCTTTAAACACAAAGATGTCTCTTCACCAAGCTCTGTCCAAAGAAATTTTTTCTTGCTCACTTCTCTTGACACTTCTCTGTTGTGGAAAAGGGTGAGATCCTTTAAGCATTAAAGAACCACTTTTCAAAGTTTCTGTTTGAAAATCTGCCTTTTGATTTTGTACCTGATTTTGGAATTCTTGATGCTTTTAAAAAAAACTTAAATGTTAATACCTTGCCTCACATGGTTTTGTAGCGCTAAAGGATAATTAAAGCACCAGCATTAAAACTCAATCTTTAGCAAGATGTTGTCTACGATCTCGTTAATCTTCACAGGAAGATAATTTAGGATTGTCTGCCGGGGTTAGCAGTGGAACCTAATGGAGTCAACCCTGCAGGCAAGAAGGGACACTTGTGGCTTCTCCAATATGCCCGATTTATGATGAGGACTGGACAGCTTCTTACCTATCTGTGTGTTGTTTTCTCTTTCATTCAATTTTTGGTCTAACTCAGTGACTTTCAACACTTTGAGAGGCATAGTTATTACTTAAAAGGATTATGTACACAAATACATGCATACGCTGTAATTTACAGTTGATTTAAAGGAATTTCCAGAGGAATTTTGACCTCAAATAATTTTCCTCTTATATGCTAAATGTGGAAATGAGATATGTATTTAACATATAATTACATTTTGCCAGATGTATGACATCTGTGAAAATATTCTAAAACAAATGAAATGCCATCCCTTCATTTGTACTAAAATGTATTTTAGTCTGAGGAGAGTGAAGATTTTACAAAGGACTGATGATTCAAAGCACTATGATTATTACAATTATAATTTTAAAAGCAAATATCTATCAAGCTATGATAATACATCAATTTTCTAACCTATTTGTCTATATGAGCTCACTTTTTAATAACTTGTTTTTGCTTTATTCTACAGTTTGCAGACAACTCCAAACTCCACACTTGGGTTTTCTCTTCTGCCTTTGTTATTCTTTAAATATCTACATTAACAGAGACCATTTCTCCCCAAAGAGATGATGTTTCCCAATAGCGCATGCAGGTGGACCCTAACCTGGCACACACAGGCCCTCTTGGCCCTCCAGCACTGGTGCCTGGGCTCTACCATTTGATTGCACCCGTGTCTGTCTGTGCTAGGGCTCTGTCCTGGTCCTGTCACCCCTGAGGTATCCTTGGAGCATAGGGATGCCAAAGAGCCCCATGTGATCTTGTCAACTCTGGGTAAACTCAAGAGGCTCCTTGGGTTTCTGAGCTGAGGGCCAAGGCAGCCCATGTCTGGGCTTCATTACAAAGAAAAGTGGCAATCAATGGGCAATGTCCATTAGGAGTTTTTGGAAAGGGGATCTGGGGCGACAAACCTAGAAAGGGATGAGGCAAATAGTACATCGCTGCCTTAGATGGCTGCTTTGCTATCGGGCTGCACTGTCTCACCCGCCAGGTGGCCGAGGAGGCCGTCGGAGGACCACAAAGCTGCAAGTGGCTTTCCTGCGGCCTGCAGGGAACAGGTGGAGGACACTTGGAAGGGCACCCACCCCGGGTCTCACAGGAGTCTGCACCCGCAGGTCACACTGGCATTAGCCCCTCATCCTCTGGAGTTCATCTCATCCAGGCGAAGACAGCTGGCTGGCCTCAGAGGGTGAGACGCAACTCGAGGGTAAAAACATTTTTACAGGGCATGGACACAAAAGTGGCCTTTACCTCTGGATAAGCTTTTAAAACTTCCCATTTACATGTAAAGGTGTACTTTCTATGTGCCACCAAGAAACCTAAAGTGAGTAAAAGGTGTTTCACTTTAATCAAGTTCCCCAATGAGGGGGCACAGCTCTGAAAAGCACTGTCACAACAGGAGATTCGAGGGTGCATGCAAAGCAATGTTTCTAGAAAATGCCAAAGGAAACAGACACAACTCCAGTGTGGACTCCCGCTTCCCTGCACTGCTGCTCCATCCTCAGGGCGGAGGCCACATCGTCCAGCTAGCTGTGAGAACCTCATCATGCTCCTTGATTGTGTGCAGCAGGTGTCTGCTGAAGTCCTCCACACTCTGCCTGTAAGTTTTGGATGCTTTCTTCAGGATCCTCTCTATTTGTTCTCCTGGAGATTCTTGAAGGCCACCTGGGCTGGGATCCACTTGTCCTGGCCACACTGCTTCTGCTCCTTAATCTTTTTGCTCATTCCATCACTTCCTTGAGTTTCACCTTGTCTTGGTCTTTCTTTTTCTTATTCTGCTTGGTTATGCTGAGCTCTGCAATGCTTTTAAGCTTCAGGGGTCCTTTTTGGACCTGCTCATGGGCGACCATGACATCCGCCTGCAGTTCTGTGGTTAGACTATGTATTAGCTCATGTAATCCTCCTAAGAACATTATGGGGTAAGTACTATTATGCTCTCTATTTGTACAGGTGAGAAAACTGTACTACAGAAAGGTGAGCACCTTGCCCAAAGTTACGCAGAAAGTGAAAAAACAAGAATTCTAACCCAGACAAGTAAGTTGTATAAGCAAATGAGGCTAATAGAGATGCCAACCAGGTGTTCAAAGGGTTATAGTTACTTCTGGAAGTGAGGTGAGGCTCTGTAATAGCTAAGACGTGAACCTGGTTCTCCAGGGTAGAGACAAGAGGCAACAAGAGAAGGGACTCTGCAAAGAAACCAGCAATAGGTTGGGAACACAGGGATGGAGAGCAGCCACGAGTTTACCTAGGTTGAATTTGGAAAGTCTGTGCAGAGAAAGATGCAGGTCCCACTGGGCATGGTGGCTCACACCTGTAATCCCAGCACTTTGGGAGGCCGAGGCAGGCGGATCACTTGAGCCCAGGAATTTGAGACCAGCCTGGGCAACATGGTGAGACCCCATATCTACAAAAACTACAAAAATTAGCTGGGCAAGGTGGCATGCACCTGTGGTCCCAGCTACTTGGGAGGGTGAGGTGGAAGAATTGCTTGAGCCCAGGAGGTGGAGGTTGCAGTGAGCCATGATCATGCCACTGTACTCTAGCCTGAGCAACAGAGTGAGACCCAGTCTCGGGAGAAAGAGGGAAAGAAAGAAGGGAGAGAGGGAGGGAGGTAGGGAAGGAAAGAAGGAAGGAAGGAAGGAAAAAGAAAGAAGAAAGAAGGAAGGAAGAAAGGAAGGAAGGAAGGAAGAAAGAAAGAGAAAGAAAGAAAGAAAGAAAGAAAGAAGAAAGAAAGAAAGAAAGAAAGAAAGAAAGAAAGAAAGAAAGAAAGAAAGAAAGAAAGAAAGAGAAAGAAAGAATCATGCAGCTCCCTTATTCCCCAGGCATTCACTGAGCACTTAGTGTGTCATATGCAGGCTTTTAGGTTTAGGGTCCTGGGCAATGATACAGACAAGACAAACAGAGTCTCCTCCTTCATGGAACTTACATGAGTGGGACGGACAACAAACAAATGGTCCAGACGATTTCAGATAGTGATGAGTGTTCGGAGAACACTAAGCAGAATGATCTGAGTTTGCAACGGGCATTGCAATGCCTGCTGGGCTCCTTACCCCTCAGGACCTTTCCACTGGCTGCTCTCAAAGGCTGAATAACCTTTGCCCTGTTGCTGCAGGGCCAGATTCTCTTCTTGCAGGATTCCTTTGACTAAACTGTCACCTTGTCAAAGAGGTCTGATGCCGACTAAAAGTTCTCTGTTACTGGGCGTGCAGAGAGAAGCCTATTGTGGCTGTAAGGATGGGTGAAGGAGAAGGGCACAAAGTGGACAGCAGAAGCAGGAGCTGTCACACAGGCCTGGCCCATCATGGTGGAGAGTTTGGATTTCATTCTAAGCCAAATGGGAAGTCATTTTTCTTCTAAGCACAAGAACAACATGACTGAATTTATGCTTTAAATGAGCCACTTTGACTGCCCAGTTTCTCAACCACATAGTCGATAGATATATAGATGTATAGATGGGTAGGTTGGTAGACAGACAGACAGACAGACAGACAGACAGACAGGCAGACAGATAGATGTATATGTAGGTAGATAGGTAGATAGAGAGATGAATAGGTAGGAAGGTAGATAGATAGATACATAGATACATAGAGAGGTGTATAGGTATAGGTAGGGAGGTAGAAAGAGAGAGAGATGTATAGGTAGGTAAGTAGATAGATGTATAGACAGATAGATATATAGATAGATATAGAGATAGATAGATGATAGATAGATAGATAGATAGATAGATGTCTATAGGTAGGCAGTTAGGTAGATGGATGCACAGAAGGATGGACAGATGGATGGAGGGATGGAGGGATAGATATAGATAGATTTGTGAATATAGATACCTATCTGTCTCTCTCTAGCTAGAGATAAAATAGACAAGTGGCTTCATGCATCAGTAGCATTGAAAGACACCTCGAATGTGGCCTTACTTCAAGGTGATGGAATTTCTTTTTAAGCTCAGCTTCTACTTCCCTTCTGAGGAAGTTCATGACAGGGAGCTGCTGCAACTGATGTGACTTTCAACTCTAATATCCCGATGATGTAAATGCACTGATCAGCTCAGCAGGATTTAAGGTGAGATCTCTACTCAGGAAGAATTATGAGAAACATTTTAAATTCTTTAGCCATCAATTTCACTGCCAGTTAAACTCCATCCTCAGACGTGAAAAAAATGGCCAGCAGGTAATTTTTGAAGTGGTGAAACTGCACTATTTCTATATTTACAACCAAACCACATTTGAAAGGATGTGTTTTTGGCTCCAAAATCCTTTTTTGGCTCTGTCCACCACTGGGGCCGTAACAGGATTTATGAAGTGGAGAACCACAAAACTTACATAGATGGAGAAATATAGATTTAGATACAGATGTAGAATATATAAAGTAGATATAGCTGTAGAATACACAAACACAAATATAAATGAAGGTATAAATACAGAAAAGGTATGCATGTAGATGTAGAAGACAGACACAGGATAGATAGGCAGGTAAATTGATAGATGATAGATGATAGATAGGTAGATAGATAGATAGATAGATAGATAGATAGATAGATAGATAGATGATAGATATAGAAATGTGAATGTATAGAAGAGACATAAATGTAGATATAGAATGGATGTCATTTTTGTGCTTATGAGCCCCGCCATTCACCTGCCCCTTTATCTGCCCCCAAAAGAGCAATATTAGGGAGTATATAAATATTGTAAATAAAGCAGATAAAAGTAGAAAGATGTTAAAATCTCAGAGACAATCACCAACTGCTAAAAGATTCTCAATGGAAAAACAAATCGTAAAACAAAAAGCTGTGTTTTGCATGAAATTAGCTGGTTAAATTAGCCTGAAAGATTTACAAACCTCACCCACCTGTCTTAGAAAGAATATTCCATAGAGATATTTGGTTACTACCTGGTTCCAACTCATTTTCCTGGGTCAGAAACTGATTTCTACTTTTAAGAATTGACTTCTCTATAGGAAGGTCCATGTCACATTAATTCATGCTGCAACTTGTAGAGATGTCTTCTCCTTGGCACGTGAGCCATTTAGACTCTTTTTCAGAGAGAAGCCTGCAAACGAAAAAAGATATGCATAAGTGTTCCTGGCATTTCACATGAATTCTCTTGCAAACATTTTGCTGTATGTGTTCTGGGTGTGTTGTTATCTACTTGGATAGTTTAAAAAGTATTAGTAGAAAACATATGTATTTCTAACAGATACCCAAATGTCAAGGCTTGATGAGAATGTGTGCAGAATTGTGTATTTTTGAGGCACTATCATACTTCCTCAGTATAGATCTGTGGCTTCCTGGAAAAAAAAATTCATGGATAGCCAGTTCTCTAAATTGTCCTTATAGGGATGTCCACTGGATGAGTGCAGAATGTTCTAAAGAGTAGAAATTAGAAGACAAAACTTGATAGAGAACCTTAGATTAAGAGAATACTCAGAAAACGCAAAACAGAAGAACGCTATTAGAAGTGATATGAGGCAGGCTTTAAAGGGAAATTTTTCTGGAACAAAAATCCATGCTCTGGAAGTCAGAGGGTGTAACTGAAGATGAAATAGTCATTTGGAGAAAATCAGAATTAGAGACTGGTATTATTTGTTTTAGACAATATTTATCTATTTATTTTTTCTATTAATTTGATTGAATTAAGGAGAACAATATTGATTTTTTTACATGCGTTTTGTCCATTTAGACCTTGAGGCTTAAAGAGACGAGGCTTGCTTAAAGTCACACAGATAGTAAGAGGCAGATAAGAAATCTCGCCTTGAGTTATTTGATTTCCATGCCTAGGTCTCATCCGCTGAGCAGTGCCTCCTCCCGATTCAGCACGTCCCTGGTGCCGACTTTCTGCACGTGTTCACTTTGAGGCTGCATTGTGGGCCTGCAAGAAATGCAAAGGTATAGTGTCAGCTCTTCAGCATCTTATAGTCAGGTTTGGGGTCAAAAGCCTAGAAAGGTACAGGCCCTGAAAACAGATATCAGACAATGCCAAAGTGAGATTCCAAAGCAGAGTTTTTATGAGCGCACCATAGAATGTCTTAATATTCAGGGCTTTAGGAAATGAATCATATGCAGAAACATCTTAGTCTAAAATAAACTCCTTTTCCAGACCCAGGAATAAAGACTTTGCTATTTCTGTCAATAGAAATTAATTTATATCTGTCTGAGAATTCAGAAGCTGTTGAAGCATTGAATTTGCAGTAATAGGGAGCTCTTATAAATCACCAACTGTCATTAATCAACACGAATTCTTTGCTATTTATATTTTTATTTCAAAGGTCAAATGCATTTTAAAGTTGTATAATGCATTTTATTCTATGTCTAGAATATGATTTTTAAGCTTCCCTTAAGATATCTTTACTTTTCAAATTAACTATCAAACTGATAGCTCATCAGATCTAATTAATTATTTTATGTGTCTGGTATCTAGTAGGTGTTTAATACATGTCTGTTGAAGAAGTTTATTCAACAAATTTTTCTTGTTCACCCTCTATGTACTAGGCACTCTTATACATGTCGGAGATACAGCAAAAAATAAACAACAAAGTTCCTGAGAGTTGATAATATGATGGAAGGGGCTATAAACGATTAATGGATTGTCAGGTTGTGATGAGTGTGCCGATGTATATAAAACAAGGCAAGGACAATAGAGAGTGAGGGGAAGTGCTTGCACTTGATTTAGTTTACACACATAAGGCTCCTGTCCCACAGGTGATGTTTGAACACCTGAAGAACATGAGTGAGAAAGGCGTGGGTCATCTGGGGAAAATAACTTTCTGCAGAGCGAATAGCAAGTGAAAAGGTCCTAAGGAAGGAGGATGCTTGGTGTGCTTGAGGAGCAGAAAAGAGGCCAGCAAAGGAAGAAAGAGGGAAGGAAGAATGAAGGAGATGTTGACTGCAATCTTGTACATTTGTATTGAATGCTATGATTGGCTTGCTCCTGAGGCCTCTCTTCAGGAGTGAGGAGGGGGAGTGATGGCACATCTGAAAACTCTTTCCTACGTACCTTGGGATGTCTTTACCCCTTCTGGCTTTTGAATTATATCACTTAGGATACATTGCCTGCAAGACATGGCACACCTAACAGACAGGTTAATGATAGTTATGGTTACTGGGTACTTAACAGTAAATGCAAAGGCAGGTCAATGCAAGTTGTGTCCACAGATCTCTGGTGTCTTCAGGAAACCGGACTTTCCTTTCCAATAGGGGTATTTTGGGATTCTGGCTTTCTATTCACTCTTGTCTCTTCATGGTCAAACGTGGCTGCTGAAATTCCAGATATCATTCCCACACCTGACAACTTCCAATCTATAGTGAGAGCAGAGCAAAAATATTTTCCTTATGCAGCTCTCTCCCTCTCTATTTTTTTTTTTTTTTTTTCTGGACAGGATCTCGCTCTCCTACCCAGGATGGAGTGTGTAATGATGCAATCATAGCTCATGGCTATGATTGCATCATTACACAAACTCCAGGGCTCAAGGAGACTTCCTGCCTTAATTTCCCAAATAGCTGGGACTACAGGCATGCACCACCATGCCCACTTAACTATTTTGGTATTTTTTCTGTCGAGTCAGGGGTCTCGCTATGTTGCCCAGAATGGTATTGAACTCCTGATCTCAAGCGATCCTTCCGCTCAGCCTCCTGAAGCGCTGAGATTACAGACAGGAGCCCCCGTGACCAGCCATCTCTCTCTTTTTAAAGAGAGACAACTATTTCCCAGAAGTAGCTAGCACACCTTATTTTATTACTTTTTGGCAAGACAGCCAAGAGAAAAATGGCAAATAAAATGGTATTCCACTGATCAGTTTATTGCAGTTATAATTATTGCGTTAACCCATAATTCAGGCCCTTACATTGTGTCTAGTGCTTTTCTAAGCACTTTATATATAATGTTATTTGTTTCACACTACATCACCATCAGGTCGGAACTGTTATTATCCCAATTTTGCAGGTGACAAAACTGAAACACAAAGAGTTTAACTATCTTACTCATAAGAGAAGGAAATAGATAAAACTCAGGATGTCTGTCGCCAGATGAGAGTGCCACAGAGGGTATCAACTCCCTTTAGGAACAGAGTTCAATGATCAGTAGGATAAAAGCATCTACATTCATTTCATAGAGGCCACATTTCCAAGAAAAAATAACATAGAATGCAATATGTTAGCCCAAATAATCAGCAGAAAAGGAGAAAACATTATTCTTTATAACATTAACATTACAAGATATTAATTAACATTGTTAAAATACTTTGGAAAATTATTAGGCAGTACCTACTAAAGCTGAATATATGTATACCTGACAACCAACATTTCATCCTTACATATTTGCCAACATGAATGAGAACATATGTTCACTAAAAGACACATTCTAAGATTGGCTTATTATTTAGTTATAAGTCATTGCAAAATCAAATGCTTTGAAAACTACAATTTTCTTGCAGAGAAAAAGAAATTAGGCAGTGGAATACTGAAAAATTTTTTAAAATTATGTATGTCTGTTTGTCGTTGTATTCAGGTACCAAACTGTATGTAGTGTGCCTTCTAATGACCAATTTAATCTCCATGGGTTATACTAAAAGTTGAAAGCAAAGGAAACACAAATCAAAATTTTAATTTATAATCTTTACCAATCGAAGGTGTATATTTCACTGTCCATTATGTTGCCCTATTCAGTGGAAGATACTTGAATCAAATTACTTTACTGTTAGAGTAAGATTAATTAGCACAATGAATTTATCCACAATTATCAGTGTTACTTTTCAGAAATCTTTCACTTTTTGTTGCAGCTGGTTGAGGCTTTATTCAATTCAAATTCAAGCTGTTAAATCGAGGCTCTCAGACTCCTGCTGCCTGGCCAGTGGAGAAATTAACTTTCACATATGGCTTTGGGATTTCTCTCTGTCATCCTGGTCGACGTGTTCTCTCATTTTTCTGAAGTCTGGGACCTCAACACAGACATCTGGGTGAAGGCCTTGACAGCAGCGCTGGTGCAAAATGAATTGTCACATCACACCCAACGTTCTCAACCTTTAGAATCTGAAAGTAAGAAAAACACCTCAAACGTAAGTACTGCATTTTTACATTCTCTTCTCAGATTTCAAGTGAACTGTCTTTTTATATTATATATATAGTTAGTTGATCATTTCTCAGCTGCTTTAACCATTAATATTTAAAATTTCATCTCACCCATGTGAGTAGAAGAAGTTCAAGACAGAGTCACATTTTTACACTTTGATATTCTTACACAGAGATATGACGGATAGAAAAGTGTGCACCCACAAACGGGTCTCTGAACCGCTTCTGATACCCTGACCTCTTTTGTTACCTGAATTGGGGCAACCTATTATGCCTTCTTATCAAATGTTGAGTAATTACTCTCAACACAGGGTCAGCAAAACTGTTATTTCTTTCAGTCTGAGGAGCTTGTACATTGGCTTAGGAAAAGTCCATCAGGGAAATGGGGACACATATGCCTAGACCACATTTATGTTAGAAATCCAGCGGTCTTTTTGTAAGCAATAGATGAAGTAATCTAAAAATGTACACACCCAAAGTAATAGACTATCTCTCTTGACTCCTGACTCTGTGAAAATAGGTCTTTATGCATATCTTTGTTTTTAGAAAACATTAAAGATTGAATAATTGAAGGCACTATGCTTGGTGCTGAAGAAGGTCTAAGGAGGTCTACACCACAGAGGCTGCACCCACTCCTCAGCCTTGCTGAGCCACACCATTCTCATCTCTACAGCATCCACCTCTCTTGGCTCTTGTAAGGATTGAGACATGCCACCAGGCTTACTGTAAGCACTGAACAGCTGGGAGGATTTGATGCTGTCCCACTGCCATACCAAGGGGCAAGTTTTCTGGACTTGCCTAGACCTTATAGCAGATTAAGTACTTTTATTTCACTGAACAAAGTTTAGAGATCATTTTACATCACTGAACAAAGTTTAGAGATTTGGAGAGTATTTGTTTTTAATTTCTATGGATCTGCTTATACTTCTCTTTTGCAAATTGAAACACCGTGGAAGATTTTTTGGAACTTAGGTTGAGAGTTGTACATGGCTTCAGAGTTGCTGTGGATTTCTATCTCCATGGGGCCATCTGTCTCATCTGTCTATATAATGGTCATGCACTTTGCAGAGCCTGCTTCAATGTCTGCTATACTATGGCCACTCTGCCAGTGTTGTTGACAAACAGATGGGTTTTGATGGCAGAGAAACTTATATTTAGCAAGTCTTCCTTTTGCCCTTGAACTTTTCCACCTGTTGTTTGCACCAGCAACTCCCATGGCAAATGTGAAAAAGCAAAAAATAAGGAATATTACAAGATGGGACTAACATTAAAATGTATGTTTTCATCAAACATGATCAAGAACCTACCGATGATTGAAGGTATCTAAAACCAAAGGAGTCCCTTAGATAAGATGTTACAAATCATTCCCAAGGGGTGGTGGGAAGGGGACATGGGATTTGAGGGCAGGTACAAAAGAGAACTTGTCTATAAACTTCTTTAATCCTTAATAAAAATGTGCACTTTAGATATTATTATGTACTCCTATTCTACAGGTAAGGGACCAACCTTCAGGAGTTTACTTATCTTGCCAAAGGTCACGTTACTAGTTAGGAGGTAATCTCAGGGCAGGGACTCTGCCTTGTCATTGCTGAAGCCTTAGTTCTGAGAACAGCCTGGACTACAGTTCTGTGTTTAATATTTTTTTAAATAACTAATAATAAATATATTAGGTAGGGAAGTGGACCTTTAAAACAGGCTTTCTCCACTGTATTAGTCTGTTCCCACACCGCTATGAAGAACTCCCTGAGACTGAGTAATTTATAAAGAAAAGAGGTTTAATTGACTCACAGTTCTGCATGGCTAGGGAGGCCTCAGGAAACTTACAATTATGGCATAAGGCACCTATTTATAGGGTGTCCGGAGAGAGAATGAGTGCAAGCAGAGGAAATGCCAGGCGCTTATAAAACTATCAGATCTCCTGAGACTCACTCACTATCATGGAAAAAGCACCCCAATTATCCAATTATCTCCACCTGGTCCCGCCATTGACAAGTGGGGATTATTACAGTTCAAGGTGAGATTTAGGTGGGGACACAAAGCCAAACCAGATCATCCACCTTGATATGATTGACATTTTGCATCAGATGACTTATCATCCTGGGAGGCCATCCTGTACACTGTAGAATTATTGACAGCATCTCGACCTCTACCCACTAGAGTAGCGTGTGGCTCTGTGATGCATTCCAGGGTGACCAAGCAGGGATTGTGTCTAGACAAGAGTTTCTGTTGAATTTTACCATCCTATGAAGTATTTCGTGAGGGAACTCACAATGTGTCCAATCCCACAAAGATGCCAGAGAAAGGCTGCATTCATTCAGGTTGACTATAATGAGTAACAATTTATTTTGGAATATTAATTAAATGGGTGTATGTGTTGTTGTTGCTGGTTTTTTTTGTAGACCAAATTTTGAATACAAATATCTGGTCCCTGAAAAATTATTCCTGATTTGATTTTATCCAGTGTTGCAAACTGGGTTTCGTAAGTGACTCTTTTGTAAGGAGTTTCAGTGCACCCCGTCTGCAACCCATGCATATCTTATTTAACCCCAAGCTTCTAAGGTAGAATCCTACTTTTTTCAAGTGCTATTGATTAGTTGCCTGTTTAGACTTTTGTTATATGATTTAAAATTTTAAAAATGATAATCAAAATATAATATTGAACACAATTTAGGGCATTATGTCATAAATATTTACTAAGACAATGTTTGCATTTCATAATCTATAATACATATTGATTTTAGTATCACATTTACAGATTGATTCTGAGTAATCAGCACAGATTTCTAAAAGAAACTTTATGGGATGCTGAGACATGAATAAAAACAACTTTATTCCTTTGGAAAGGACAACCCACATGCTAAGAAGATGACACTACACGTTGTTATAGCCCGAAAGGCCCTCTTTCCACAGGGGAGCAGTGAAAAGTAGAGGTTGCCCATGTGGATTCCCAAGTCAGATAGATGTGGATTCAGATCCCAGCTCTGCTGCTTGCTACCCAAGAGACCATGGACTGTGGACTCTTTAGGTCTCAGGGTTTTTGTTTGTTGTCTGTTTTTCACTTCCAAAACCAGAAAATGAGAAGATATTTTCCATAAGATGGCGGTGGTGAGTAAATGTAATTATATGTCTAAAGCTATGGGCATGAAAGCTTGGCACACATTTAAGTAAGTGCTTGATAAATGTTAATTCTTACAACTATTGGTATCATTTAGATTTAGGTTGCTGAGTTAGTGGGAAATAATGTCCTTATCATGTGAGGAATCCCTATTCTCAAAAGGGGTTATTATCATTAGAATGCTAACTGTTTTCAAAACAGCTAATTGACCATTTTATTCAGAAGCACCATCTGCTACTCATTAGGGTCTAGGTTTCTGTCAGCTCACGGGTGCCCATATGTGAGTTGATAACCCTATTTCAGTCTTGGTTGTTGAATCCTCAGTGTCTGCGGTTGACTGACTATCAGGTATTTGCATCTCTGAAAGTAATTTTCAGCAGTGAGTTTTTAGTTAGGTTCTTTGGTTACAGTTCTGGATAATTAACACTAAAATGAGACATCTTAGAAGGCTTTGGCTCAGATAATTGAGAGAAGTGAATGTTGAACAAGATTCAGGAAGGGAAGAGCTGGGATACCCCAATGTCTGGATTTCATGCTCTTTTTCTCCAAGCACATCCACTGTGGGGCTTGGCCTCAATCCCCTAGATGTCTTCAATATAATCTTCAATTGTCAGGAGAAGAGAACTTGATGGACCTTGCTTGGACAAAATGCCTTCACCGCTAACTCAGTCAGCTATGGCGATGGGTCAAGGACCTGGTGGTTTTACAGAGAAGACCCTTGGTCAAATCTTTGTGAATGAAGCAACCATTCTGATGTTCAATAACAGGGTAAGTGCTGGCCAATGATGTCATTATCGTCCATCCTGTGGCTTCCACACATCAGTGATCTTATTAGATACCTGCAATTTCAACCCACTATATCAGAATTCCATAGGAATGAGTTGTTTTTAAAGTTCTTCAGAGTGAATTTGGATGCTCAGTCATTATAAAGAACTATCTTCATCCTACAAAGACTGGTGTTTTTTCTTTCCTTGTTTATCTTGGAATTTTTTTCCAATTGCAGCCTTGAAAACCATTTCCAATAATGTCAGAATTTGCTTAAAAGATTGTGAAAGACGGTAATCTGGATTGTAATACTGGGTCAAAGAGACCATACCAGGAGCCAACCATGCTAAATCTAACTTTAAAATACAGAATTACAATGTTAAGACAAGTTCCATAGAGTGATAAGGTCTATGTGGTACTTACTATTTTACACACATTTTCCTACACTTAGTGTAACTGTCTCCTAATTAAATGCAATTGTTTTAAATTAGCTGATGTGTGTTTTATGTGATATAGCTTTATATCCTAAGCCAGAATAAAAATATTCTGAGAGTGACAGTCTTTCTTCATTATTTCATCTCTTGTCCTGCATAATTTTGTTTTTAAGTTAGATTTTGATATTAAATTGGTAAAATAAATTAAAGGAAAAAATGAACACTAGGAAAACAAAACGAGGGAGATGGCTTCAGGCCAATTTATATTAACAAGGAAAAACACTACCCGTTCTTTTAAAAGCTTTTAAAAACAGTGACATTCAGGCTCTTCCATTTCTGTCTAGAATGCACCAGTTTATACCAAACTATCTGTACTATTGAGAACAGCAAAAATATCTGACCAAAAACACCAAAGAGTGACATTTTAAAAGACATCAAAGAACTCTCAAGGCTTCCAGAGTTGGAAAGATCAAGAAAGAGAGAATGCAACTTCATTAAGGTGAGCCTAGAATTTTATGTTGTTTTTTCGTTCTAAGATATTTATTAGATTTTTAAGTGGTGCAGGCCAGAGAGGCTGAATAGAAAGTGTAATATGTAGAATAGGTGAGCAGAGATTTTAGTCATCTCACAGTGATGGCGAAAAAAAATTGAGGTTATGGTTGCCATGGTAGGAATGAATTGAGGGGCCAGCATAACATGGAGAAGGGAGATCGGGTAAATAAGCCCAATGTTTGGAGCTAATTTTCCTCTCAACAAATTTACTGATGTGTCACCAAGGTCATATGTGAGGGCAGCAAAACTAAGCACAAAGCAGTAGCTAAAAACTTAAATTTTAGAGTTTTCACAAGTCTTACAGTGCTGGGGTGCGAAACTGAAGTGTAGGATTCACCTAAAAGAAGGATCCTATTGAACAACTCAGAATTAGATTGGGAACTCTGAAGGATTTTACCCTATAGGGATGAGAAAGCTAGCAATATCTCAGATGTATAAAGACTGAAACCCAGCCTCACATCCATCCATATTCCAGATTAGATAAAATTGATAATCTCCTACACAAACTATCTTCTATTAATATAAAGTATCTTCTATTCAGATTTATCCAGATGCTATAATTTTTATTTTATTATTCCAACACCAGACACAAAAAGGAACAGGATACAGAAGTGGAGGCAGTTCAGCGAAAAAGATGAGAAGAAGGAGAATGTCCACAAATAAATTTCACTTATAAAAGTTCAGATAAAAATTCTAGAACTGGGTTTTTACGGTTTTAGGTCTTATGTTTAAGTCTTTAATCCACCTTGAGTTAATTTTTGTATAAGGTGTAAGTTTCAGTTTTCTGCATATGGCTAGCCAGTTTTCTCAACACCTTTTATTAAATGTGGAATCCTTTCCCCATTGCTCGTTTTTGTCAGGTTTGTCAAAGATCAGATGGTTGTAGATGTGTGGCATTATTTCTGAGGCTCTGTTCTGTTCCATTGGTCTATATATGAGTTCATGTCCTTTGCAAGGACATGGATGAAGCTGGAAACCATCATTCTCAGCAAACTAACACAGGACAGAAAGCCAAACACCGCATGTTCTCACTCATAAGTGGGAGTTGAACAATAAGAAAACATGGACACAGCAAGGGGAACATCACACACCAGGGCCTGTTGGTTGGTGGTGGGCTAGGGGAGGGATAGCATTAGGAGAAACACCTAATGTAGATGACAGATTGATGGGTGAAGCAAACTACCATGTCACGTATATACCTATGTAACAAACCTGCATGTTCTGCACATGTATCCTAGGACTTAAAGTATATATAAGAAAATTCTAGAACTGAAAAATATAAGTGAATTAAAAACATAGTGATTATATTTAAAAGCATGTTAGACACAGGTAAAGAGAGTTCTGGTGATTTCAAAAATACGTTGGTAGTAAATATTCAGATTTAAGAATAAAAAATAAAAAGAAGGGAAGACACACAGAAGCCATAGAGGTATGTAGGGGAGTGTTGTGGTTATGTCTATGTCACAAACGTCTCCCAAACTTAGTGATGTAATAAAACCATATTATTATTAAATAGTTATCATGAATGAGTAATTTGGACAAAGGCACTGTAGAGCCAACTCACCAAAGCTCCATGATGTCTGGGGTGTCATCTAGGATGACACAAACTACTAGATGCAGAAATATCAAAGGTTGAGTATTTTATATGTCTGATGCCTTTGTGTTCCCCCAAATGAGCTCTCTCTCCAGCAGATAATTCTTCTGTGGAATTTTTCAGTGACTCAACTCCAAATAGGAGCATTTCAAGAGTATGTATTTCAACAAAGAAGTATTAGAAGATGACAGTGTCCTTGCAGTATCTTTTAGGGGCTATCAGAACATGATTTCTGCTATATTCTATCATCGGAGCCTTAATAATGTTAACTATAATTCAAGGGAAGATCAAATAAACTTCACCTTTCAAGGAAAGGAGTAACAGAGAATGTGCAGGCATTTTTATACACCATTGACATGGAAAAAAAAGTCCTTCAAGGATTTCCAGTTTCAGATTCTACCTATAAAGAGTTCAGAAGTCATTATTCATAGCCTTACAAATAAATAAATAAATAAATAAATAAATAAATAAATAAATAAATAAATGGAATATACAGAAAGTCCATAACTTCTCTTGGACTCATCAGATAATTGAGATCACAGACCAAACTGACATCCCCAAATCTAAAGGGACAAGCAAATCCAGAAAGACAGCACAAGTGAGATCTTTTTATGTGGAGTAGAAGCCACAAAAAATATAAACTTGAGAAGAAAGTCAGAGGCATTACATTACCCAACTTCAAACTATACCACAAGTCTACAATAAACAAAACAGCATGGTACTGGTACAAAAACACACATAGACCAATAGAACAAAATACAGAACCCAGAAATAAAGTCATACGCCTACAACCATCTGATCTTTGACAAAGATGACAAAAATAAACAATGGAGACAAGACTCCCTGTTTAATAAATAGTGCTGTGATAACTGGCTACTCATATGCCAAAGAGTAACACTGGACCCCTACTTCTCACCATGTACAAAAATAACTCAAGATGTATTAAAAACTTAAATGTAAGACCTCAAACTTTAAAAATCCCAGAAGAAAACCTAGGAAATACCATTCTGGACATCAGCACTGACAAAGAATTTATGACTAAGTCCTCAAAAGCAATTGCAACAGAAACAAAAATTGATAAGTGGGACCTAATTAAACTAAAGAGTTTCTGCGCAGCAAAAGAAATTATCAATAGAGTAAACAGACAACCCACAGAATGAAAGAAAATATTCACAAACTATTAATCCAGTGAAAGTCTAATATCCAGAATCTATAAGAAACTTAAGTCAACAAGCAAAAAACAAATAACCCCATTAAAAAGTGAGCAAAGGACATGAACAGATACTTCTCAAAAGAAGACATATAAGTGGTCACAAAACCTATTGCTCAATATTGCTAATCATCAGCAAAATGCAAATCAAAACCACAATGAGATACCATCTCATACCAGTCAGAATGGTGATTATTAAAAATACAAAAAAAAAAATAGACACTGGTGAGGCTGTACACTGTTTGTTGGAATGTAAATTAGTCCAGTCACTGTGGAAGGCAATTTGGAGATTTCTTAAAGAATTAAAAACAGAACTACCATTTGACCCAGCAATCTCATTATTGGGTATATACTCAAGGGAAAATAAATAATTCTACAAAATTCTGTGGCATTAGCAGCATGCATATATGTTCATCATAGCACTGTTCACAATAGCAAGGATATGGAATCAATGTAGGTGCTCATCAATGGTAGATTGGATTAAGAAATAAAGTGGTATAGACACACCATGGAATACTACCCAGCCATAAAAAAGAAAAAAATCATGTCCTTTGCCGTAACATGGGTGCAACTTGAAGCCATCATCCTAAGTGAATTAGTGCAGTGAGAGAAAACCAAATACTACATGTTCTCACTTATAACTGGGAGCTAAATATTAGGTAATCATGGACATAAAGATGGTGACAATAGAAACTGGGGACTACTAGAAGTGGAAAGGGGAACGAGAGAAAGGGGTGAAAAACTACCTGTTGGGCACTATGCTCACTAGCTGGGTGACAAGATCATTCATAAACCAAATCTAAGTGTCACACAATATGCCCATGTAACAAATGTATACATGTAACCCCAAATCTAAAATGAAAGTTAAAATTATTAAAAACAATGCAACTCCAAAGTAAGAAAAAAATATATAATCCCCAAACTGCCCAATCAAACAATGGCAAAAGTCCTGAAGAGACACTTTACAGTGTTTTGGTGGCAAATAGTATATGAAAAGATGTTCAGCATCATTCACCATTAAGGAAATGAAAATGAAAATAATGACGCAATGCAATTGTACAACTATTAGTATGGTATTGTATTGCTGGTGGGATGACAAAATGGTACTGGCAATTTTGAGGAAAATTTGGCAGATTCTCAACAAAGTGTAACATAGTCTTATCATTACAATCTAGCTACCATGTTCCTAAGTATTTAACCAACTGACTTAAAAATGTATTTTTGGCCAGACTCCATGGCTCATGACTCAGCACTTTGGGAGGCTGAGGCAGGTGGATCGCCTGAGTTCAGGAATTCAAGACTCAACCTGGTCAGCATGGCAAAACCCCATCTCTACAAAAAATACAAAAATTAACTGGACATGGTGGTGCATGCCTGTAGTCCTAGCTACTTGGGAGGCCGAAGTGGGAGAATTGCTTGTGCTTTAGAGGCTGAGTTTGCAGTGAGCTGAGATCATGCCACTGCACTCCAGCCTGAGCAACAGAGCAAGACCCTGTCTCAAAAAAAAAGCATGTTCACACCAAATTCACATATGAATATTTTAATAGATTTATTCATATTCAACAGACACTGGAAGTAATGGAGATATAGTTTTACAAATGATTAAACAAACCTGGTACATCCATACAATGGTATATTGTACACCAGTGTAAAGGAATGAAC
Source organism: Homo sapiens (assembly GCF_000001405.40). Taxonomy (NCBI): domain Eukaryota; kingdom Metazoa; phylum Chordata; class Mammalia; order Primates; family Hominidae; genus Homo; species Homo sapiens. The sequence goes on from NC_000012.12 coordinate 126,475,335, forward strand.
TGTTCAGAAACATGAAAATGTGAATGAATCTTAAATGTATATTGCTACTGAAAATGACCAATCTGAAATGGCTACATGTTGTATGAGTCATGAAAAAACAAGGACACTTTGAGGAACTGTCATAGCATAAAGAAGCCTAAGAAGATATGGCTACTAGATGGAATAAGGTATTCTGGATGAGATCCCGAAATAGAAAAAGGACATTAAAGAAAAACTAAGAAACCAAAATTAACCTGAAATAAGTATGGATTTTAATTAATGATTGTATTAGTCCATTCTCATTCTGCTAATAAAGACACACCCAAGACTGGGTAATTTATACAGGAAAGAGGTTAAATTGACTCACAGTTCAGCATGGCTGCAGAGGCCTCAGGAAACTTACAGTCACGGTGGAAGGGGAAGTAAACATGTCCTTCTTCACATGGCAGCAGGAAGCAGAAGTGCAGTGTGAAGCCCCTTATAAAATCATCAGATTTCAAGAGAAATCACTCACTATCATGAGAACAGGATGGAGAAAACAGCCTCCATGATTCAATTATCTCCACCTAGTCCCTCCCATGACACGTGGGCATTATAAGACCTACAATTCAAGATGAAATTTAGATGGGGACACAGTTAAACCATATCAATTATAATGTATTAATGTTGATTCATTAGTTGTGACAAATGTTTCATATTAATGTAAGATGTTAACACAAAATGAAACTCAGTGTGGGGTATGTGGGAACTCTCCCTATTATATAAATTTATAATTTTATAGATCTAAAACTACTTTGTTTTATTTATTTTTTAAAAAGCCTATCAAATTTGTATCTAGACTCTTAGAGGAAGAGAGAATAGGGTAGAAAAAATACTTGAAAAAATCACGGATAAGAAATATCTAAACTTGATCATGGAAATGTAAGCATAGATTAAAGAATTTCTACTAACCCAATGCAAGAGGAATACAAGGAAAATAAAACACTTAGACACACCAGTGCAAACCAATGAAAACAAAAACAAAGGGAAAAACACACATTCTATTCAAAGAGGCAATAATAAGAATTTTAGCTAATTTCTCAGCATACAAAATTGGCCAGGCACAGTGGATGGCTCATACCTATAATGCCAGCACTTTGGGAGGCTGAGACAGGAGGATCTCTTAAGACCATGAGTTCTAGGTCAGCCTGGGCAACATTGTAAGACCCTGTCTCTACAAAAGAATTAAAAAAATATTAGCTGGGTGTGGAGCACATGCCTGTAGTCCCAGCTACTCAGAAGGCTAAGGTGTGAGGATCACTTGAGCCTGGGAGGTAGAGGCTGTAGTAAGCAGTGATTGCACCACAGCTCTCCAGCCTGAGAGACACAGCAAGACCCTATCAAAAACAACACACACACACACACACACACACACACACACCACAAAACCAAAATTAAGTCTGAAGACAACCAAATCAAATTACATAGAGAGTAGAATGATACACATTGGAGACTTGGAAGGGTCAGGGAGTGGGGAGAGGGGTGTGGATGATTAGAAATTATTTAACGGATACAATGTGCATTATTCAGATGATGGACACACTAAAAGCCCAGACTTCACCACTAGGCAAAACAACCACTTAATAAAAAATAGCATTTGTACCCTTAAATTTATACAAATTAAGTAAAAGAGATAACTGAAAGAAAATGCCTGTCATCTTTGAATTCTCTATCTAGAAATAACATACCAAAAAAGTTTAAAATGAAGGCAAAATGAAAATTTATATAAAAGAAAGACTGAGAGAATTCAGTGCCACCAAATGTACACTAAAAACCATACAATTTGTTAGTGTGTTAGGTTGTTCCTGCATTGCTATAAAGAAATGTCTAAGGTTGGGGTCATTTATAAAGAAAAGAGGTTTAATTGGCTTATGGTTCTGCAGACTTTACAGGAAGCATGGTGCTGACATCTGCTTCTGGTGAGGCCTCAGGGAGCTTCCAATCATGGCAGAAGGCAACAGGGAGCCAGCACATCACATGGCAAGAGCAGGACAAAGAGAAAAGGGAGGAGGCACCACACACTTCTAAACAACCGCTTCACTCATCACCAAGGAGATGGTGCTAGGCCACTCATGAGGGATTCATTCCCATGATCCCAACCCCACCCACTAGGCCCACCTCCAACACTGGGGATTACATTTCAACATGAGACTTAAAGGGACAAGTATCCAAACCACGTCAGTCAGTTTTAGGGATAGGAAAATCATTTCAGACAGATAAATATAAATGAAAGGAATAATGAATACAAATTTTTAAAAAATCTGTGATAAACCTAAACTGCATAAATCAATCATAATAACAATAATACCTTGTGAGTTTCAAAATGTATGTAGAATTTAAAAACGTGAATCCAACAAATCAAAAGACAGAAGAAATGGAATGAATTAAAATGTCTTAAATTGTTAACATTTTTAAGGTTATGATGAAAGCATTAATTTATCTTTAATTATTATGAATTATGAATCAAAGATGCACATCATAGTCTCCAGGGGAACTGAATAATAACATGCTAATGGAGGATGCTAAATCAAAATAATCTGTTAATGCAAGGATTCAACAGGAGGGAAAAATGAATGCAGCAAACGGAAACAAATCTGAACACAAACATATCACTAAAATCATCACACGTAAATTAACCAACATCCAATAAAAATTTAAGCTTTGTCAAACAAGATAAAATGTACAACTCAGCCACATAATGCTTACACTATAGGGATTTTAAATATGAAGACATTTCTTCATATTTAAAATATGGAAGAATAAAAGTAAAAGCCCAGGGAAGCATTATTCAGACAAGAAACAAAAGTAGGCTGGCGTTCTTTTAACAGATTTTATGGCAAAAAGTGCTTCAAAGTATACGATGATGTGACGAGAAAGCAAGTCTAAACAGCACATACAAGTGGAAAGCAAAAATTTGACAGAACCAAAGGAAGAAATATAAGAAATAGACAATCACAGTGGGAGATTTTCTCAAACCTCTCTTAACTGATAGAGCTCTGGCATAAAATGTTTAGGAATATAGGAGTTTTGCACTGCAGAAATACAGGCTTGATCCAAATGGCGTATTAGAACGCAGAAGCCAACAATCACAGAACATGGAATATGTCCCCAAATTGTCCACAAGCTTTACCACCCAGCCAATTGTAAGCCATTCAAATAATTGAAATCGTAGCGTATCTTCTCTTCTCGCTGTGGAATAAAACTAGGATGATGATGATGGCAACTGCATCACCCCTAAATGGACAGATTTAAAGAAATCGTCTTCTAAATAGAGCATGTCACAGAGCCATGCTGTAAATTATGAAATACTTTCATCTGAGTAATTATGAAAATACTATATATCAAAGACAGCTAGGCCAGGCACGGTGGCTTACACTTGTAATCCCAGCACTTTGGGAGGCTTAGGCGGGCAGATCACTTGAGGTCAGGAGTTTGAGACCAGCCTGGTCAACATGGTGAAACACTGTCCCTACTAAAAATACAAAACTTAGCTGGGAATAGTGGCGCACACCTGTAATCCCAGCTACTAGGGAGGCTGAGGCCGGAGAATCACTTGAACTGAGGAGGCTGAGGTTGCAGTGAGCCAAGATTGTGCCACTGCACTCCAGCTTGGGTGACAGCGAGACACTCCATCTCAAAAAAAAAAAAAAGGCAGCTAAAGCCATATTAAGCCATATTTGAAAGGAAAATTATAGCAATAAATGCACATATTAGCAGAGAATTGCCCTGGACTTGGGGACTCAGGGTGACCTCCCTTTCCGCAGTGGCAGAGTAGTCGGACCTTCAGGCCTCCCCAGCTTCTTTCCTGGCCAGGGAAGGGTTTCTGGCCTCCCAGTCACACAGGGGCTTCTAAGCTCTGCCCAAAGACCTGGCAGCCAGGCAGGGCTCAGCTTGCTGGGGATGTGGTGGGGTAGGATGAAGGAGGGAGAAGGACAAGATGTGTGTGTTAAGGAACAGAAAGGGGTTGTGGCTCTGTCCTGCCCCTTCCCCGGGTTCTGAAGTGTGGTGGGGCTCAAGCCATGATCCCTCAGTCCAGCAGAAATCTGTTCCAGTGGCCTAGCATCTCCGCACACAGGACAGACTCCACTCCAGCCCCTTAGGCTCTCCCTCCTCCCGCACGTGCTGGTTCCTTACTCACTGTAAGTGAGATCTCTGTACAAGATAGTGAGAAACATCAAACCTTGGCATCTACACCCTGGAGCTCTGACACTTGAAGTGGGAATTGCAATTCTCCCAGCAAGGATCTTACCTAGGACCCTTTCCTCTTATTTATTTACTTATTTATTTTTGAGACAGGGTCTCCCTCTGTTACCCAGGCTGGAGTGCAGTGGCGCAATCATAGCTCACTGCAGCCCCAATCTGCTGGGCTCAAGCGATCCTCCTGCCTCAGTCTTCTGAGTAGCTAGGACCACAGGCCCATGTCACCACATCCCACTATAAATATATATTTTGGTAGAGATGGGGTCTTGCTATGTTGCCCAGTCTGGTCTCGAACTCCTGGTCACAAGCAATCCTCCTATCTTGGCCCCCAAAAGTGCCGGGATTACAGATATGAGCCACCTCAACCGACCCCCTTCCTCTTAAATTGCCCTCCCTGCCCCTCCCTGGAAGCCACAGTCTTTTGGCCACACATTGATCCCACAGATATTTGCCAGGTATCAACTCAGGTGAGGCCCTGGGCTGAGAAATTGGGAAAATGGCAGCCGACCCCCCAACCCCCTTCTCTGCATGACGACCTTCAGAAGAGGGGCTCAGAAGTGTGGCAGTTTGCAATCCACAGTGAGATGGAGAAGAGGAGAAGGGGAGGAGAAAAGGGTTCCAGAGGAGTGGGGGGCTCTGTGACCCAGGAGGGGCACCCTGGAGAGACAAAAGCCTGCACAGAGGAGGTGGCAACAGACAATCCCAGGCTCTGGTCAGAACTCTCCCACCTGCGCACGTAACGTGGGTGCCTTTCATTGTATAATTACACTCACTAAAGTTGACTAAAAACAAGCCGTGGAGAAAACACATAGAGGATCTTTTCTTGTCTAATAGTAGATTAAACAAGCTCCAGGCCACACAAAACATATTTTCTATGCGTTTCATCCAGTTTTCAGAACATGTATGAGACGTTTCTTTTAAACATCATTTTGTTTGTTGAAAATTCTTAAGCTTCCTCAGCGACCCAGAGCTGGAAACCCTCCCACAAACGCATTCTTTGATTTGGGACCTTAGGGGCCCCTCCTCTTTTTCCTTGGAAATGCTTATTCACCTCATCCCCAGCACAGCAGGGCTCAAGATAAACGAGATCATCTTTCCTCAAGTCTCTTGCAACAAGAAAGAGGGGGAGGAAAATCAATATGTGTGATCATCATTCTTCTCCATCCGCCGTAAATAGGCTGAGGAGGGTCATTATTCATCTCCGCTGGCGAAAATCGGATTATAAGTGCTGGGGAAGCTGAAAGCAAATTTCAAGACCAAAATATGTTCCTTCCTCCATGGCTGAACTGCCTGCTGCGGGATTTTTAATTGCATTTGCCCGTTTCGAGATGTACGGCATGATTCCAGGCTTGGATCTTGGGTCTGTAGTTTCTAGGCTGTCATTCTTACCTTTTAATCAGTTATTAAAATGACTATATGGCAGCTTTCCTATATAGAAATCATGGGTTTTTTTTTTTTTTTTTTTTGAGACGGAGTCTCGCTCTGTCTCCCAGGCTGGAGTGCAGTGGCGCGATCTGGGCTCACTGCAAGCTCCGCCTCCCGGGTTCACACCATTCTCCTGCATCAGCCTCCCCAGTAGCTGGGACTACAGGCGCCCGCCACCACTCCAGGCTAATTTTTTTATATTTTTAGTAGAGACGGGGTTTCGCCCTGTTAGCCAGGATGGTCTGGATCTCCTGACCTCCTGATCCGCCTGCCTCGGCCTCCCAAAGTGCTGGGATTACGGGCGTGAGCCACCGTGCCTGGCCCATGGTTATTATAAATGGAGTATTATTATTATTAGAGGAAAGCATGGAATTATATATGGAAAGGCATATTTTCTGGTACCGCTTTGCCACCAGACAAAAAATGCAAAGAGCCCCTGCGGATATGTAAGAAATTGTCCAGCTCCCAGTGCCCTCAACCCAGTGCCCAGGAATGAATTAACCCCACAGCACCCTTGCGAAGAAAGGCAAAGCAAGCAAAGTTTCACTGGGCCTGGACATGAAGTTAAAGAATTAATACTATGTGACGGGTAGGTTGGCAGAAGCACAGAATATACACGTGGACTCTATTTACACCAGCACTGTGGTGGAGTGACCTTTAGTTGCAGCTCAAGTGCCTGAGGCATCCATGGTGACACGGGCAGGTGAACGTAGCATAGACTATACGGCATCCACTGTGCACCCAAGTCTAGGTTAGTGTGTTGGTTTCCGAGAAAAAATAAAAAGATACATGCTACCGTTCGAAAAGTTTGCAGCCTTGGCTGGGAAGACAAGGCACAGCCACATAGAAAGCGTAGGGCTGTGGGCTATTCTTTTTATAAAGGTGATGCTTTGTACCATATTCTCCTTATATTTACTCACTCCTCAACAAGCACACCCTCCCACGCTCACACTCCTCCTTCCACTTGAGCTACTTAAACTAGACATAATGTATGGTGTCTTCATCATGATCTATATTTAAATTATAGTGACACATTACCAAGATTCAGGGTCTGCATTTCTCTTGCTGTGGTGAGAGAGAATCTTGATGAGGTACAAGGCAGTATTTTGTGTCTTTGCATTCTTACTGTCAAAGCAGAGGGCACGAGTGACCGACAGCACTTTGAAGGTAAAAGCAGACTGCATGTCTTCACATTTCACAGAACTCGGTCCTTTTGTCAACAAGATATTAAACTTTCTCTGGCTTACTTTGAAAACTTCTGCTATGTTTTAAGTGCCTTATTTGGAAATCAACAAATAAAAGTTTCCCTAGCCTTTTTCTCCTATTATTTCCCTCCCCAAATTGTTTTTTTAAAGATAATTAAGCCACAACTGCCTTATGATGCTGGGTTTTCCAGAGAGGAATTCAGTAAGAGATGAATTGCCCTTGAGCTCTATCTGTGGGTCCTTCCTTCCTCCCTCCCTCTCTCCTCCCTCCCTCCTTCCCCACTTCCTCCCTCCTCCCCCACTTCCTCCCTCCCTCCTTCCCCTCTCCCTCCCTCCCTCCTTCCCCCCTCCCTCCCTCCCTCCCTCCCTCCCTCCCTTCCTTCCTTCCTTCCTTCCTTCCTTCCTTCCTTCCTTCCTTCCTTCCTTCCTTCCTTCCTTCCTTCGTTCCTCATGATGCCTACTGTGACTGCGCCCCTTCCTAGTGCCTGGGGAAACAGTGTTGAAAGTGACAGCTTAGGATCCTGGTCTCATGCAGCTTACAGCCTAATGCAGGGATTCAGTCAATAAAACAAGGAAACAGACTATTGTTAGACTGTGATAATGCTGGGATGGAAGGGTAAAAAGAAGCCAATCTGATGGAGACAGACTAGAATGGGGGTGGTTGGGCTATCTTATTAGGGTGAACAGAGAAGGCTTTTCCTAGGAGGTGACATAAGGGATCCTTCTTCTAAAGGAAAAGGATAAAAAAAGAACCCAGCCATATGCAGAGGGTTCAGGCAGAAGCAGCAGCAAGTTCAAAGGTCCTAAGATGGGATGGGCATGGACTGATTCAAAAATGAAAGACAGGCTTCAATAGTGTCAATAGCTTGACCGTAATGATTACTTACTACCTGGCCAATTATCAAAAAGCTATTTATTGATAATATTGAGAAAAACCAAAGCATATGCTCAGATAATAGGGATATATCGGTTTGCTTATATTTCTTCTCTAACAAGCCTTATCGTTATTTTCATAGGAATATAGAAATAATATTCTAAACTACCGATGGCTTAATATACTTTGCTGAAACAGCTTAGACCCTTGTTTCAAATCATTTTCCTTCCAAAAACAACCTACACACAAACTATTTGCTTTGTTAGTCAGAACAGAACAGAACTGGAATTAGTCACTCATGATAGGTATGAGTCACTTATAAGCCTGTTTTTCTTTTTCCTATTTGTATCTGCAATAATCAGATGAAAATCAACCCCAGCATTATCCAAGAAATTCTATAAATTAAGGCGATATTAATACCCTTGTTCTTTCCCTAGTGATGGTGGTTCTCACCTTTTTTACTGTTCATGCATATTTTCATTCTTTCAAAAGCTGATTTCATTTCTTCCAGTCAAATGCCTCTATTTTTCCACCAAGCTGCTAATATGTTTGCCTTTTAAACCAAGCTAAGCCTGGTTTTTATCTGGACAATTGAATTGTATAACATGTGTCTTGCAACAAAACAAGCTCTGCCAGAAAAGGCAGCTGCAGAAACTCAGGCAAAGATGTACCTAGTACTAGCATTTGCTGAGTACAGCGAGAACAAAGGAGAATGAAATGCTGGCGTGCTAATTTATAAGAAAAATTAAATCCGCACACGATATGTTAATGGCTTTAAAACAGGCTTCCCGACAGGCGCGGTGGCTCAAGCCTGTAATCCCAGAACTTTGGGAGGCGGAGGTGGGCGGATCACTTGAAGTCAGGAGTTTGAGACCAGCCAACGTGGCGAAACCCTGTCTCTATTAAAAATACAAAAAAAAAAAAAAAAAGAAAAAGAAAAAATTAGCTAGGTATGGTGGTGCGCATCTTTAGTCCCAGCTACTCGGGAGGCTGAGGCACAAGAATCACTTGAACCTGAAAGGCAGAGGTTGCAATGAGCCGAGACAGTGCCACTGTGCTCCAGCCTGGGTGACAGAGGCCGACTCCATCTCAAAAATAAAATAAAATAAAATGAATAAAATAAAATAAAACAGGCTTCCATCATTGGAGAATTTGAATGCTTACTGCATAGTTGATGTAGTATTATTATTACTATATCTGTAAAGTAATATTTTGGTTTCTAAAAAATACTTTTTAAGAGAGATACCCATTAAATATCTGTGGGTCATACGGACAACCACAAACAAATTAGAAAGGATTTTCCAATCTTGCAAAAATCTTCAGGCCAAATTTTGTTTCCAAGAATTTATTTTCCCTTCAGATAAGAACAGTGACCTGACGATTATATTTGGTGCCCAATTTATTGGTGTCACAACTATACAGGAAGTGTGTGTAGTCTTTAAACCTTTTAATGTCTCTTCCTCAGGAGTGTGCCAACATTTCGTTTTCAGCGTTGCTTTTGAATGTGCAGCCGGGAACCCCTTCATGGCTAGTTCAAACCCCCATGCATAAGAGAGATTTTTGAAGGAATTTTTGGCCCTAGTGAGGCATTCTTAATGAAAAATTTTCTGCATGTACTAATTAAATCTATGTAATTACAAGGTATTGTGTCATGTTAAAACTTTAACTAGCACCGAATATGTAATTTACACGCACTTATGATAGAGCAGCTCATTATAGGTCCAATTTTCATCCCCGTCATTAGCCAGGCTCATTTGTTTCTCTGATAAAAGAGAACTCTGTCTTTGAGTCAGAGGCAGCCTTATCAAAAGAAAGATGCTTGAGGGAGTAGACCAAGGAAGAGAACTGGGCTTGGAATAGTCCTGATGACAAGGTCCAGACACACAATTATACCACAAGGGGGTTTTTACACCACGTACAAAGAGAGGGAGGAAGCTAAGACCATGAGGGTAAAATCTGCATTGGATTCATTGTTTGGATGGCAGCCATCCTTATAATAAATAAATTAAAGTTTCCCCAACCAAAACCAAAACAACAAAATGTGAAAATGTAAGGAATAGGCAATCATGTTTCATATCCTTTACAGAAATATGGTGTGAGGAGAGTCCTGTCCAAGAAATAACTTACAGGCACTTGGAATCACCAGGTTTTTTGCTCTGTTGTGCCAAATTCAATTCATATATCCCTCATGTGGCTCATTTTTACCAACAAAATTACCTCTGGTCTCTATTTTGTCTTAAGCAGCATCTCCCAAAGGACAGGGGGAGCTTTTCTTTGTCTCTCCACGTTTTCCTGCTGGACCATGAAATAGAAGCTTCCAGCCCTCAGGAATGTTAGGACACCCCGCACCACAGACGTGCACAGATACTTGTACATCCTTGTGGAAGGGCAAAGGGTGTGTCCCATTAGGGAGATGGCAGGATGCTGATATCCTTTTGGTCACCTCTCTATTGAGTGCAGTTAATATGTGAAATGCCTTTGGGAGGCTGAGGCGGGCGGATCACCTCAGGAGTTCAAGACCAGCCTGACTAACATGGTGAAACCCCATCTCTACTAAAAATAAAAAAATTAGCCAGGTGTAGTGGTGGGTGCCTGTAATCCCAGCTACTCAGGAGGCTGAGGCAGGAGAATCGCTTGAACCCAGGAGGCGGAGGTTGCAATGAACCGAGATTGCGCCATTGCACTCCAGTCTGGGCGACAGAGAGAGACTACGTCTCCAAAAAAACAAAAAAGAAAAAAAAAATTAAAATTAGCTGGGCGTGGTGGCAGGCGCCTGTAATCCCAGCTACTCCAGAGGCTGAGGCAGGGAGAATCGCTTGACCCCGGGAGGCAGAGGTTGCAATGAGCTGAGATAGCACCATTGCACTCCAGACTGGGCCACAGAAAGAGACTCTGTCTCAAAAAAAAAAAAAAAAAAAAAATATATATATATATATATATATGAACTGGTTTGTCAGAGGAAAACTCACCATTGAGTCTCCTGAGCTCTCTGTGCCTGGCTGGGAGCAGGCAGCCTTTGTCCTCCGCATGCATGAGTCCACGGGTCTAGACTTGCAGTACGAAGTCCAGTCATCCCTCGGTATATGCAGAGGGATTGATTCCAGGACCCCCATGTAACCCAAAATCCGTGCATACTCGAGGCCCGCAGTTGGCCCTGCAGAACATGCATATGTGAAAAATCAGCCCTCCATGTACATGGATTTCAGATCCCACAAATACTGTGTTTTCTATCCATGCTTGGCTGAAAAAAAATCTGCACATAAGTAGACTTTAGCAGTTCCAACCCATATTGTTCAAGGGTCAACTGTATTAAGAAACCAATTTTATCTCTGATACAACCAACCTAGCATTAGCAGCTATGAAGTTAATATTTTTGATAAGTATTTAACCTTATTTTTTAAAAACATTCAATTGGTTTCAAACACGGAGGGCAGTCCAGTGAGGTTAGTCATCGCTTTCCAATAAACATTAGTATCATAACAAAGATTGACAAGAGGATTTAAAAAGCATCATCAAACCATGTACCCTCATTGAGGTATTGCGTCTTGCTGGAGTGCAATGACCCTGACTTGGTCATCTTTTTATTCAAATCACAAGTAAAGGACTCAAAGTAATTTTGCTTAAACAAGAGATAATTTTATTTTTCTACCATGTCAAAGTCCAAAGGTGAGAAGCCTAGGGCTGAAGTCCTCAGGAATCCAGGTCCTTTTCAGCTTGTACTCAGCTGTGTGGGGCCCTCATTTCCAAGGCTTCCTCACAGGTGGTGGTACCAGCTCCATCAATCATCTTGAAGCACAGAATACAAGAAGGAGGAAGAGACAAGGCACACACATGGGTCAGTGACATGTGCTGCTTTGACCTGGAAGCTGCCATGTGACTCTTCTGCTTATATTCCACTGTCTGAAACCTGGTCACCAGGAAAAATGTAGTTGTAATGGAGGTTGGATAATATGCTTTTTAATGTTACTATAGTTAATACATAGTTATCAAGTAAAAATCGGAAGTTCCATTACTGAAGAGGAACGAATGTCAGGGCTAACTAACAATCTCTCCCAGAGGAAGTGTGGTTGTCTGTGAAGGATGAAGCCTAGCACATGTTTCCAGGCCTGGGTAAGAGGATAAGAAAGCATCATCTCACCTGGAGCAGTACTGGTGCATGATGGGAAACTCCTGCCATCACCGAGACCATGGCTGAGGTACCATGTGCTGGGATAGAGGGTGGAAAGGACACGTAAATGGGAGCAAGCGTCTTGGAGGATCAGTGGCAGGGCATGTATCTGCCCTCAGCCTGATTTCCTGCCTCTGAAAATGTGGAGATGGTAGATAAACATGGGATTAGAATATTTGCACTGCCTAATCACATGCAGAAGGGCAGGCTTTTTATTTTCCTGCCATAATACTACTCCCTTCTTCATGAGCCTACTGGGAGAATTACTAAACTCATTAACTGCTGAGTGCACTGCCTGGCACAGAGGGAGTCCTTGGGAACAAGAGTCAGTTTTTAAAAAGAAATTAGATAGACTCTTTTACTTCTACATTAAACATCGCCTTGGGAAAATGATGGGAGGCCATGTCTTCTTGATCTAAGAGACTGCCTGAGGGCTCATGAGGGATTAGGGGCTACATTCAGAGAAGTTGTTCAAGTCTATTGTGTTAAACTCTTCTTCCCGGCATGCTGCACACCTTCCCACATGCTGGGCTACCAGGTGTCTCCCTCTGCGCCTGACGTACACAAGCTTGGTTGATATTCTGTGGTGAATTCATTACATCACCTCATGCCACACTGTCTAGAATAGAAACCATGAAAGAGGAGCTCCTTTGTTTCCAGTGTGATACTCTCAGAGACCACTTTCATGTGAAGTGAATCATGGGATTCCTATGACCAGGGAGAATTTGTTTTCCTCTCACCATCTAGTCAAAGGTATGGGCTCCACTTCCTAGTGTTTATTTTTCCACATGGTCATTTTTAAGAAAAATGTTGACCAAATTCCATCATTGGATCACAAAACCTGTTCAAGTGGAAGAGCTTCAAAAAACCACAGTTCTCTATGCAGAAAAATGAAATTATATTAGCAAAATACATCCAAGTTAGTGTTCTCTGTTAAGGTGGAAACCAATAAACACTGAATTCTGATATGGACGACATTTAAGAAATAATACACAGTCATGTGTCACTTAATGATGGGGATAATGTCTGAGAAATGCATCATTAGGCTATTTTGTCATTGTGCGAACATCACTGAGTGTACTCACACACTCTATGCTAGCTGGCATAGCCTGCTACACACCTAGGCTAGAGGACAGCCCATTGCTTCTAGCCTACAAACCTGGATAGCATGTTACTATCCTGAATATTGCAGGCAATTGTAACATAAGGGTATTTATGTATCTAAGCATATCTGAACATAGAGAAAGTACAATAGAAACAGTATGATCATCCTGTGGGACCACCATTATATATGTGGTTTGTCATTTACCAAAATGTAGCTATACAGTGCATGACTGTGTAAAAAAAATTACATCTATTAACTTGAAGTTTCGTTTTTTCCTGTGCTGTGAGCTATCTTTTCCCTTATATGTTTAAACATATAATAGCACCTATTTCAAAGTGTAGTGTTGTAAGGAAGAAATGAAATAATTTTAAAACATTGCTTATTACAGTACCTGCACACAAGTTGTTCCATCCTTGACATATATTGTTTGGGGAAACTGCATTGTAATGAGGTTTCTCAAGTGCTGGTCTAACAGCGAGGGTAGGTCTATATGAAAGATTTCATGCATGCTGTTCGGAGAGTTTTCACCACCCCATGGAGGGCAGTGTTGCAGGCCTCTTGTTGCATGGCCCAGGGAGTGGACCATCCCCTAACTGGACAGCTGGCTGGCTGGAAGCAGCTTCAACACTTCTGGCACAGTAAGAAGCAGAAGAAGCAGCTGCTGAATCCCAGCACGTCTTTCCCAATGTCAGACCAGGTGAAGACCACAGCCAGCTGGGACTCACACCCACCAAAGGCTTGTGATCACCTGCTGTTCAAATGGAAAGATAGGGCCAGTGTTTCCAAAACATCCAATGTTTTAATAAAATGCAGAAAGATGGATACTGTGTTACATCACCGGAATTCTACATGGCAGAAAATGATGAAAGGAATGTGTTTAATATGATGCATGTCCAACAGCACATGCTTCCAGACTGCATTTGCCTGAATGAATGTGGGTTAGTAACATGGGGTCTGGAGAGAAAAGAGGGCTGCATTTTTTTCTCTCCTTTTACATTAAAAGGCTTTTCTCTTTTATCTTAAACAGAATATTTCAAAATCAGTGAAATCATATTGAGTTAAAGTTTCTGTTCTTGTCCACAAAGATGCAAGTGAAATTTTGAAAATGATTAAAATAAAGCACATTTCAGAACAAGTCTGAGAGGGTGTGCTGTAGGGATTGGGAGCAAAGATTTGCAGTGGTAAAATCCTCAGCTATCCTGTGGCTTCCACTGGAACTTCCAGTTATATAACTAGCTTGCTTATGTCTTATTTATTTGTCTGTAAAAAGATAATATACTATCCAATTCTATTTATAAATCATTCTTTAAAAGACAAAATGATAGAGAGGGAGAATGGATTAGTGGTTGCCAGGGCTGGGAGTAGCAGTGTCAGGAGGGATGTGTGTTCATAAAGGGGCAGCCCAAGGGATTCTTGTGATGATGGAACTGATCTGTGTCGGGACTGTGGCAGTGGAGAGACAAACCACACATGTAATGATGTTACATAGAACTAAATGCACACACATAGACATACAGCTATAAACATGGGAACTCCGAATAAGATCAGATCATTTCTGTGTCAATTTCCTGGTGATGATTGTTCACTGTAGTTTTGCAAGCTGTTACCGCTGGGACAACCTGAGTTAAGAGTGGGTAAAATCCTTCCATACTGTTACTTATCACTGAATGTGAATCTACAATTATGTCATAGTACAAATTTGACTTTAAAAAGATGATGATACTCATACCTACCCAGTAGAGCTCTTATGAGGATGGATGGACATGCTAATGTTGCGAGAATCAGGAGACTGGAGAGACCAATGGGTGAGACAGGAGGATTTTTATTTAGGTGCACTGGCTCAGCAGATTCACATCCAAAAAGCTGAGCCCTGGACAGGGCTTTGACTTTTATACATGATCTGTGGTGCCAAACGCAGTGGCGTGAAAGCAGGTAGAACAAAGACAGTTTATCAGTGACAGGTTTTACAACTCAGGCATGTCTTGTGACCTTCGCCATACTGCACAGCTGGAAACAGGAACTTACAAAATCCTTGCAAATTTGCAGAAATAGTTACAAAAGTAGTTGTGAGAGCAGATCACGGGATAATGGTATAGGGAAAGAATTTCAAAGGGGGCAACTCATAAGAAGAACTTGCTTTTCTTATCCTTGTTCTAGGGGGCAGGTGTGTTGGGAGAGTCTCTGGAGCTCATTCCTTTGGGCTCTGGCTTTTCAGATAGTGCTATCAAGGCCCGCTAGGGCCCTGCCTATTGCTGGCCTTGGAGTGAGTCGGCCAAGTATAGGAAAACCTGTTTTTCTGTTTACTTATTTTTCTTATATTTCCTGCTTCACTAATTACATTTGTTTTACCTGGTGAGACAAGCCTGGTGTGTCCTGCAGAAGAACTGCTTCTCCTGCTGTTCGATTGCAGCTGTCCCAACCTTAGCAGAGCTTAAGAAATACCTTTATATAAGAAACCACTTTTTCTGGCTGAGTGCACTGGCTTATGCAAGCCTGTAATTCCAGCACTTTGGGAGGCTGAGGTGGAGGCAGGTGGATCACCTGAGGTCAGGAGTTTGAGACCAGCCTGGCCAACATGGTGAAACCCTGTCTATACTAAAAAAAATACAAAAATTAGTCAGGCGTGGTGGCATGTGCCCAGTAGTTCCAGCTACCTGGGAGGCTGAGGCAGGGGAATCACTTGAACCTGGGAGGCGGAGGTTGCAAGTGAGCCAAGGTTGTGCCACTGCACTCCAGTCTGGGTGACAAAGCGAGACTCAATGTAAAAAAAAAAAAAAAAAAAAAAAATTAAAAAAAAGAGTCAAACAAACAACAACAACAAAACAAACAAAGAAACTGGCTTTTTGGTTTTTTGAGACAGAGTTTCACTCTGTCATCCAGGCTGGAATGCAGTGGTGTGATCACTGCTTATTGTAGCCTCAACCTCCCAGGCTCAAATGACCCTCCCACCTCAGCTTCCCAAGTAGCTGGGACTACAGGCATGTGCCACTATGCCCAAATAATTTGTTTTCTTTTTTTGAGAGAGACAGTCTCACTGTTTTTCTCAGGCTGGTCTCAAAATCCTGGGCTCAAATCATCCCCCCGCCTCAGCCTCTAAAATTGATGGGATCACAGGTGTGAGCCACCACGCCCAGCTAAAAAACTGCCTTTTGCGCAAAGCTCCTCGTGGTAGTTAAAAAGATTAATCGATTACCTAGAAATTGAAGCTTTAGAGAAAATTGGAACACAAGTCCAAGTGGCCCTGGTTGAGGGCTCCTGGAATGCATGTTGCTTGGGTACTCCCTGGAAAAAACATTTGTGTTAGATAATTTGGGAATATCAAGTTATTTGTAAGTTAAAACTTCATAGCCTTTAATCAGTTAGTTAGAGATGATTAACATCTTGCTCATATGAGGAATTATATAGCAACAGAAATACTTAGGGTTTCCCTGACCCTGTGATTTCTCTCTCTTCTCTCTGGCCATCTTGCTGAGAAAAGACGTTGGCCAGCCTGCAACAAGACTGGGCTGGCAGGAATTAGAGCAGGATTGACCTTCTTTTTTCCTAAAAGAAAAGGGAAAATGCTCATGCCATTGTCCATTGTGTGCATAAACACACACACACACACACACACACACAGATTAGGTTAGTGCAAAAGTAATTGTGGTTTTTGCAATTAAAAGTAATTGCAATTATTTTGATTGCAAAAACTGACTCTCTCTCTCTCTATATATATACATATATATATATATATTCCAAGTCATATAAAACATAGAGATATATCTTATTTAAAAGATTTTATTTTGGAAGAAAGAATTGAAATTTGGGGCTTCAACACAAACTGGGTGGTCTCTGGTATCTCTGAGGAACAAAGAGACGGTTGGAGGTCTTATAAAAGGAAAACCTTTATGTATTGTATTGAAGGAAAGTTCATTGACACTGTAAAGTTTTGGAAAGCTGGCAGTCTCTGACTGGTAGGTGATGGTCTAGGGTAAAACTAGTCTTAAGAGTCGCAGCAGTTTGTTTCAGTAGCTGTTAGATAAAACTGGTTTCAAGTTACAACCGGCAGTCTCGGCCGCTGGACTTGTGGAAAATTTAACTGCTGGCCCGGATGCTATGAACCCAGAACGCTTTTCCCCCTGCCTACTACAATGATTGAGTTGAGTATGACAATGAGGCAATTTGTACAATCATCTTTCTGTA